>NC_000016.10:21213758-21516789 GCF_000001405.40 Homo sapiens | reverse complement strand
TGAGCCATCGCACCCGGCGGGGTGTGGATTCTAATGTAATAGCTAATGTGCCTTCCAAAGAGGCTGTACCAAGTCACACGTTCCTGGATTTATTTTGTGGTAATAGGGCTTTAAAAAGTATTTTTATTTATTTATTTTTATTTTATTTTATGTTTGAGATGGAGTTTTGCTCTTACCCAGGCTGGAGTACAATGGCGCGATCTCGGCTCACTACAACCTCCACCTCCCGGGTTCAAGTGACTCTCCTGCCTCAGCCTCCCAAGTAGCTGGGACTACAGGTGCCCACCATGCCCAGCTAATTTTTTGTATTTTTAGCAGAGACAGGACTTCACCATGTTGGCCAGGCTTGTCTTGAACTCCTGACCTCAGGTGATCCACCCGCCTCTGCCTCCCAAAGTGCTGGGATTACAGGCTTGAGCCACCGCACCCGGCCTAAAATAGCTTTCCAGCAGTCCTTTTGGTCCCAGTAGGTAAAGCCTCAAGGCAGGCTCTAGAGTGCCAACCCTTCTGACCCAGAGGTGAGGGTTAATGTTAATAGGATCCCTTTCAGCGAAAGTTAGGGCCACACTTCTCATGTCCCTAAGCCATTTGTACTTGTTTTTTTTCTCTGACCCACCTGTGTATGTGGTGAGTATGTGTGTATGTGTTGCTTTTTTTTTTTTTTTGGAAAGTGATTTTCAGTAACAGAAAGGGATGTGCTCTCTGCAAGAGTGAATCTATTCTTGCCCCTGTGTGTAAGGCGAGAAGGAGAAGTTGTGTTCTCTGAACAGGCAGACCCTGCTGAGAGAGGGAGGTGTGTTGGGGTTCAATCATTCTGGTGGGAAAGATATTAGAGGTAGTTATAGAAATAGACACAAATCTTGGAAGGCCGAGAAGTTGGCATAACTTTGGTAATTAGCTCTGGCTGAAGGCGGCCTGATCCCTTTACCTTTAGTTAAACAAATAAACATAGAAATAAAAGAAAGGCAGAGTAGTTTACCTAGCTAGCTTGTTTACTCATATAATCTTAAGACCCTGGGTGCTTAAATGCTTTTTACCCGGTAAGTCCACAATGTCTGTTACACTCTAATGGTGTTGACTCAAGCTTTTGTTAATTAATCATACTGAATAAATGCGCGTCTGACTAGCTGATCAGGGCCAAGTAGCAACTGTTTACAGGACTCAGCAGGGAGCCTATAAGCGGCTGGAACACTCAGCTGGACTGGCAGAGCAGAATATCTGTGTGTCTGTACTTTATTCATCTGTCACGGGGTCACGGGTCTGTAAGGGACAGACTCCCTGCAGCTGGTGCCCCCTTGAAAGGAGTGCTGTCGCAGAGGTGGGCTTGGCTGAGTCTGGTAGAACTCCAAGCTGATTCTCAGGTCGTTCTGACTTCAGCTCGGAGAAGGGCAGTGGATGTCCCAGGAAGGGAGACCCTGCCCTTGTAGGGGGACTTCTGACAGGTGCAGGGGGCAGCCTGGAGCCCGGACCAGTGGGCAGGATGGGCGCTCCAGGGTGTGAAGGAGAGGCTCGGCGTTTGATCTGTGGACATTGTTCCTGGAGCAGTGAAAAGCCATAGAAAGTGATTTATTTTATTTATTTATTTATTTATTTATTTATTTATTTATTTATTTTGAGATGGAATTTCGCTCTTTTTGCCCAGGCTGGAGTGCAATGGCACGATCTCGGCTCACTGCAACCTCTGCCTCCCGGGTTCAAGTGACTCTCCTGCCTCAGCCTCCCGAGTAGCTGGGATTACAGGCATGCACCACCATGCCTGGTTAATTTTGCATTTTTTAGTAGAGACAGGGTTTCTCCATGTTGGCCAGACTGGTCTCGAACTCCTGACCTCAGGTGATCCGCCCACCTCGGCCTCCCAAAGTGCTGGGATTACAGGCGTGAGCCAGTGTACCCAGCTGATTTTTTTTTTTTTTAAATGATCACACATAAGGTTGGGTTCCAGAATTTTCTGCTTAGGAAGGGAAAGGGCACCTTTTACCCCCTTAGTCCTTGAGCCTGATCCTACAGAAGGTACAGTGGCTTTCGGGTCTGGATCCTCAGCCCTCGGGCCTCTGAGGCTGCCTTGGGAGAGGGTACGGATTTGCGAACAAGGTTCTCAGTTTTGCTGGCTGTCTTTTCAGTCGCCCAGGCACGTCCCACAGAAAGTTTCTTTTTGTGAAATAATCGTGTGAAATGGGTTGGCCTCGGTGCTTAGAACCATCCCACTGACGGTGAGTGGAAAAAATCCCTTGCTTGTCAGTCTGGTTAGGAGATGAGGTCCTTTCACGCGTGTCTTCGTGTTGGTGCGCTTTTCACGGGTCATAAAGATGAGAGGAACCAGCTCCATGTGTCTCTTTCTGGATGGCCATATGGAACTTGGCATGACAGTAGGGTTGTGTGGGTTATTTATTGCTTGATGAAGACTTGGCAGCGTGTACTGGAAATTCAAGCAATGCTGGGTTTTATCAGAAGGCGCAAAGGCTGGAGTTGAGATTCTGGCTGGGCCTGGATTTGGTTTGGGCAGTTTATCTGACCTCCCTGGGCCCCAGCTGGCTCTGCATAGCAAGTAGGGTAGCATCTACTCAAAGTCCCGGCCACAGCCGTGGACTGGCACTGGCCCAGGCGAGCTCTCAGTAAGTGGGAACTCACAGGTTCAGAAGATGCTGTGGGCCTCAGGGGCTTCCACCTCCAGGGAGGTGCTCTCAGAAGAAGGGCCTGATGGGCTCACCACATCGTGGAGAAGATACCCCGGCTCAGTCTCAGTCAGTTCCCCAAGCGCATAGGTGTTCGGGAAGTGGCCTGCAGACAGCTCCTCCATGCCTTGAAAGCAGAAGTAGCCCCCTCCTGTTTCCCTGTCCCAGTTGGGTGAAGCATGGGAGCCTGCTGGGACAGTCCCAGGCGTGCCGTCACGCAGGGGCAGGCCGTCCATCGGTCTCGCGGGACTCTGGCTGCGGGTGGCTGAGGACACCTGGCCTCATGGGAGACGGTGCCAGGGTCCCTGGAGTGAGGTGGGTCTCCTCCCCATGGCTGTCACTCCTCAGCAGATTGGTGTGGGCGGGTGTGCGTTTAGGAACCTGTGAGCTGAGACATTGTCCAGCTAGCGTCAGGCCAAAAGCAACCAAGGCTTTGAGAAATCCACCTGGCCCTGCCGAGCCTGTTTCTGGCTGTGGAATGGGATTTGCCCCAGCGCCAGGTGTCTGGGAATCACAGGCCTCCGTGTGTGAAGGTGCCAGTTGCACGGGCTGTGACCGTCCCTCCACGTGCTTGTATCTCCTGCTCACTGTGCATGTTGAGCAGCCCTCAGCCTCACTGTCTTCTCCTTTGGCAAAAAGAAAGGAGCAAGGGAACAAAGAGAGGGAGGGAAGAGCCAGAGACAGGAGCCAGGGTTTCCTTTAGTCTGGAGCTCTGGGTGCAAGATGATGTCACCCACCCACACTCGGCACAGGCCCAGGGTCGGGGGGCTGTGGGTGGAAGTAGGAATCGCCACAACTGTCTCTGAGCCCCTCCCTAAAGGGTGAAGGGTGTAAGGGGTGGGTTTTGATGGCTGTGGGCTTAGCTGTGGTCAGTGGACTCAAAGGCCAGTTGGCCAGTTAGCAGTGACCAGAGAGCAGAGGGGGCCTGTGTGTGTTTTGCCCCAGGGTCTTCAGGCTGCCTGGCTGCCTCTATCCGCCCCCCTGGTGTGTCCAGCACCCCCCTGGGGTATCCAGCACCTGTAACCTGTAGCCCCGCTTCTCAGTCCAGGCCTGTTCCAGGGCCCCCCCGGGGTATCAAGCACCTGTAGCCTGTAGCCCCACTTCTCAGTCCAGGCCTGTGTAAAACCTGGCCCCGGGTTGGGTTTTGGGATCCCTGCACCCCTCCATCCCCAACCCCCCACAGCTGGGACCCTGGCTCAGCTAGCAAAGGTTCTGCGTGTTTAAGGAGCTGGGTGGGCCCCAGAGCTCAAGCCGTGGGCTCATTGCAGGCGGCAGCCAGTGATTAGTGCTGAAATCCGACTTTCCCAGCCAGACATGAAAGTGCCGCCAGCGCCTGGGCAGGTCACGCTGCATCACGGGATTCGGGGCAAGGCCCTAGGGCGAGTTCACAGAAGCACATGACCTGAGCCACACAGGAGAGCCTAACGGGCACTTCTGACCCTTTTTCCTTGGGTCACAGACCTCTTTCATAATCCAGCAGAATGTGCAGAATCTTGCCCAGGAATGTGTACCAGCCGCCTTCACACAGAAGGGTGGGCTGTGCAGACCCCCGAGGGCCCAGGCCAGGGTGAGAGCCACCCCCTGGAGAGGGGTGTCCAAGGTAGGGCACACGCTTGCACCACCTCTTGGCACCTCTTGGCCACCACTTTCCACTCCAGCCTTTGAAGCCAGTGATAATCCCCAATTTACAGCTGGGGAAACTGAGGCAGGAGCAAGCCAGGAGCCAGGGGCCACAGTGCCCACCTCTACACTGAGGCCACCGTTTGTCTTCAGGCATAGGGGAGCACACAGCCACGCCTGGGGAGTCTGGTGGGTGCCAGGGGTCTGGGGAGGTGTCAGCAAGACTGGGTGGCCCAGTCGGCCCAGGTAAGGACACAGGTGGGTCAGAGGCTCATCTGTGTTCCCCAGCAACCCCTAGGGGCTCTTCGCGCTCCTCCACCCTTCTCCATCCTTCCCAGACTCACATCCAGGTATCCTGGACAGCCACAGGGTTCTGCTCCCCAGTAGGCCTGGCCCTCCCTGGAGCATCACCTGGATGGCTGGCCATGGGCAGGCCTTGCCTGGCCCGTCTGCAGGGACAGGGCATGTGTATGCACGCAGATTGGTACTGTGTGCCCGCGCGCTCCCCAGAGGCCCTGTGGCAGCACCCCCTTCCTGCCGCTGCCCTTTTCCAACAGGAGGGCCCCCCCGCAGCGTCTCCTTCCCTGATTGTGGCCAAATCCTGAACTCTCCCTCTGGAAGGCGGACCCTCCGGGGTGGCCACAGCTCGTGCCCTCCGGGAGCGTGGGAGGCGTCTCTTTCTCTGCATCCCTGGCCGTCAGACCGCCCCAGGTGGGGACCATTCTCTGGCATTGCCCGCCCCTCCCCTGCCCTAGGATTTGCCCACTATGTGAGGAATGAGCACCAACCTCCTATTCCGGGCCTTGGAGCGTGACGCCCGCAAACTCGATCCCTGCTGAGTCATCCTGACCTCGGGGTGGGCCAGCATCTGTCACTGCTGAGACACTATATGTGTGAGCTGCTTGTTAACGAGAAAGCTAGACTCTGTAAAATATTTGAAGAGATTTATCCGGAGTTAAATGTGAGGACCAAGGCCTGGAGGCCCTGAGGACATGTGCCCCAGGGGGTGGGCCACAGCTGGAGTTCATACCTTGTACAAGGACAGAAGTTACAGGCAGACATCAGTCAGTATGTGAAAGGTATTTGTTGGTTCTGCCGAGAAAGGCGGGACAACTCCAAGGTGGGGATGGGCTTCCTGGTCACAAGTGGGTTCAAAGATTTCTTTATTCTTTATATATATATATATATATATTTTTTTTTTTTTTGAGATGCTTTTGTTACTCAGGCTGGAGTGCAGTGGCGTGATCTCAGTTCACTGCAACCTCCGCCTCCTGGGTTCAAGTGATTCTCCTGCCTTAGCTTCCCGAGTAGCTGGAACTACAGGCATGCACCACCATGCCCAGCTAATTTTGTGTTTTTAGTAGAGACAGGGGTTTCACCATGTTGGTCAGGCTGGTTTTGAACTCCTAATCTCAGGTGATCCGCCCACCTTGGCTTCCCAAAGTGCTGGGATTACAGGCATGGGCCACCGTGCCTGGCAAAAGATTTTCTGATTCACAATTGGTTGAAAGAGTTATTAGCTAAAGACCTGGAATCAATAGAAAGGAGTATCTGGGTAAGACAGGAGGTTGTGGAGACCAATATTGTGTTTTGTTTTGTTTTGTTTTTGTCACCCAGGCTGGAGTGCAGTGGCATGATCTCGGCTCACTGCAACCTGGTTCAAGCGATTCTCCTGCCTCAGCCTCCCAAGTAGCTGGGATTGCAGGTGCCTGCCACCACCATGCCTAGCTAATTTTGTATTTTTAGTAGAGATGGGGTTTCTCCATGTCGGTCGGCCTGGTCTCGAACTCCTGACCTCGTGATCTGCCCACCTCAGCCTCCCAAAGTGCTGAGATTACAGGCATGAGGCACTGAGCCAGGCCAAGATCTGTGTTTGAATGTTAGTGCTGGTCAGCTGTACCTGAATTCCAGAGGGAGGGGGTATAACAAGGCCTGTGTGACCCTTCTTCCCATCATGACCTGAGCTCGTTTTTCAGGTTAACTTTGGAATATCCCTTTGGCCAATAGGAGGGGTCCCTTCAGTCAGTTAGGGGGCTTAGAATTTTATTTTTGGTGTACGTGCTCAAACTGCAGCTGCTACAAAACCAAGGCCACGGTGACCCTGGGGCCAGTCCAGCTTTGTCCCTGTGCTCTCGAGCTGCTGGAGGCCAATGCAGGATTCTGCCCACAGCTCACATGTGTGGCTTCAGAGCCTGGGAGTTCTTGGGGCTGTGTCTTCACCTGGTACCGTGTAGGGGCCCTGTGAGCTGAGTCAACTGGAAGAGCCCAGAGCCTCTGCAGAAGGCCTGAGCAGGGCCCGGGCACTGTCCCTGGAGCTCTGAGTCCCTCAAGCTGTGTGGCCCGCAGCCAGGCGCTTGACTTCTCTGGCGTTTGCTTCAGAGCTGGGAGCCTGGGGTGGCGTAGGTCTTTGGCAGGGGTCAGGTAGGGGAGGGGCCAGCCAGGAATCAAACATCCCTGACAGGTGAGGGGGCAGGTGAGGAGGGCAGGGCAGGAGCCCCTGTAGCACTTGTGCAGCAGCATCTGGACCGGTGCAAGCCCTGAGATGGCTTCAGGTCCTGCTCAGAGCTAAGGGCTCCCTGTCACCAGGGATTCTTCCATCACTGCACCTGCAGAGCCCATTGGGATTGGGGAGAGGCCCTGGCCTTAGCTTGGAACAGCTGTATCCGCCTGTCGGGTGTGCAGGCTGTGCACTGGTTAAGCCTGAGCGCAGAGTCTGTTCAACGAGTTCATTGTGTGGTATTTGCTTCCGCTTGCTGTTGAGTTGGACTGGCCTGGATGCTGGCCAGGAGCCCAAGTGGACTTGGTGCTTCTCTTTGACAGCCAGGATTGAAAAGCCCAGTCAAGTGGGCAGAGCACGAGGGTGAGATTTAGGAGACCTGGATGTCCTCACTTTGCCGCCCAGGAACTGCTGTGTGACTTTCAGCAAGTGGGACAACCTTTCTGAACTATGTTTACACCAGCTATAAAATGGAGGTGTTGGATTGGCTGCCACAAGTGTCCTCCACCTCCACAATACCGTAACTGGAGCGGGTTTTCACTCCTTTTTCTTGTTAGCATAACTGTTGGAGCTATAGAGGGTTTGGAGTGGGGTGTGGGTTTCTGGGCCACAGATGTGTGAGGCTCCGCACTTAGCCAGCAGTGGCAACTCCTTATCACTGGTGCCCACGGCTTCATCTGTGCCCTGAAGATACTAATGCTGCGGTGACTGGTCAGATTAATGGTGATGCTTTCATGGGGCGCCGTAAGACATGTCCGCGAGGTATTTCACCCATACAATGGGAGGCAGTGTTCCAGTCTGTTGGAGACAGGAAAGGGAGGCTCAGTCCCTGCGAAGGAACTTTCCCGAGTTCACACAGCATTTCAGCACCGGGTGGCCTGGCTTCAGAGTTTCAGAGGGAGGGGTGGCCCTTCCTGTCGGTCCTGGGGGTCTCCTGGAGTCAGGACCCTTGGGAAACCCAAATCCACCAGGACGCTTGCATCAGGAGAACCTGACCACATGAGAAGCTGCCCTTTTCTGGTTCTCCTGCTTACCCTCGACTTGGGGTGTCGGCAAATTTCAGAGCTTGCCAAATCTGCATCTTCCTGGCCTGTTTAAAATGAATGTGTCAGCCCCATTCTGGACAGCAGCTGACACCTCTTCCCCCGTGCCAGCCAGGACAGTGTGGTTGGGCGTAACTCAGCCCCGGTTAAAAATGGAAAAAAGTACAAAGACATGTGTTCAAGGCCTGGTGACAGAATTTGAAAATGTGACACCAGCCTGTTAGTAATTTGTTTTCACAGAAACCTGATTCAACACTGAGCAGACAGGTGGGGCCAGGGCCTTGGGATCATCTCTGTGCTTGCCCAGGGACATCTGTATGTCTGGCCCAAAGCGGGGGCCTTGTGCTCTGCAGAGACTGGACATCAAAATTGAGCCATTATAAGCAGACCATCCTGGCCAGGCACGGTGGCTCACTCCGGTAATCCCAACACTTTGGGAGGCCAAGGTTGGTGGATCGCCTGAGGTCAGGAGTTCGAGACCAGCCCGGCCAACATGGTGAACCCTTGTCTCAACTAAAAATACAAAAATTAGGTGGGCGTGGTGGCAGGTGTCGGTAATCCCAGCTACTGAGGCAGGAGGCTGAGGCAGGAGGCAGGAGAATCACTTGATCCCCGGAGGCAGAGGCTGCAGCTACTCGGGAAGTAGAGGTGAGAGAATGGCTTGAACTCAGGAGGTGGAGGTTGCAGTGAGCCAAGATCGCACCATTGCACTCCAGCCTGGGCGACAAGAGGGAGACTTCGTCTCAAAAAAAAAAGGAAACACTGCCTTTGCTTCCCTGCCCTGGAACTGCTTCATTTTCCTTGGGGTTTCCGGACCATTTTGACCTCTCTCTGTGGCCAGCAATGGTGGGGAGGCGGGTGGATCTGGAGCCGGCATGGGCAGGCTCAGCATTCCAGCCCATTCTGGGGTGAGGTTGGCCTTGGGTGAGGACAGGGGTCACTGGGTCAGACATTCATTTTCTGGAGCCCAGGGCGGTGACGTGTCCATCAGGGAAGCACGCGCCTGTGCTGGGGGGTGCTCCCTGGACCAGCAGCGCCGGCCTCCCTGGGACCTTGTTCTGTGCAGATGTGTTGTCTCCCTCTCCCCCGACCTGCCTGATCAGAAGCTCTGGGTTTCCATCCCACTCCCCCACCACTGCTTTTACAAGTCCCCCCAGGGGATGACACGGGAGATGGTGGAGGCTGTCTATCAGTGGATAAGGTGGGGGCTGTCTATCAGTGGAGAAGGTGGGGGCTGTCTATCAGTGGAGAAGGTGGGGGCTGTCTGTCAGTGGAGATGGTGGGGGCTATCTGTCAGTGGAGATGGTGGGGGCTGTCTGTCGGTGGAGATGGTGGGGGCTGTCTGTCGGTGGAGATGGTGGGGGCTGTCTGTCGGTGGAGATGGTGGGGGCTGTCTGTCGGTGGAGAAGGTGGAAGCTTGTACTCAGAGCAGGGGATATTTAGACTTGAAGGGGCCAGGGAGGAAGGTACTGGTTCTACTAAGCCCCATGTTCACTGGGCAGCCACTAAGTTAGGGACCGTGTGTGTACCGAGTGGATTCCGACAAAGAAGCTGTCTCAGGAGCCCCAGCCAGCTGCAGAGGGGGGCCCAAGCTCCAAGGCTGGGTGTCAGGTTTGCCAGGTGCTGGCTCCGCTAGGGGCCGCAGGCTGCGCTGGGCGGGACTGGGCTGGGCTGGTACCTGTGCCCGGTGTCAGGCCAGCTGTAGTTGCAGCGGTCAGCTGCCGCTCTCTGGCCCTGTGCGAACTGCTGTGCCAGGTGCACCCTGGGGGACCAGGCTGCCTGGGCTTCCTGGAACTGGTGAAGCTGCCGCCACTTCCTCTATGCTCTCTCCAGCAGGCAATTCTGGGTAAACGATCTTCATTTGCCTATAAAGCTGCACAGCTCACAGGCCTTGGACCGTTTCTGCCCCAGCCCCAGCATTGGCCCTTTGGACAGACTCTGAAACCGTGCGCAGAACGCACCCTGTCATTACAAATGACTCCTGGAGGCAGTCCCCGGGGGCCTGGCAGGAGCACCTGTGTTTCTGTGGGGTCTGAAAATGACAGACCAATCGCTTGAACCCGGGAGGCGGAAGTTGCAGTGAGCCGAGATCGAGACATTGCCCTCCAGCCTGGGCAACAAGAGCAAAACTCCATCTCAAAAAAAAAAAAAAAAATCTTCACAAATATAATTTGTAATGGCTGCAGAAAATTTCAGCTCTGAATGTACTGCATCCTAATCAGTTTCCTATTGTTGAGCATTAGTATAGTTTCCAGGTGTTTTGTTTTTGTTTTGCTATTAATAAGTAAAACTGAGATGAATACTTCTGTATCAATCTTGATCCTTATTTTAGATAATTTCCATTTCATTCCTCCCATTTCTTGAGTGCTTCCTATGGTCAGGTGCTGTGCTGTGTGCTGAGTATGGAGGAGGTAGGCTGAGATAGATGTGACCTTTGCTCTTGCAAAGCTGATATACTAAGGGTTGGACAGATGCTAAATGTGCAAAGAAACCCAATACTTGCAGATGGTGCTGGGTACTACCAAGGAAAGAAATAGGGTATATGACAGAGTACCTGGAAAGGGCACTGGCCAGCTTTTATGGGCAGGGAGGTCAAAGCAAACCTGTCTGGAGATGAGACAGGCCAGGAAAATCAGGGCAGGGGCCAGAGTAGGGCAAATGTGGTGCCTAGAGCCTCATTTTTTTTTTTAGACGGATTCTCGCCCTGTTGCCCAGGCTGGAGTGCAATGGCAGGATCTCGGCCCACTGCAACCTCTGCCTCCCAGGTTCAAGCAATTCTCCTGCCCCAGCTTCCTGAGTAGCTGGGATTACAGTACAGCCTCAAATTTAAGGAGGGACTCACTCACAGGATTGTGCAAATGCAAAGTTGGCTTTTGCATGACCCTGGGAGTAGGTGCCTCCTTAAATTTTGCACCCTCAGCAACTCCATCACCTGTCACTTTGCTAGTCCCAACCCTGATGGGAACAAATGCAGGGAAGGCATTCCAGATGGCGGGAACAGCAAGTACAAAAATCCAGAGGCCAGAAAGGCCTGGTGTGTTTCAGGAACAGAAACTCGGCTCCCATGACTGAAATGGAGTAGGGAAATCCTAATGGAGCCAGAGAGGCAGAACCACCAACAGGAAGAAGAAAAAAATGTTGGAAGTTATGAGAGTTGCTCACGTTTGATTCATTTGATTTATTTTATTGAAATGGAGTCTCACTCTGTTGCCCAGGCTGGAGTGTAGTGGCACGATCTAGGCTCACTGCAACCTCCACCTCCTAGGCTTAAGTGATTCTCTCATCTCAGCCTCCCAAAGTGCTGGGATTACAGGCGTGAGCCACCATGCCCCACCTGAAGCAATTTCTTTGTTGTCTTTTTTTTTTTTAACTTCTCTCATAGAAATAATTAACCCTCAAAAACACTCAGTGTTGACAAAGGGTGGTGTGAGGACACAGAAAGTATCACACTATCATTGGCAGAAACTTCCTGGAAAGCAACTTAACAGTCTGTATCCAAAGACTTAAAATCATTAACAGCCTTTTCCCCAATAACTCCACTTCTCGGAATCTATCCTAAGGAAATCTGCCACAGCCAGAGTGATTTTTTCCGTCCCCTTAAGAAATGGTCTCATCCTGTTGCCCAGGCTGGAGTGCAGAGGCACCATTATGGCTCACCACAGCCTGAAACTCGTGGGCTCAAGCGATTCTCCCACCTCAGCCTCCCAAGTAATTGGGATCACAGGCATGCCTCCACATCCATATGCCTAGTTGGATAATATTTTGACCAATAAAGAAAAAGAGGGCCAGGCGCGGTGGCTCACGCCTGTAATCCCATCACTTTGGGAGGCCGAGGCGGGCGGATCACGAGGTCAGGAGATTGAGACCATCCTGGCTAACACGGTGAAACCCCGTCTCCACTAAAAATACAAAAAAACAAAATTAGCCGGGCTTGGTGGCGGGCGCCTGTAATCCCAGCTACTCGGGAGGCTGAGGCGGGAGAATGGCTTAAACCCGGGAGGCAGAGCTTGCAGTGAGCCGAGATTGCGCCACTGCACTCTAGCCTGGGCGACAGAGCGAGACTCCTTCTCAAAAAATAATAATAATAAAATAAAAAAATAAAAAAGAAAAAGAAAGGTAGTACCAGAGATTGTGTCCAGTTGCTCAAGCAATTTCTAACTTGTCTAATTTTAAAAATTTTTAAATTTTTATACAAAATTAGCCGGGCATGGTGGCATGTGTCTGTAATCTTAGCTACTTGGGAGGCTGAGGCAGGAGACTCACTTGAACCTGGAAGGCAGAGGTTGCAGTGAGCTGAAATCACACCATTGCACTCCAGCCTGGGCCACAAGAGTGAAACTCCGTCTGAAAAAAAAAATTTAATATTTTTTTTGTAGAGATGGGGGTCTCACTATGTTGCTCAGGCTGGCCTATAACTCCCAGGCTCAAGGATCTTCCAGTCTCAGCCTCCCATCACTGGAATTACAGGCATGAATCACTTCATCTAAATGATTTTTTTTTTTTTTTTTGAGACAGTCTTGCTCTGTCACCCAGGCCGGAGTTCAGTGGCACGATCTCGGCTCACTACAACCTCTGGCTCCTGGGTTCAAGCAATCCTCATGCCTCAGCTTCCCCAAATAGCTGGGACTACAGGCGTGCGCCACCATGCCTGGTTAATTTTTGTATTTTTTTGTAGAGACGGGGTTTCACCATATTTGTCAGGCTGGTCTCTTGACCTCAAGTGATCCACCCACCTCGGCCTCCCAAAGTGCTGGGATTACAGGAGTCAGCCATCCATGGTGCCCCGCGTTTTCTCTTTCTTCTTCTCCCTCCCTCCCTACCCTCCGCAGCCCAGCCTGGAGTGCAGTGGCAGGATCATAGGTCACTGCAGCCTCCACCCGCTGGACTCAAGTCATCCTCCTGCCTCACCCTCCTGAGTTCCTGGGACCACAGGCACGCGCTACCACGCCGGGTAATTTTTGTAATTTTTGTAGTCCCCATCATTTAGAACTGGCAAGATCCTCCCTTAGTGAGGGATTGGTGGCCATAAGCAAGGAGCCCAAGGTGGAGGGGATATGCATGTGTGTGGAGGTGTCAACTCCTCGTAATCTTCAAGTACTTTTGGTAACAATTTTTAATTGCACAAGCGATATATAAAGACGTTTTCTTTGCAACATAAAATGATAGGTTAAGACTCCTTATGCAGATAAGGTTTAGGCACTTGTTTAAGGAGCATCCTGGCCCACCTTTTAAAAAATGTGTATGCATTCACGTTATGCATCAGATGCTTTAGGGAATTTTTTTCCCTGGGGCATGGGGCATGTCATGGGGTAGACAGTCAGGTACGTCTCCTCTACCCAGCTGATTCTCTTTTTTTTTGGAGATGGAGTCTTGCTCTGTCGCCCAGGCTGGAGTGCAGTGGAGCGATCTCTGCTCACTGGGAGCTCCGCCTCCCGGGTTTACGCTATTCTCCTGCCTCAGCCTCCGGAGTAGCTGGGACTACAGGCGCCCGCCACCACGCCCGGCTAATTTTTTGTATTTTTAGTAGAGACGGGGTTTCACTGTGTTAGCCAGGATGGTCTCGATCTCCTGACCTCGAGATCTGCCCGCCTCGGCCTCCCAAAGTGCTGGGATTACAGGTGTGATCCACCGCGCCCGGCCTTCTCTCTTTCTTTTCTCCTTTTCTTTCCTTTCCTCCCTCCTTTCCTTCCTTCCTCCCTCCCTCCTTCCCTCCCTCCCTCGTTTCCTTCCTTCCTTCCTTTTTCTTCCCTCCCTGCTTTCTCTCTCTCTCTCTCTTATATTTTTTTGAGACAGAGTTTCACTCTTGTTCTCCAGGCTGGACTGCAATGGTCTGATCTTGGCTCACTGCAACCTCGGCCTATTGGGTTCAAGCGATTCCCCTGCCTCAGCCTCCCAAGTAGCTGGGATTACAGGCGCCCTCCACCATGCCCGGCTAATTTTTGTATTTTTAGTAGAGGCGGGGTTTCTCCATGTTGGCCAGGCTGGTCTGGAACTCCTCACCTCAGATGATCCGCCCACCTCGGCCTCCCAAAGTGCTGGGATTACAGGCGTGACCCACCGCGCCTAGCCCCCAGCTTCTTTCACCAGCAGAAGGCGGGCAAGCCTCAGGGTGAGAGGACTTCAAAGCACATTTCACATTGCAGAGGACAGGGTTTGGTGGTCGTGGGTACTCCCTTCCCTTCCATCGTTTAGTTTTTTTCATTGGGAAGAAATGGTAAAAGGTGCTAGGACTCGATGGGCACATTTCAGGTGGAGGTTGGGAAGGTGGATATCCACCTGTCGATCTGACTATTTTCACTTTCCACCCCGCCCCGTAGAAAGTGGGAAAACTGGCACACGTGAATCCAAGGGCGCGCCTGTGTGCGCGCGCACCCCAGGGCAACAGCCCGCCCCCCCCCCCCCCCCCCACCGCAGGTCCTTGATTGGACGCCTGTTTACACCTGACTGCCTGGCCCTCCGGTGCTTTCCGGGAAGCATTTGGGAGAAAAGTGTGTGGCCGCAGTAGTGGAGATCCCGTCTTAGGATTCGTCACCGCTACGCCCAGACCTCTTCGCCGTCCAAGAGCCTGGGGCCGTGGGGGGCGGGGCGGCCTGCTATCGGCCCCGCCCCGCCGACAGGACCCGCCTCTCTCCGCAGGCACGGCGGGGCCGACCCCGCCTCTCGCTCCCAGCATGCCGTGCGACAGCGGCGGCGCGGCGAGCGGAGCCGGGAGGCGGGGAAGCAGTGGCCGTGTGAGCGTGAGGAGCTGCCGCCACCGCCTGTTCCTCGTCGTCCTCCTCCTCGGGGGCCCCGGCGACGTGGGCCGCGCAGGGCCCTGGAAGAGACGTCGCCTCCCCTTCATCCGCCTCTCTCTCACCGCGCCGCTCCCGCCTCCTCGTCCTGTGCTGCGGGCTCAGGCGGAACCCGAAACGGTCGTCCTCTTCCCCCGCCCGCCGCCGCCTCCTCCTCCTCCTCCTTCTCGGCTTCCTTCTCAGCCCCGGGCCGGAGCGGGGTGTTGGCGGCGGCCGGTTCGGGTGGCGACTCGCGCTTCTCTGGGCGGCGGCGCTTGGCCATATCGTGTCGGGGAAGGTAATGAGCCGCAGAGCCCCGGGGTCTCGGCTGAGCGGCGGCGGCGGCGGCGGCGGCGGCGGCGGCACCAACGGCACCAACTATTCGCGGAGCTGGAATGACTGGCAACCCAGGTGGGTGACCGGCCCGGGACCCCGCCCCGACCTCCCGGGCTCCGCCTCGGGCGGGCGGAGGCCTAGGGCCGCGGGGCTGGGAGGCGCGGCCTAGGCCCTCCACCCCCGGGAGCCGGGCGCGGCTTCCTGGGTCTCCTCCGCCCCGGCTGGGGGAGGAAGGCCGCGGGGAGGCGAGGCCTAAGTGCCTCTCCCCTCCCTGCTTGTTCAGCCCGGGGCTGAAGCCGAGACCCGGGGCTCCCGGCGGTGGCACTGGCCTAGGGTCGGGACCAGGAGGTGAGAAAGAGGCGGGGGTGGGGGGGCGGGGGGCATTCCACTTACCGCTTCCCCCTGACCCCGAGTTGGGAGATTCTGAGAGTACAGGACCCTCCCTGTTACTCATTCACTTTCTCGGTTCCCCAGTCTTTCAGCCGCCACGTGAGAGCTCTTCTAACCTCTGTTCCTTTCTGTGACCCCCACGTGGTAATATTGAAAAAACCAAAACAAAACTCCAGCTAAGGCATTGCTCTGACTTTAGGCAGAACATTCATTAGTGGAGCGTGAGATGAGATTGTGTGACTGTTGATGGGATCGACCTACTCTGGTCTTGGGCGATGGAAGTTTTCCCTAAGTGCAAGGCCGGTTACTCTGGTGAATCGTAATTCATACCTGGACACTTGAGTGAACTCTGGGCACCCACTTAGAAGTCTAGAGAATTTCCTCTTTTATGGAGGATTTGATGTCAGACCGTTTTGGGGCTTAGTTAGATTTGAATATATTAGGAACATTAACTTTTTAAATAAATGTAATTTCCTGTCTTTTTGATCAATGGGGGGAGGGCAGCTGTGCCTAATTTAGGATTGATTTATTCTAACCTCTCTTACTAAATAAATGCTTGTATTCAGAGTCTGTTTGGAATTTAACCCAATGCTTAGAACTCCTTAAATATACAGAAATATATTTTAGGGGTAATTGATTCATGGAACTCTCCTACTTTGGAGCACAATTGTATTATAATTGTCCGGAAACTGGCCAGATAATGTAGAACGCACAAGTTGTTGAGAAGCCCTTTTGTTTCCTGATAGTTACATGTAATTCCAGCAGTATTTGGAAATAATTTGCTAAGATGTTAGAATGTAACATTTGAAGACTCGTTAGAAAAATCAATAAAATTATCTTTGGCTAATGGGTAGTACACATCTTAGTCTGTTTAATATGCCTTTCCAAAAAAAACTGTGTCTGTTGAGAATTGGTGTATATAACTAGATGACTTTAATAATTAGTGCCTGAGTCTAGAATTGAGATGTTTAGTCGTAAAAAAAAATATTGTTCGATAAACAGCGTTGACTTGTCTTGTACCACTTAAGAGTTTGTGAGTGCTTTAAATAAAATTAGTTGATTAAGTATTTTTTTTCCTATGATTGACATGCTTAGTTTTGCCTTTTTATTGAAATGTGTGAAATTTGATTTTCTGGCATCTAACAAATTAGGTGGTAAATGAATGACAATGGATTTTCTATTATTTTTCAGTATTGTGATCAGTATAAGTATATAAGAGAATTTAGTAACCTTTTAGAAGAATAAAGTGCCCTTCCCAAATAGTCCTACAGCTTTTGGAAAAGTGTAAATTGTAGTTTGTAGTTCTAAATAAATAGAGAAGAGTCGCAGCCACGTGCTAGGGCCAGCTGACTTCATTGCTGACAGGTATGAAGCCAAATGGCTTATGTAGTTATGGAATATGTACATGAGCTATTAATAAATATTATCCATGTTGTTTCTTTCAAGTGCTTTATTTCTTGGCTCTGGGGAGGGGCGATGGGGGAAGGGAGGAGCTTACAAGAAAGCTTGCAAGGTTTCTTTGAAGCTGTGCTTTTTGTAGGAAAGTTTCAGGATGTAACGCCTTGGTAGACGATACTGTGATACATTTGGTTACAGGCAATAACAGTTTGTTAGGATGTTGGAAAAATTTGATTTTCTCCTGTTGTAGAGGGAACAGGGAAGTGTGGACATACCCCATAGCATAACTTGATTTGTTGCTAAGATTGTCATAGCTGATTTGTTAGTCAATAAAAATACCTGGGGTGTTTGCCAAGTCATAAATTTTTATTAGTTAAATTTGAGGTGATTCTGTCCCCTATTCAGAAAGATGACAGACTCCAGGTAACTGACGGAACAGATCTTGATCTTGCTTCTTGCTTAAATGAAGGTTTAGAACATCTTCAGATGCAGGCACATTTATTATTGTTCATCTGAATAATTTTGGTGAAAATTTTTTTGCCTCTTATGTACCATTTTGTCCCTGGTGTTTTGGTTCTGTTTTCCTTGATGTAGGCTTTTTTTTTTTTTTTTTTTTTGTCTTCCTGAGATGGAGTCTTGCTCTGTCTCCCAGGCTGGAGTGCAGTGGTGTAATCTCGACTCACTGCAGCCCCTGCCTCCCGGTTACAGGGAAAAATTCTCCTGCCTCAGCCTCCTGAGTAGCTGGGATTACAGGCGTCCAGCTAATTTTTGTATTTTTAGTAGAGACGAGATTCCACCATGTTGGCCGGCCTGTTCTCGGACTCCTGACTCAGGTGATCCGCCTGCTTTGGCCTCCCAAAGTGCTGGGATTACAGGTGTAAGTCATCGCACTCAGCCGATTTAGGCTTTTGAAAAAGCAATACTTGTTGATTTCTTTTAGTGTTAGTTTGCCAGTTGGTGTGGAAAATGACTGTTGAGACAATTTTGACCACACATGATACTTCACACATACTGACAGGAAGTGTTCCAGGTGGCTGAATATGTGAATGTCATATGGCAAGAGAGCAAACCCGTGTTCCATAGAAGCATACCTCCAACAGTAAGCATTTATATGGCACTGGCTTATAGTCTTCCTTTTCATTCACTGTGCTCTCAGTCAACTCTTCTGTCAATTTTTTTGAGACGGTCTTGCTGTGTCACCCAGGCTGGAGTGCAGCGGCACAGATACTTGGCTTACTGCAGTCTCGACCTCCCAGGCTCAAGCCTCCTGCCTCAGCATCCACAAGTAGCTGGGGCTACAGGCGCTTGCCAACAGCCCGGCTCATTTTTGTATTTTTTGTAGAGATGGGGTTTTCACCACGTTGCCCAGGCTGGTCTTGAACCCCTGAACGCAAGCAATCTGCCCACCTTCAGCCTCCCAAAGTGTTGAGATTACAGGTGTGAGCCACTGCACCCGACATTTAAGAATGGTTAAGCAGGCCGGGGGCAGTGGCTCACGCCTGTAATCCCAGCACTTTGGGAGGCTGAGGTGGGTGGATCACCTGAGGTCAGGAGTTCGAGACCAGCCTGGCCAACCGACATGGTGAAACCCCCGTCTCTACTAAAAAAAAATAAATAAATAAATTAGCGGGATGTGGTGGTGCATGCCTGTAATCCCAGTTACTCGGGAGGCTGAGGCAGGAGAATCACTTGAACCTGAGAGGCAGAGGTTGTAGTGAGCGACATCACACCACTGCACTCCAGCCTGGGCAGCAGAGCAAGACTCCTTCTCAAAAAAAATAAAAAGTTAAAAAAAGAATGGTTAAACAAATGAGTGTTTTAGGTCAGTTGTATTATTTGAAATCTGTGGGTTCCTCAAGCGTAAAGTTGAGAAGGTTTTGGGAACCACTGGATGCCTCTGGTTTTTTTCATATGAAGAAACAGGGGTGGTGGCTTCTTAGAACAAAGGGATATCTGACCTATGGAGGTGGCCCTCTTTACTCCTCTTCCCTAAAAAAATGACCTATCATTGCCAATAGCTAAAGTCTGTCATTTTTTCCACCTTAGTTTGGAAGATAATCTTCTAGTATCAATCAAGACAGAGATCAGAATGATGTGTTTTAAAATTAAATGTGTAATTCATAATTGTACATTTTAATATTCTAAAGTGACATTGATTAATTTGACATTGGAGTCAAATAGATTGATTAATTCAACAAAGAAGAGAAGGCATTCAAGTCAACAGAAAACAAGTAGATTTTACTTCTCCACTCGGGGTATTAGGACATTAATTGTGTAATTGGTCTTACTTGTTTAGTAGTAGATCTATATTGAGTGTCTTACTGTGCCCAAACTTAGGATCTTTCTATATTTCTAAAAGGATGAAACTGTATAATAAAAACACCTTCCAATTTTGGTAGATTGTAGACAGATCAGAGTATTCAAAAGTACACACATCTTCTCTATTGTGAAAGACCAAAAAATGGAAATGTGTTGTGAAATTAGAAAAGCTGTATACTAGTATGTCTGATGTTGTGAGAAGCTGGATTTTTGAAACCAGAGTTGTCTATTCAGCCTTTTATCAGTCTGTACTAAGTTTGATGTCCATAGGTACATAATATAGGGAGATACATAAAGGATAAAATTAAGTGAAGTTACATATTTTATACCTATTAGGTAGGTGCAAAAGTAATTGCGGTTTTGGCAAAAACCGCAGTTACTTCCACACCAGTCTAATATTAAATGGAACTAGAGTCAAATAGAATTTAGCGATTGCCAGTTCTGTTCCACAGATTTCAAAGTACACTAAGGAAAATTTCAGCAAATTGTGTATGGCTGTTTTACTTGGGGGAGAGTAAAACAGCCATAATAAACTAAAAAATAAAAATTAAAACTAAAGGAACATTTGTTTTTATGTTTTTCTTTTCTTTTCTTTCCTCTTTTTTGAGATATGCTCTTGCTCTGTTGCCCAGGCTGGAGTGCAGTGGTGCAATCACTGCTCACTGCAGCCTTGACTTCCTGGGCTCTGGGAATCCTCCCGCCTTAGCCTCCTGAGTAGCTGGGACCACAGGTGCATACCACCACACCTGGCTAATTTATTTTTCCTCTCTCTCTCTCTTTTTTTTTTGAGACAGAGCTTTACTTTGTCGCCCAGGCTGGAGTATAGTGGCACAATCTCAGCTCACTTGCAACCTCCGCCTCCTGGTTCAAGTGATTCTCCTGTCTCAGCCTCCCAAGTAGCTGGGAATACAGGTGCATGCCACTATGCCCGGCTAATTTTTGTGTTTTTAGTGGAGATGGGATTTCACCATGTTGGCCAGGCTGGTCTTGAACTGCTGACCTCAGGTGATCCACCCGCTTCGGCCTCCCAAAGTGCTGGGATTACAGGCGTGAGCCACCACGCCTGGCTTCCTCTCTCTTTTTCTGAAACAGAGTCTCGCTCCATTGCCCAGGTTGGAGTGCAGTGGAACCATCTCAGCTCACTGCAGCCTCCACCTCCCAGGCTCAATAAGTCCTCCTACCTCACCCTCCCAATAGCTGGGACCACAGGTGCATGTTACCACCCCCAGCTACTTTATTTTTTTTTTGTTTTCTGTAGAGACGGGGTTTTGCCATGCTGCCTGGGCTGGTCTTGAATACCTAGGCTCAAGTGATCCTTCCTCCTTGGCCTCCCAAAGTGCCAGGATTACAGGTGTGACCCACCATGCTTGGCACGCTAATTTTTTATTTTTACTTTTTTGTAGAGATGGGGCCTCCCCATGTTGCCCATGCTGGTGTCAAACTCCTACTCCATTATGAAATAAGTCATTCCTTATGAAACACTTAGTAATTGTATCTTTAAGTTGAACCTTCCCCTCACCCCAACTTTTTTTTTTTTTTTTTTTTTTTTTTTTTTTTTGAGACAGAGTTTTGCTCTTGTTGTCCAGGCTGGAGCGCAATGGTGCAATCTCGGCTCACTGCATCCTCCGCCTCCCAGGTACAAGCTGTTTTCCTGTCTCAGCCTCCCAAGTAGATCAGATTACAGGCATGTGCCACCACACCCGGCTAATTTTTTTATATTTAGTAGAGATGGGGTTTCACCATGTTAGGCTGGTCGTGAACTCCTGACCTCAGGTGATCCACCTGCCTCGGCCTCCCAAAGTGCTGGGATTACAGGTGTGTGCCACTGCACCCCGCCTTTTTTTTTAAAGACATAGTTTCACTCTGTCTCCCAGGGTGGAGTGCAGTGGCACAATCTTGGCTCAGTACAACCTCCACCTCCTGGGTTCAAGTGATTCATGTGCCTCTGCCTCCCGAGTAGCTGGGACTACAGGCGCATGTCACCAGGCCCGTCTAATTTTTGTATTAGAGACAGGGTTTCGCCATGTTGGCCAGGCTGGTCTCGAACTCCTGACCTCGAGTTCCCACCTTGGCTTCTCAAAGTGCTGGGATTACAGAAGTGAGACACCGTGCCTGGACCCGCCAACCCATTTTGTTTTGATTCCTTTATAAATTAGTATAATGGAAGGTTTTTTTGTTTGTTTTTTATAACAGGTAATGAAATACTCTAATTCAGTAAATATTGATGCTTCTGGGGAGATGTGTGTGTGTGTGTGTGTGTATGTGTGTGTGTGTGTGTGTGTGTATGTATATAATAAATTTTTTTTTTTTTTTTTAGGATGGAGTGTCACTCTGTCGCCCAGGCTAGAGTGCAGTGGTGCAATCTCGGCTCACTGCCAGCTCCACCTCCTGGGTTCACGCCATTCTCCTGCCTCAGCCTCCCGAGTAGCTGGGATTGCAGGTGCCCGCCACCACGCCTGGCTAATTTTTTGTATTTTTAGTAGAGATAGGGTTTCACCGTGTTAGCCAGGATGGTCTCGATCTCCTGACCTCGTGATCCGCCCGCCTCGGCCTCCCAAAGTGCTGGGATTACAGGTGAGAGCCACTGTGCCCGGCGAAGCAGCGTCTCTTTTTAAGGTTGTAAGGTAGCTTGGGTTAGAAATAAAGGCAGAGAGCCACTCCATACCTGTAGTTCTAGCTACTGGGGAGGCTAAGACCAGAGGAATCTCTTGAGCCCAGGAGTTCAAGGCTGCAGTGAGCTGTAATCACACACTGCACTACAACGTGGGCAACATAGAGTGAGACCTAATAAATAAATAAATAAATAAATAAACAAATAAATGCAAGGAGAAAGTCAGGAACTTGGTGCATTTAGGTGTACAATTAGTTGGCATAAACAATTTTTTTTTTTGAGATGGAGTTTCTCTCTTGTTGCCCAGGCTGGAGTGCAGTGGGGCAGTCTCGGCTCACTGAAACCTCTGCCTCCTGGGTTCAAGTGATTCTCCTGCCTCAGCCTCCCGAGTAGCTGGGATTACAGGTGCCCGCCACCACGGCCAGCTAATTTTTGTATTTTTAACAGATGGGGTTTTGCCATATTGGCCAGGCTGACCTTGAACTCCTGACCTCAAGTGATCCGTCCACCTCAGCCTCCCAAAGTGCTGGGATTACAGGCGTGAGCCACTATGCCAGCCAAGAATTTTTAAAAAAGGAGTTTCATTCAGCCCACCTCATTCCTCTGCAGGGCACCTGTGTGCAGGGCAAAACTGCTCAACCCTACTCAGAAGCCCTGTGAAAGCTGCTGAAAGGATGAGCAGATTGAGGCCTGAACTGTATCTTGGATTTAGCAGCCTGGAGGTCATAATGGATTTTGCCAAGAGTGATGGGGCAGAAATTGGACCAGTGTGTGTTAAGGAGCTAGAAGAAGTGAAGAAATGGGAGAGGGGAATCTAGACAACTTTAGTTTGGCTGCAGCAAGTAAAGGCAGATTGTTTGATGGAGGGACATGTGGGATTGATGGAGTTTTTCCTTTTTATATGTTTTTGTATTTTTCAATGGAATACATTAGAAAGTGTTGCATGTTTATGGGGGGGATTTAGTTCAGTGGGAAAAGTATTTGAAAAGTTACAGTAAGGTGGAAGTAGATGGAATCCTCAGTAAGGTCTAGAATCGGGTACAGGTATTTTATGGTATCTTCCTCACCCCACCCCGAGACGGAGTTTCGCTCTTATTATTGCCCAGGCTCTGGAGTGCAGTGGTGCAGTCTTGGCTCACTGCAACCTCCACCTCCTGGGTTCAAGCGATTCTCCTGCCTCAGTCTCCCATGTAGCTGAGATTACAGGTGCGCACCACCACACCCAGCTAATTTTTGTATTTTTAGTAGAGATGAGGTTTCACCATTTTGGCCAGGCTGGTGTCCAACTCCTGACATCAAGTGATCCACCCGCCTTGGCCTCCCAAAGTGCGGGGATTACAGGCGTGAGCCACTGTGCCCAGCTGGTACCTTTTTTCTTGTTGGTGAAGTAGAATGTGTGTATGGGGAGGGGAGGTGATAGGATATTTTGGAATTTGAAGAGAATGGGAATGTCTGGATAGTGCATGTATAGAATGGGAAGTAAACACTGGAGGACCTGGGAGTGTGGTGCTTATTGATGGATCGTTGGGTTTATCCAGGATTGGGGTTTTGCCAGATGGGTGTGATGAGAATCTTAAGAGTTAAGGGTATAGGCAAGAGTGTTGTTGAAATGATACACAATGAAATCTAAGCTGGTTAAAGAAGTGAAGAAGGGGCCGGGCACGTTGGCTCACGCCTGTAATTCCAACACTTTGGGAGGCCGAGGCGGGTGGATCCCTTGAGGTCAGGAGTTCGAGACCAGCCTGGCCAACATGGTGAAACCCCGTCTCTACTAAAAATACAAAAATTAGCCGGGTGTGGTAGCAGGGGCCTGTAATCTCAGCTACTTGGGAGGCTGAGGCAGGAGAATCGCTTGAACCTGGAGGTGGAGGTTGCAGTGAGCCAGTATTGCACCACTATACTCCAGCCTGGGCAACAAAGTCAGAGTCTGTCTCAAAAAAAAAAAAAAAAAATGAAGTGAAGAAGGAGGAGAATACTTGGATTGGGATAAAGTAGAAAGAGTCACTGGATTAAAGTTAACTAAAAAACTCATAAACTTTAGAGTGGTATTGAGAAATTGTAGGGTGAACTGAAAAAGGCTCATGGGATTTTAGAGCCAAGAAGGCCTTGAGTGGCAGTTCCTACCTTAGTAGGAATAGCTTCAGTGGTGTGTTGCAGGTGGAACCCAGATTAAAGTGGGTTAAAAAGTAAATGAAGGCAAGGAAGATAAATTTTTCAACAGGTTTGTCTGTGAAGAGTCCAGGCTATTAGATTGATAGAGGGAGAAAGGCAGTTAAAGGGTTTTTTTGTTTTTTGTTTTTTTTGAGTCAGAGTCTCACACTGTTGCCCGGTCTGGAGTGCAATGGCGTGACCTCGGCTCACTGCAACCTCCGCCTCCGGGGTTCAAGTAGTTCTCCTGCCTCAGCCTCCCAACTAGCTGGGAATACAGGCGCCCACCACCACACCCGGCTAATTTTTTGTATTTTTAGTAGAGACGGGGTTTCACTATGTTGCCCAGGCTGGTCTCAAACTCCTGACCTCATGATCTGCCTGCCTCGCCCTCCCAAAGTGCTGGGATTACAGGCGTGAGCCACCGTGCCCGGCCTTATTTTCTTAATTTTTAAATTTATTTTATTATTATTATGATTATTTTTGAGATGGAGTCTCTCTGCCGCCCAGGCTGAAGCGCAATGGTGCAATCTCGGCTCACTGCAACCTCTGCCTCCCGGATTCGAGCGATTCTCCTGCCTCAGCCTCCTGAGTAGCTGGGATTGCAGGCGCCCGCCACCACGCCTGGCTGATATTTGTATATTTAGTAGAGACGGGGTTTCACTACATTGGGCAGGCTGGTCTTGAACTCCTGACCTCATGATCCACCCACCTTGGCCTCCCAAAGTGCTGGGATTACCAGCGTGAGCCACCGCACCCGGCCTTTAGTTTTTTTTTTTGAGACGGAGTCTCGCTCTGTCACCAGGCTGGAGTGTAGTGGCACGATCTTGGCTCACTGCAAGCTCTGCCTCCCGGGTTCAAATGATTCCCCTGCCTCAGCCTCCCAAGTAGCTGGGACTACAGGTGCGTGCCACCACGCACAGGTAATTTTATTTTTTCTATTTTAGTAGAGACGGGGTTTCACCGTGTTGGCCAGGGTGGTCTCAATCTCCTGACCTTATGATCTGCCTGCCTTCGCCTCCCAAAGTGCTGGGATTACAGGCATGAGCCACCGTGCCCGGCCATTTTTTGTTTTTGTTTTTGTTTTTTTTAAAGTAAGACTTTTGAGAGTGCTCATATGTTGATGATGTGATAAGCAGTAGTAAAATGGGAGATTTTGCAACGTACAAAAGAAACAGGCCGGGTGCAGTGGCTCAAGCCTGTAATCCCAGCACTTTGGGGAGGCCAAGGTGGGCGGATCACGAGGTCAGGAGATCGAGACCATCCTGGCTAACATGGTGAAACCCCGTCTCTACTAAAAATACAAAAAATTAGCCGGGCGTGGTGGTGGGCGCCTGTAGTCCCAGCTACTCGGGAGGCTGAGGCAGGAGAATGGCGTGAATCCGGGAGGCAGCGAGTCGAGATCACGCCACTGCACTTCAGCCTGGGCGACAGAGCGAGACTACATCTCAAAAAAAAAAAGACAAGACATACCTTGGAAAATGGGGGGAATAGACAGATGATTTCTATGGATAGGAGGTTTATTTGTTCCATTATGCGAAGATGATGGGAAGAAAAGCTGTATGTGCAGATGCAGGTGAATTTGTGGATATATTAGAAGGAAGATGACAGGCAGTGATGGAGTGTTGAAGAGCTCAAACATTAGACAGTACTGGGTCTGAGTTCTGACTCTGCCTTTTGCAAGCTGTGCAACCATAGGCCAGTTATGAAACCTTAGTTATCAAGTTATAACTAATAGGATTGTGTTGAACACGAAATGACATGATAAACATATGTAAACTGCTTGGATCAGTTGCCCACTAGCTCTTGTTAGGAGCTAAAATGTTAGCTCTTGCTGAGGGTGCTGTCAAATGGCTTCTGTTTCTCATGGAGCAGAAATCTATAAGGTCATCCACTGGTAGTGGTGGGAGAAGGAAAAAGGTGCAGAAAGTTTTACAGATGTTTTGGAAAGGAAAGAAACCTGGTGAGGGAAATGTGGGCAGCATCAGAGGCCCACTTGAAGTCAGAGAAAAGGAGCATTGGGGCATGGAGGTGAGGGGGTACTTTCTTCAGCTTTTCTCTGAAGACAATTGTGCATGTGAAACAAGGGTTAAAATCAGATCTATTGCCCTCCTGGATTTATTGGCTTCGTTTGCTCTTTCTGGCTAATTTGATTGGAGTTCTGAAAGTAGAGAATATTAGAGGTTCCTTGGAAGGAAAATAAGCAACACTGAAGTCAAATCTTTATCATGTTTGCTGGAAATGTTATTAAAAAACAAAATTTATGGCCGGGTGCAGTGGCTTATGCCTGTAATCCCAACCCTTTGGGAGGCTGAGGTGAGTGGATCACTTGAGCTCAGGAGTGCGAGACCAGCTTGGGCAACATTTTGGGAATGTTGTAGAGAATGGGACAAAAAAATACAAAAGTTGCTGGGCGTGGTGGAGTAAGCCTGTGGTCTCAACTACTTGGGAGGCTGATGTGGGAGGTTTGCTTGAGCTCGGATTGCACCACTGCACTCTAGCCTGGGCGACAGTGTGAGACCCTTTTTCAAAACAAACAAGCAACTTTTTTTGAGCTACAGTATATTTAATGGTTTTAAATATGAGTGCAGAGTAAGAGGGAGTCCAGTCCATAAGATGACCCTTGCTTCTAATACTAGTTGCAAGTTTGGGGGTTCCCAAGACCACTCTTTTTTTTTTTTGAGACAGGGCCTCTCTCTGTCACCCCGGTGAGAGTGCAGTGGCATGATCACGGCTCACTGCGCCCTGAACTCCTCCCTCCCAGGTTCAGGCAGTCCTCCTACCTCAGCCACCTGAGTTGCTGGATCTGTGGGCACACACCACCTCGCCTGGCTAGTTTTTCTATATTTTTTAGAGACAGTTTCACCATATTGCCAGGCTGGTCTCAAACTCCTGAGCTGAAGTGATCCGCCTGCCTGGGCCTCCCGAAGTGCTGGGATTACAGGCTTGAGTCACTGTGCCTGGCCAAGACCACTCTTAGGTTGGATGATTTGCCAGGAGGACTCACTAGAACTCATTGAAAGCTCTCATACCCGTGGTTAGAGTTTATTGCAGTTTAGGGATTCAGATTAGAACGAGCCAAGGGTAGAGGTGCATAGGGCAGAGTTCGGGGAAGTTCCAAATGTTGGAGTTTCTAATTGTCCTGTCCCTGTAGAGTTGTGAAAAATGACACCTTCCTGGTGGCACTGGTGTGCGACCATACTCATGGATTATTGCCAACCAGGGAAGCTCACTCTATTTTTTATGTCCAGCGTTTTTACTGGGGTTCCATGGTTGCATGCCCATGTGGCTAACCTTAGTCTCCAGCCCCACTGGAGGCCAAGCTGATCCATGTGACTCAAAGCCCCCACCATAAGCCACATTATTAGACTGTGCTGTGGCCTAAAGCCCCCAGATGAACAAGGACACTTTCCCCCACCGCCGCCCCCCCCCCTTTTTTTTTGGAGATAGTCTTGCTCTGTTGCCCAGGCTGGAGTGCAGTGGCATGATCTCAGCTCACTGAAACCTCAGCCTCCTGAGTAGCTGGGATTATTACAGGTGCCCGTCACCATGCCTGGCTAATTTTTGTATTTTTAGTAGAGACAGGTTTCACCATGCTGGCCAGGCTGGTCTCAGAATCCTGACCTCAAGCGATCTGCCCGCCTTGGCCTCCCAAAGTGCTGGGATTACAGGTGTGAGCCACTGCTCCTGGCCAGGACCCTCTTATTAGGTATGACATTTCAAGAGTTTAGAGATTACCTTCCAGAATTCACAGGTAAAAGCCAGACCTCTCCTTGGTGAAGATACAATTCTTTACAATTTTACAATAGTTAAATATATTTTATCAGTCTATATTGGCTGTTTAGTTGACAGACAGTTAAAAATTGGTGACAGTCCAGATGTGGTCACTCATGCTTCTAATCCTAGCATTTTGGGAGGCTGAGGTGGGAGGATTGCTTGAGTCCAGGAATTTGAGAGCAGCCTGAGCAACATAATCAGACACCTGTCTCCAAAAAACATAAAAATAAAAAATTAGCTAAATGGAGTGGCATGCACCTGTGGTCCCAGCTGTTTGAGAGGCTGAACCCATGAGGTCGAGGCTGCACCCATGAGGTCGAGGCTGCAGTGAGCTATGGTCATGCCAGTGCACTCCAGCCTGGGTGACAGAGTGAGACCCTGTCTCAAAAAAGGAAACAAATCACCCATAAATGGATAATTAAGATTTGGTTATTATAGACACTTAATACTTAGGTAGCTAAGGTAGTTTTACCAATAAATTATAGTAATTTAATATTTCAGTATTGCAAAACTGATGCATACTCATTTACAATTTTGACATGGAATGGTTCTGTTTTGTTTTATTAAATTTGAACTTAAAGTTCTCTGCAAGAAGAGATTTGTATAATAAATTCCCTGAGCCTCCCAAATTAATATTTTAGCCATAGACTCATATTTAGAGCAGTGTTTCTAATGTAATGATACAAGGCCCAGGGTTATTCATAGTTTCACCCTTTCTCTTATTCCTCATTAAAGCATGTTTGAATCCAGGTAAGAGGCATTACAGGGGAAAACCTTGAATTTATTTTTGAAGGGTAAATCATTTCCAAGTGGTATTAACCATTAGTATGGAAAGCAACATATCCTATAACTGCTCTGTGACAGTGAGACTATCTTTGCTGCTTTAGAGAATAAGTACATTCCTACTTCATTGGCTTTAGTGCAAATCTCATTTCCTGGTTTATATCCATTACAAATTAGATCTCACCATGAGAGCAAAATCCCTTAATAAACCTAGGTAAAAGCAATTTGAAGTAATATGATGCTTATTCCAGTGTCACCACTAGGTGTGGTGTTTGCATCAAGTCATTTTGGGGTGCTTTATGGAATTGCTTCCTAGTAGGGAATTCCCTGACTTCACACTTTCCAGAGACGACGCTCTCTCTCTTTTTCTCTCTAATACTTACAAGAATGGACTGCAAGGCTACATTTAGTCAGGCGATACCATCCCCAGCACATGGTGGCTTGTTGGTGTGAGGTCTAAGGATTCCGGTCATTTGAAACGAATGGCCTCCTAGATTTGTGGCATTTTTCTGTATATTGAGAATAGGTAACTAAAATAAGTGGTAACTATATTTGCATGTGATTTGTATGTTATAGTTAACATTTAAATTCTCTTATGTACTAAAATTTTTTTGGTTGCCACAGTAAGCCTCTTTATCCTGTAAGGCACAGAGTGTCTTTCCACCTCAATTTTTGCTTTAATGTATGAACCCTAATGGGACCATAGTTCAACTAAAGGCACCTAACTCATGAATGATATTTGCTCCATGTTTGAACAACAAATGTTTTAACCCACTGTCTTCACTAATATTGTAACTACTGTCTTACAGATTGACTTGATGCACAACATCACAAAGGCGATTTTTGAGGTATGAGCTTTAGAAACTTACCTCTCATGTGGCATGTACATCAGGCTTTAACTTCAGTTTGATCGTTTTGGGGAAATTTATGCATTTCTTTTTTTTTCTCTCCATGATATTTTTAGAATATTAAAGGGGCTGTAGAGGTATTTTTGGATCCTTGCTAGGATTCTTAGACTTAACAGATAGATTTTCTTTTTTCACTAAATTGAGACACTAATTCTGGCAGATGATATCCCTTTCAGCTCTTCTAACTAACTAGTCTTAACATTCATGCCTGCTTCTTGGAGTTCAAATCTGCAGTTTCTATTTTGTGGCTTTGATTGCCTCATTTTAAGTGCTCATTTCCCTTCTTTAACAGTTCTCTATTTATTGGACTGGGATGATCTTGTTGGTGCTAACAGCCTGACATTGACATTTTTTGAAACCAAAGCAGTCAAGATTGTATAAAAATAGAAATTTCTTATAAATGCTAAACCATTTTGTGCTTTTAGGTTCAGAATGCTTACAACCTGAGTTCTGGTTGGGGATGCTTTGATCAATTTGTATTAAAATAATTTGGCAACTAGGGAGTTTTGAGGTATTTCTGAGACGGTGGCTCTATTCCAGTTTTTTTTGTTATATTTCTGAAAACAGATTTTTTTTGGGAAAAAAATCTCAGTGTTCATAACTTAGGGGATTTAGAAACCTTATTTCTAACCAACGGGGAAGCTGCTCCTGGTTTTACAGTTTAGTTTGAAATCAGATGCTTCCTAGTTGGAAACACATTGTTGGTAGCAACAGATTACCTGCTTTCTTCAGTGAAGTATTTAAGTTGCTCTATATTGACTGTAAAAACTTGTTTTGATTATATTCATATACTCATGAACTGTTTGTACATTGTCTTTTAGACTGGAAACTTTGAGTTTATTTTGTATTATGGTCATAACAACTTTTAACATACCCTGCAAACTAAGTGTTTCTTTATAATTCATTATCTTATTTCAGCCTCACAACAACCTTACATGTTAGATAGGTATCATCCTCATTTTATGCAAGAGACAACCAAGGCTTGGAGATCAAGTAATTTGTGCAAAAGCACACATACTTTTCAGTGCTGGAGCTGGGATTTGAGCCCAGATCTTTTTTTAACTTGTATTCTCTGCTGCCTTATGGTACTACTGTGTCACCAGAAAATGATACAAACATTTAACTCTTAATAGTAAAGGTAGTGTAGGAGATAAGTAAACATGATGAAAACAGGAAGTGAAGATACGTTTAAATATTGGCAGACTTCAGTTATCTTTGTGTTTCTGAATTAGTCAAGTGCTTATTTTATTCGCTCATCTAATAAGAGCTTACTGTGGCATACATATAAAGTTCAAACCCTGTCAGAAAAGATTATAAGCTCTCTTAACGTTTCAGTCTCCTTTCAGAAAGTAATGGTATGCTATGATTTATATAGACGCATGTTAAGTGTGCTATTTTTAGGTACATAAGGAATGTCTTTTCATTAGTTTAAAAAAGTTATGGTCCATTGAGTTAATATTTTAATGCTTATAGACTTAGTATACTCAGAAAATATTCTCATACATTTTTCTTGAAATTCCATAGATTTTATTTTCCCTTATGTTCGAAGTACTTAGCTTTATGAATAAGTGAACTCTGAATATTAGAAGATACTCCTTATGGAGCCTTAGTCATTTTAGTATGCTAGGTTTTGAATTTCATGAAGTTTCAGATTGAGATCCTTTATAAGTAATGACTTGTACCAGTTAGATATCCAAGTTTAATTGGACCTATTGTCTGCATTCTGTATTAACAGTGATTGCAGTAAGTGCAGATCAAGGTGTCCAACTGATTGAGCTCATGCAAAGTTTTATGTTTAGTATTTTTGGGAGCAAGGAAAGACTAATAAACTCTAAACGAAATATATACAGTATACAAACACTGCTGTCACTTTTACACCATAGAGGGAGGGGCAAAGCGTAGAGGAATAGGTTAGTTTCTGGCCTTGCCAGTGTCCTAAACTTTTCTAAAAGATTCAGGTTCTAAAAGGTTGAGAAAGCATTTTTAGTAAATATCATAGAAGTGATTTTCTTTTTCTTTTTCTTTTTTTTTTTCCTCAAAATTGTTCCTCTCAGGAGAAAATCAGTAGGGGAAGAACTTACTTGGATTTTTCATATGCTATAACAGATTATTTTGTTGTCTTCTTTCTTGATAGTTTATGATTGATGGCTGAAAGAGTAACACTCATGAGAAGTCTTGTAACTCAGCTCTGTTTTACTTATGAGGCAGTTGAAGCATAGAGCAGATACTTAGATGAGGACACACTTTTACCCTTGGCTGTACCCTACTTGTTTACTAATAAGCATCAGGTATTATTCTAAACAGTACCTGAATTTTAAATAGATTACGAACTACAACTTTCTGATATAACTTTATTGCATTTCTGATACCTTTTATTTTCTTAAAATGTCTTCTTTTTTACTTTTTAAAATTTTGATTGCTACTCTTTACAATTAAGGCATCTTCAATGGGGTCTTCAATACTACAGTACCTAATCAGTACTTAGAAAATAACTTGGTAAGACATTGCCCGTCCCTGACATGCTGCCAGTGTTTTTTATTTTTATGACAGGAAAGGCTGAAATGTTTTGACTGATTAACCGTCTCCATGGGGGAGAATTTAGAAAGAATTATTCTTATTATCAAGTCATGTGAGGAGAACACTGGACCAGAGTAACCAATTGTCCTGTTTTGCCTGGGACAGGAGACTTTCAATGCTAAAACCAGCAAAGTCACCCTAATCCCAGTAGTTATTCATATTTCTGAATGGGTCTTTAGAACAGTAGAAGAGAGTGAAAAGTTGGCATTTCATCCATTGAGACTCTCTTCCCAGTGAAAGACTTCTTATTAGACGGCTGAGTGCTTACATATAATATATAGTGCATATTACACTAAATACAATAGTAATGGTTAAATGTAAAATTTGGGAGAAGAGAGGCTTGTTTAAAGAAAGATTTATTTATGTTATTTAAAGTTCTAATCTTAAACTTTTCTCTTTTTATAGAACTGATAGTGCATCAGCCGACCCAGGTAATTTAAAATATTCTTCATCCAGAGATAGAGGTGGTTCTTCCTCTTACGGACTGCAACCTTCAAATTCAGCTGTGGTGTCTCGGCAAAGGCACGATGATACCAGAGTCCACGCTGACATACAGAATGACGAAAAGGGTATATATATTTTCTTATTGCTACAAGCATGTTTTTTGAACCTACCTATCCCACCTTCCTGCCTTCTTACACCCCCAACTTTCTCACTTTCTTCTAATATATTTAAAATATGAATAACAAATGCAGTGTTATTTCTGAAAACTTCATAGGACGTTTATCCACTTTATTATTTTTAAAATTTAAAATTTTTCCATACATAATTCATCAATGCAGTTTTCTTACAAAAAAGATACAATACTATTTTTGTTTTTATTTTCAAAAATATTTAGCTAAGGTTGAAGTTCCTCTTGGCTACTGTCTCTAAACTTCAAGAAAGTTTTAAAACAAGGTGCAAAATTTGATTTAATTTAGTTTTCATTTCTTTGCTTATTTTCCAATGAAGGGATCAAAATAAAATTAATTTAACTTCAAAGGTGTATTAAAAGAAATGAAAATGATTTTCAAGGCAGACAGTACAGGAAAAAGGTAGGAGAAGCAAAGGCTGGTTGAGCTGCAGATTGAGTCATAAGATCCTGAGCTATCAGGAAATTGACTGAATGAAACGAACAATCATATTTAAATGACGTACACATGGCTGTTTGTAGGTGGCTACGGTGTCAATGGGGGATCTGGGGAAAATACTTATGGTCGGAAGTCATTGGGGCAAGAGCTGAGGGTTAACAATGTGACCAGCCCTGAGTTCACCAGTGTTCAGCATGGCAGTTGTGCTTTAGCCACCAAAGACATGAGGAAATCACAGGGTAAGGCTGGGAAAACGGGGACCAATCACATACACCTTCCAAAGACTTGTATCTCCTCTTATTCTGGATGCCTCTTACTAATGCCTTGCAAAGGCATAAGTTGATTAGTCTACTGTGCAGGTAAAAATTGTTTACATTCTTTTCCTGTGAATTGTTAATTTCCCACTAGAAAGGCTATAGTACATTTTAAAAGAGAATTCTCTTAAAACAAGATTAGAAGACTGGATAAGATCTTACAGAAAAGGTTTACCCAATTATCGTGGATATTGAATGTATAGTGCATAGTAGGCTCCTACTACAGCAAGTCCTTGAACTCTTGGGCCTGTGGAGGATATAGATATATGTAGAGAGGGGGTACTTTTCTGTCTTTTTTTTTTTTTTTCTCTCTTTTAAGTTCAGGGTACATGTGCAGGATGTACAGGTTTGTTATGTAGGTAAACGTGTGCCATGGTAGTTTGCTGCACAGATCATCTCATCATCTAGGTATTAAACCCAGCATCCATTAAGCTATTCTTGCTGATGCTCTCCTTCCCCCCGCCCCCTAGAGTGGGTACTTTTCTGGTTTTTTTGTTGTTGTTGTTTTCAATATATTTTTTTGAGACAGAGTCTTGCTCTGTCACCCAGGCTGGAGCGCAGTGCTGCAATCTCTGCTCACTGCAACCTCCGCCTCCCAGGTTCAAGTGATTCTCATGCCTCAGCCTCCCAAGTAGCTGGGATTACAGGTGCATACCACCATACCCAGCTGATTTTTGCATTTTTAGTGGAGACAGGGTTTCACCATGTTGGCCAGGCTGGTCTCGAACTCCTGACCTCAAGTGATCACACGTGCTCATTACAGGCGTGAGCCACCGGGCCCTGCCTTGAGTGGGCACTTTTCTAAAGTTAAATACACTGATAGCATTTCTGCCTTATGACATAGCCTCACTGTATAGGTGAGTGCCTTGGAAGTTCAGAGGATTGGCCGGGTGCAGCGGCTCACGCCTGTAATCCCAGCACTTTGGGAGGCCGAGACGGGCAGATCACGAGGTCAGGAGATCGAGACCATCCTGGCTAACACGGTGAAACCCTGTCTCTACTGAAAATACAAAAAATTAGCTGGGCGCGGTGGCGGGCGCCTGTAGTCCCAGCTACTCGGGAGGCTGAGGCAGGAGAATGGTGTGAACCCGGGAGGCAGAGCTTGCAGTGAGCTGAGTGCGCCACTGCACTCCAGCCTGGGCGACAGAGCGAGACTCCGTCTCAAAACAACAACAACAAAAAAGAAAGTTCAGAGGATTAGAGGTAATGATAATTTTTTTCCTTAAAGAGAAACTTATCGGTAAAGCTGAGTTATGGGCTTTGTCAGATGTAATTACTTTTTGGACGTTTAGTTTTTGACTTTTTTTTTTTATTTTTTATACTGTGTGTGTGCTTCGTGTATCTTGGTGAAAATCTTTGTGCCTGTAGCTTTTATTGTTGGTATATAACTTTTAAAAAACTGATTTCTTTTTATGTTTTCACAAGTGGAATGAATTCAAAGGCTATGTATGCTGTTTGTTAAAATAGAGTGTTTGAAGCCTTAGACTTATGATATTATAGAAGCTAAACAGCGACTCTAAAGTAGTTCAGTAGAGAATTCCTCTTCTTCAAAGGCTCAGGGTCATGTAGTTTGCTAGTGACAGAATTGTAAGTAGAGCCTAATTTCCCAGCTGGTAACTTGATGACATATTTGGTATCTGTCCTTATTGAAATACTCTATGGGCTACGGATTTGTAAAAATCCTATTCTTCTCTCAGTCATTGTAGTTTCTTTTTTTTTTTTAACTTAAATTCAGGATACAAGTGCAGATTTGTTACAGTGGTAAACTTGTGTCATGAGGGTTTGTAGTATAGATTATTTTATCACCCAGGTATTAAGCCTGGTACCCATTGGTTGTTTCTCTTGATCCTCTCCTTCCTCCCACCCCCCACCCTCCAAAAGGATCCAGTGTGTGTTGTTCCCCCTTGTAGTTATTTATTTATTTATGAGATGGAGTATCTCCCTGTCACCCAGGCTGGAGTGCAATGGCGCGATCTCAGGTCACTGCAGCCTCCACCTCCCAGATTAAAGTGATTCTCCTGCCTCAGCCTCCCGAGTAGCTGGGATTACAGGAGCGTGCCACCACGCCCGGCTAATTTTTTTTTTTTTTTTTTTTTTTTTTTTGAGACGGAGTCTCGCTCTGTCGCCCAGGCTGGAGTGCAGTGGCGGGATCTCGGCTCACTGCAAGCTCCGCCTCCCGGGTTCACGCCATTCTCCTGCCTCAGCCTCCCAAGTAGCTGGGACTACAGGCGCCCGCCACTACGCCCGGCTAATTTTTTGTATTTTTAGTAGAGACGGGGTTTCACCTTGTTAGCCAGGATGGTCTCGATCTCCTGACCTCGTGATCCGCCCGCCTCGGCCTCCCAAAGTGCTGGGATTACAGGCGTGAGCCACCGCGCCCGGCCCCGGCTAATTTTTTGTATCTTTAGTAGAGACGAGGTTCCACCATGTTGGCCAGGCAGGTCTCCAACTCCTGACCCCGTGATCTGCCCTCCTCGGCCTCCCAAAGTGCTGGGATTACAGGTGTGAGCCACCATGCCCAGCCTTCTGGTTTCTTTTATTATCAATTTTTTCTCATACCTTAGAAATGAAACTGTCAGACCCTTTGTGATTTGTTGTTTACGTATGTATTGGCTAATTATGGTAAATAGCACAGTTGAAAATGTTTTGCAAAAATTGAGTTTTTTGTTTTGTTTTGTTTTTTGAGACAGTCTCGCTCTGTCACCCAGGCTGGAATGCGCTAGTGTGATTTCACTGCAACCTTTGCTTCCCAGGCTAAAGCGATCCTCCCACCTCAGCCTCCTGAGTAGCTGGGATTACAGGCATGTGCCACTGTGCCCAGCTAATTTTTGTATTTTTCGTAGAGATGGGGTTGTACCATGTTGCCAAGGCTGGTCTCGAACTCCTGTGCTCAAGTGATCTGCCTGCCTTGGCCTTCCAAAGTGCTGGGTAATTACAGGCAAGAGCCACCTCGCCCAGCAAAAATCTAGTTTTTAAAGGCATCGTTAATATACTAATAGTATTCACTATTGTTTGCTTGTTCTTGTGATTAAAAAATAAAGGGAGAAAAGTTGTGGTTTGCTACCTTTCTAGTGGAGGCATGCCTTGCATGTGGTAGATGATAATTAGACATTTGTTGAACTAAATGTGTGATTATGGCTCCCCAAAACTTCATCCCAGGGAAATGATGATAATGTGAATAAGAGGCTTTCCTCCAGTGGGATACCTAGATGATAAGTAGAAGCCTATATCCTGTTTTTACTCGATTGAGACTTTATCCATACCCCTTGGAAGTTGTTTAATTTACCTACACCCGGGCTCTTTACCTGCATGTTGAAAACAGTTTGGAATGGACCCAAAGAAAGTTGTTACTAAGGCCTTTCTTTTTTCTCTCCCAGCCAGTCCTCTGGAATGAGGTGTTCAGTTGGCCTAGGGTTATTCATTTCTTGTTTCCTTCAGCAAATATTTTTTTGAGGGTCTGTTATGTGCCAGGCACTCTGCTGGGATTTGGAATACAGAGTTGAACAAAAGAGCGATAGGACCTATATTCCCTGAGCTTTTATTGACCAGTGGACTGTGACTTTTGATGTAATTTTATTTTTGAGAGAGGGTCTTGCTCTGTCACCCAGGCTGGAGTGCAATGGGGTGATCTTGGCTCACTGCAACCTCCGCCTCACGGGCTCCAGTGATTCTCCTGCCTCAGCCTCCCGAGTAGCTGGGACTACAGGTGCACCCCACCTTGGCTGGCTAGTTTATGTAATTTTTTGTGTGTCTGTGGAGACAGGGTTTCACCATGTTGCCCAGGGTGGTCTCAAACTCCTGAACTCATGTGATCTACCCGCCTTCCAAAGTACTGGGATTACAGGCATGAGCCCCCATAATAATTTAATTATTATTTAAATAATTTTTAATTTTAAAAATTTTAAAATTATTTTAAAATTTAAAATTTCCTTTGCTTATTTATACTCAGTGGACAACAAAATGTTTATATATTCACAGAGAGATCAATGTCTTATTGTGATGAGTCTCGACTGTCAAATCTTCTTCAGAGGATCACCCGGGAAAACGACCGAGACCGAAGATTGGCTACTGTAAAGCAGTTGAAAGAATTTATTCAGCAACCAGAAAATAAGCTGGTAAGTATAGTATGTTTGGAAATATGAGGATTTTTGTGTTTCCATAATAAACTAGGTAATGCTACCTTGAGTAGTTTAAGAATGGGGAAAGTCTGTATTATGATGATCAAGAACTTAATGCTCTCTAATATGTAATTTCTTTTTCTTCTTAAAGACAAGATCTTGCTCTGTCGCCCAGGCTGGAGTGCAGTGGCACAATCATAGCTCACTGCAGTCTCAAACTCCTGGATTCAAGCTATCCTCCCGCTGTGGCCTCCTGAGTAGCTGGGACTTCAGGCATGTGCCACTACACCTGGCTGAGGTGGAAGAATCACTTGAGCCCAGGAATTCAGGGTTGCAGTGAGATATGATCACACCTCTGCATGTCAACCTGGGCGACAGAGGGAGTCCTTGTCTCTTAAAACAACAACAGAAATGTAACAAAGTATAGGAAGGGTTAAATTTTTTTCTTCACTTTCTTTACACCAATTAAGAACTTGATATGGGCCAGGTGTGGTGGCTCATGCATGTAATCCCAGCATTTTGGGAGGCCAAGGTGGGTGGATCACCTGAGTTCAGGAGTTCGATACCAGCCTGCCCAACATAGTGAAGCCCCCATCTCTACTAAAAATACAAAATTAGCTGGGTGTGGTGGCACATGACCGTAATTCCAGCTACATGGGAGGCTGTGGCAGGAGAATCGCTTGAACCCAGGAGACGGAGGTTGCAGTGAGCTGAGATCACGCCATTGCACTCCAGCCTGGGCGAAAAGAGTGAAACTCCATCTTAAAAAAAAAAAAAGAACTTGACAATGAGCAGGAGAAAATTAATGAAAATGGTCTAGTGAGGCAGATGACACTTGGATCAAAGCAAGTTTCTCCTCCTTCCAAATTTTATTATGAGTAGTTTCAAATATATAGCAAGTTGAAAGAATTTGACATTGAATCTGTTAAACCCATCATCTAATTTTTGTCGTTAACATTTTACCCTAAATACTGCCTTGTCACATATCTCTCCATCTATCCCTCCATCCGTCAGTCAATTTTTCAAATGGATTTCAAAGTAAATGAAACAAGCTTTTTGAGTTTATTTTTTTGTTGATGATCACAGCTCTATGTTTCCAGTGGGTGAATTTCTTTCATAGGCTGAAAGGAAACATGACATTCCTGATACATGCTCATTGGGGAGTGGGAATAATAAAGAAAGTAAAGTACTGTTGAATTAGAATTTGGAGGGAAGACAAATAAAAAAGTACACAATGCTATTCTTAAAAGTATAGGAATTTGAAGTTTTTATAAATGTGTTTTCTTTTAAAGGTACTAGTTAAACAATTGGATATCTTGGCTGCTGTACATGATGTGCTTAATGAAAGGTAAGTAACTAATAATGGTTCGGTTTAAATGACTTTAAAATATATTTTTAGAAATTACTTAACAATACACAAGAAGACAAACCCACTGGCTTTGTTTATGAACATTTATTGACATTACAGTGGGTCTTGTCATTTTTATCTGCATTAATTATGTGTTAATTACGGTTGAATACAAATGGAATCCACTTGAAAAGAATATTTATTTTTTGAGCCGGAGTCTCACCCTGTCGCTCAGGCTGGAGTGCAGTGGTGCGATCTCAGCTCACTGCAACCTCCACCTCCCGGGTTCAAGTGATTCTCCTGCCTCAGCCTCCCGAGTAGCTGGGACTACAGGCGTGCACCACAACTGCCAGCTAATTTTTGTATTTTTAGTAGAGACAGGGTTTCACCATGTTGGCCAGGCTGGTCTGGAACTCCTGACCTCAGGTGATCCACCCACCTTAGCCTTCCAAAGTGTTGGGATTACAGGCATGAGCCACCGTGCCTGGCTGGAATATTTTATTTTTTTAATTTGCTAGTCTCACTGGATAACTGAGTCTTGACTTATGGAATGGCATAAACTCTTGATGCAGGCATGAAGAATAAAATTAGTTTTTGTAAACAAGAGAATTTGAAACTGCTTAGAGAATAGAGGTAAAAAGGAATTTCCTTCTTTGGGTAAGAGTGGATCCAAACCATATATTCTCTGGCTATTAGAGTCTCCAGAGGTGTGTGGTCATTTTTTGTTATGGTGATTCCCAAAGATTTGCAGTGTTGGCAAGTACCCAAAATTTATCTCAGCTGGTCATAAACCTTAGTGCCTTTTGATGGTTTTGTTTTATAGAGTTACTTATTAAAGTTCTATGTAAATCATTACTGTTATCCTTTTAAGTTTCTGTATTTAACTATTACCATTTTTTATTTTATAGTCATTACATATTGGATATTATGTAGAATGTAGTTATGTATAGAGTGTTTTATCTACTTATTTGTTGCTGCCCTTTTCTGAGAGTTATTTAATACAGTTTGAGATGGAATTTAGCATTTTTGGGCCTTCCCTCACTGTTTGTAAATAATTGATTTTGTAAAAAGAAAGTGATGTCAGACAGATACTTGAGGGCAATGCAGGCTAGACAGAATGTAGTATTTAGAGTGGAGAAAATTTCAACCTTTTATGTAGTTTGAATAGAAATTTAAAAAACCACTTAAGACATTCTTTTGTAAGATGTATTACTCGTGTCATCATAGAAAACTTAAGCCTTTTGTGTGTGTTTTTTGTTTGCATTAAAATAAACACAGTAGCAAATTGCTTCAGGAGTTGAGACAGGAGGGAGCTTGCTGTCTCGGCCTTCTTTGTGCTTCTCTGAGCTATGAGGCTGAGAAGATCTTCAAGTGGATTTTTAGCAAATTTAGCTCATCTGCAAAAGATGAAGTTAAACTCCTCTACTTATGTGCCACCTACAAAGCACTAGAGACTGTAGGAGAAAAGAAAGCCTTTTCATCTGTAATGCAGGTAAGAATGAAGGGGGAAAAAATGCATGATATACTTGGGAAGAAAATTGTCCCTTTAACACATGTCCTTGGAGGGGAGCTTGAAGAAGGGAATCATAGAATAGGGGTTATCTACTGATAGGAAATATGTTTTAAAAATTCCTCTTTCTCAGTTTGAGTAAAGGATACACTGTTCAAGGATCAGTGCTACATACATATATGCATATATGTGGAGAGAGAGGGAGAGATTTCTTCTAAAAAATTGGCTTACACGCCAGGCGTGGTGGCTCACGCCTGTAATCCCAGCACTTTGGGAGGCTGAGGCAGGCGGATCATGAGGTCAAGAGATCGAAACCATCCTGGCCAACATGGTGAAACCCCGTCTCTACTAACAATACAAAAATTAGCCGAGCGTGGTGGCACGCGCCTGTAGTCCCAGCTACTCAGGAGGCTGAGGCAGGAGAATGGCTTGAACCTGGGAGGCCGAGGTTGCAGTGAGCCGAGATCGCACCATTGCCTGGGAGACAGAGCCAGACTCTGTCTCAAAAAAAAAAAAAAAAAAAAAAAGATTTTTTTCCCCTTTGGTTTTTAGAAATGTTTTTTTTGAGATTGCTTAGGACCAGAATTTGCAAAGTTGAAAATAGGAACTCCACTAGTAATGCCGGATAGAAGAGTGCTTCACATTTGTAGAGGGAGACAAGAACTAAATATCACAACTTCTTTCTGAGCCTTTTGGTTTGCTAACGTGCCCCAAATTCTTATTCCAAATGGTATAAGATAATTATGTGTAAATGAATACCGGCTCTACTTAGTTGTATTTCATATTTGTGTATCTGAATATATTAAAATATCATTCTTTTTTTTTTTTTTATGCAGTGTCTTGCTCTGTTGTCCAGCCTGGAGTGCAGTGGCATAATCTCGGCTCACTGCAACCTCTGCCTCCCAGGTTCAAGTGATTCTCCTGCCTCAGCCTCCCGAGTAGCTGGTATTGCAGGAGTGTGCCATTAGCCTGGCTAATTTTTGTATTTTTAGTAGAGATGGGGTTTCATTGTGTTGGCCATGCTGGTCTTCAACTCCTGACCTCAAGTGATCCTCCTGCCTCGGCCTCCCAAAGTACTGTGATTAGTGTCATGAGTCACCACACCTGGCCTAAAAGATCATTGATTTAGTTTTGAGTAAGATTTTAAGTGATTAAATTATGGTATTGTTGTGTTTGGAATATCTGATATTAGGGTTTTTTTTTTTTTTTTTTTTTTTTTTTTTTACAGTTTTTGATATGCTTTATTTTGGGTATGTAGTTTAAAAAATATAAAGGAAATATAAGGAATATTCTTTTTTTTTTTTTTTAATAAAAAATGTATTTTTAACTGGGCATGGTGGCTCACTCCTGTAACCCCAGCACTGTGGGAGGCTGAGGCTGGTGAATTGCCTGAGTCCAGGAGTTTGAGACCAGCCTGAGCAACATGGTGAAACCCTGTTTCTATCAAACAAAAAAAAAAAAAAAAGGAAAAAAAATAAGTTGGGCATGGTGGCATGCACCTGTAATCGCAGCTACTTGGAGGCTGAGGCAGGAGGATCGCTTGTGCCTGGGAGGTTGAAGCTACAGTGAGCTATGGTCAAGCTACTGCACTCCATTATAGGCAACCCTGTCTCAAAAAAGCAAAACAAAATGAAACATTTTCCCCTTGATTATAGAGGTTTGAGAAAAATTTGAGGGAAGATTCAGAAAATTACCTGTAACTGAACAGAATGCCACCAGCTTGGGCTTATTCTGCATGCATAATTATGAACATTTTCCCAGCTCTTGTGAAAATTCTCACATTCATAGAAAGATAGATGCACCAGTAAAATAAATACCTGTAAATACGATAATAATTTCACAATATATGCTTCACCTAGATTTACCAGTTACTAATATTTTGCCACAGTTTTATTTTCTCACACACTTTTGTTGAGCATCTGAAAACCATACACATGATGACAGTTCACCCCATAATGTTTTAGTATGCATCTCCCAAGAATAAGGTTTTTCTTCTGTATAACAAGAATATTGTAATCATACCTAAGAAAATGAATTTTATTACATATGTGTTCTATATTCAAATTTCTGTAATTACCCCAAGATGTCTTTTAAATGATTTTTAGCATTGATAGTCTGTGCCTGTGTAGATTATAACATTGGCTATTGCAAAATAATGGTTTTCTTTTTCTCTTTTTTTTTTTTTGAGACGTAATCTTGCTCTGTTGTCCAAGCTGGAGGGCAGTGGCACGATCTCGGCTCACTGCAACCTCCGCCTCCCAGGTTCAAGCAGTTCTCTTGCTTCAGCCTCCTGAGTAGCTGGGATTACAGGCATGTGCCACTGTGCTCTGCTAATTTTTATATTTTTAGTAGAGACGGAGTTTCATCATGCTGGCCAGGCTGGTCTTGAACTCCTGACCTCAGGTGATCCACCTGCCTCGTCCTCCCAAAGTGCTGGGGTTACAGGTGTGAGCCACTGCACCCAGCCTAAAATGATGGTTTTCTGATTCTAGCATTTCTTTGATAAGATTGCTATGTAAAGCACAGCTTTTCCTTTTTTAGGGAAAAATGTTTTTTAACAGCTGCAAAATAAATATTCTTTCAATGGAATGACAAATAGTTATTTATTATTTTATTTTTGCCATATATTTATTTTAAAAATTTATGTATAATGGTAACCTGAGCCTGCATGTTATTCATGTGTGGTGCCATACTGATCTTCCTTAATTTTAATATGAAGCAAGTACTAATATACTAAAGCATAAATTATATAAAATTTGCTTTATATTTTGGATTGCAAAGTAATTGTTGTACTTTATAGAAAAGTTTCCCAAATCCATTTTACTTTTTTGTATTTGAAATTTAATCACAGGTAGAATCTTAAAGAGAGCATTTAGGGATATTGTAAACAGATGTTATTAAGGACTAATGTTAACTGATGTCAAAGGACTAATATTAACAAACATTGAAGAAGAGAAAACAGTATCTGTTTTTAGCTTAACAGCTTAGTGGAGCGAAATATTTTCAGTTTATTTATTTTATTTATTTATTAATTTTTTTTTTTTTTTTTGAGATGGAGTCTGGCTGTATTTCCCAGGCTGGAGTGCAGCGGTGCAATCTCAGCTCACTGCAACCTCTGCCTCCTGGGTTCAAGCAATTCTTGTGTCTCAGCCTCCCAAGCAGTTGGGATTTACAAGTCAATTCTTTTTTTTTTTAACTAAAACTACAGAATCTATTTTTCTTGGTCTCATACTCAGGTTTTTATGTAGGCACTTCGTAAATAATGAACCTAATTTGCTTGTTTTCTCCCTATTTTGTTGAATGTTCACGGTTTGTAACTTTTATTTTTAAGCTTGTAATGACCAGCCTGCAGTCAATTCTTGAAAATGTGGATACACCAGAATTGCTTTGCAAATGTGTTAAGTGCATTCTTTTGGTGGCTCGATGTTACCCTCATATTTTCAGCACTAATTTTAGGGTGAGTTCCTCATTCCGCTGTTCAGATCATGGGGTGAGGGGGATGGTTGTGTGTGTGAGGAACTGAGGAATCAGATGGAAAACAGTGCCTCTGCTCCTTTGAATATAATCAGTGATATTTGAGGTTCCAGGGTTAAATGCCGCATTTTTCTTTCTGACGTTCGTACCTTAAAATATTTGAAGAAAATAAACTATTTCATTGTTGTCAGAAATGTAGTTCTTTTATTTTCCTGCCCCTCTCCCCTTTCTAAGTTTCTAGAATGTCAAGTAGGTAGAACATAGATGCTCCTTTTAGGATCTTTTGCTGTGAAATGGTCCACAGGTGGATTGCAGTAATATCTTAAAATGATTGGCCCCCTCTCTCTTTGTTTCCATCAAGGATACAGTTGGTATATTAGTTGGATGGCATAGAGATCATACTCAGAAACCTTCGCTCACGCAGCAGGTATCTGGTAAGTCTTGCAGCCTATACCAGTTATTTAAATACTGTCGGGGAGGAGCAGTGGTCCCCCAGTGACCATCTATCAATACCATTTCTTTAATAATGCAAGAAAACTAATTCAGAGAAATGTTTTATTGTAAATGAACATGACTTGTTAGCTAAATATATATTTTCAGAGGAAATTACTAGTAGGTGGGTAGAGTAAGTACAGACAGGACTTACCCAAGTTATTTGTAGTTTGTACTGGTAGGAAAGTATATGGTAAGAATATATTGCAGTGGCAATACCCTGAAGTGGACAATGGAAGATCCAAGTTATTTGTCACATTTTATTGTTTTTCTGGTTATTTTTTTAAAAAAGGAAATATAGGGTTAATTTGGAGAATTGTCATAAATGAGAAGTGGTTTTGTTTCCCACTTTTTTGGAGTTAAGTGAATGACTAGCGTGGCTCATTTGCACATTTCAGCTTGTTTCAAGTGTCATAGTTTCTCGTAACTTACTTGGTGTAATAAACTTTTGAAAATAAGATATTCAGGTGATAGTGGTCTGTTTCATTTTCACTGAGGAGATGAGTATACACCTTTAATGGTTAGATGTGGCCCTGGGATTAGCCGGGCCAATGGTAGATTGTGGCATTTTAGTCTTAAGTCATGTGTAGTGACAATATAGATATGAAATTTACTGAAAAAGTAAGGAAATAACATTTACCTGTTAATTTCTGCAGAAATTAAGGAGGTATTAATTAAAGAGGTATTGGTTAATCGTGATCAGCATGTTTAGCAGTCTTAATTTTATGATATAGGACATGTTTTAGGGTATGCTGCTTGAAAACCAGATACTTTTTAAAAGAAGCCTCTTATTTTTTTTAATTTGGATTTTTTGGTGTTTTTTCTCCCCCCTACCCTTTCACAATTTCTTACGCGATTCCAAGGGTGGTTGCAGAGTTTGGAGCCATTTTGGGTAGCTGATCTTGCATTTTCTACGCCTCTACTTGGTCAGTTTCTAGAAGACATGGAAGCATATGCTGAGGTGAGTATATAGAAAGCTGTTTCTTAAAATTTTGGTTAAGAAAAAATCTTAAATTGTGCTAGATTTATTTTAAAATGGCTCAGACCTCCTGACATTTAAGCAGAAATTACAAGCCCATTGCAATATTTTGAAAAATTTTTTCTTTTTGAGACGGAGTCTCGCTCTGTCACTCAGGCTGGAGTGCAATGGCACGATCTCAGCTCACTGCAACCTCCACCTCCTGGGTTCAAATGATTCTCCTGCCTCAGCCTCCCGAGTAGCTGGAATTACAGGTGCCCGCCACTACGCCCAGCTAATTTTTGTATTTTTAGTAGAGACGGGGTTTCACCATGTTGGCCAGGCTGGTCTCAAACTCCTGACCACTGGTGATCCAGCCGCGTCGGCCTCCCAAAGTGCTGGGATTATAGGCATGAGCCCCCGTGCCCAGTCAGTATTTTAAACATTTATTTCAGATGTGTTTAAGTTACCAGGAGAATTACTGGAGAGACTAAAAGAAACGTTGCAAGCTTCGTATTTCGCAAAGCTTTACATACTCTCGGTAGCTGGTATTTTTCTAAAGACATATTTTGTTATTTATTTTTATTTTTTGTTCCCAGTCTTCAGAGTCTTAAAGCAAATTGATGTTGTGTTATAAAAAAACACAAAACACCAAAAGCTCCTAAAGATTTTCCTCTTACATATGTACAGGAGATCTTGAATCGTACTTTGGAGGACAAGCCTTGGCTTCAGCCAGCTTTTGTGGCTGTACGAATATAGCATAGGAGCTTTAAGAGCGCTGCTGAAGCCTCTGTTACTGGTACTTGGCTTTTCTGGCCCCACTGTCATGGCTTAACTCTGTGCCATCTCTTATCTGAATCTCTTTGTGTTTCTCCCCTATTCAGATCAACCAGTCAAGGCTCCCATAAAGATTTTGGCCTCATCTTGTTTTTTTCATCTTTGCTGCTTGTAGTCAACAGGAATTCAGTACCTTTAGCTGTACTGATGTGTTTACTCTTTCCTAGAAAAGCAAGGAAATGTTTTGCTTCTGCGTTGTTTTTTCTTTGCCCCCACACCTAGAATGTCTTTTTTCACAGCCCACGTTTAAAGCTGATCTACCTCTCATAAGCCACACATTCTAGTTTGTAGAGATGCTTCCCCTTGTTATCCTTAAGATCTCATTCTCTTCTGTTATTTTGGTGCTTAATTTTAGGTAGATGTATACATTGGTTCTGGTATCCTAGTTTTTGCGAATCTTGTCCTTTTCATATATCGTACTTCTTCAGTTACACATCTGTAGACCAGGTCTTGTAATCTCCCTTTGCTCTTCATGTGCATGCTCTTGGTTTGGAGGACTTACTGTTGAGCTGAGTGGCTCAAAGAATACCTAGAATGAGATTTTTAGCCAAAAACTAATTCAGGAGTGGCAAAAGCTTCCGTCTTCATTTATACCTACATATAACTAGAGCATATGTGCTAGAATTTATTTTTCCCCAACAGCTTTCTGAGTTGATTTAAGAGATTATTTCCTTAATTTGTTGTCTATTGGGTTTAATGTTGGCTTTTTGAAATAATTAGGTAAAACCCATTTTTATATTCAGAGTCATGAATATTCTCATGGGCCACAGTTCTCTTTCTAAAAGCCTAAAAATCTATTCTAAAATGAATTGATTGAAATATTTTAGAGTTTTTTTTTTTTTTGTTTTGTTTTTTTAAACAATGTACTACTTATTAAGAATGCTGTGAATTCACATCTAGGACCTCAGCCATGTGGCCTCTGGGGAATCAGTGGATGAAGACGTCCCTCCTCCATCAGTGTCATTACCAAAGCTGGCTGCGCTTCTCCGGGTATTTAGTACTGTGGTGAGGAGCACTGGGGAAAGCCTCAGCCCAATTCGGGCCCTCCAATTACTGAGGCATACGTAACAGATGTAAGTGCTTTTGGGCATTTGAAGTGTCATTCAAAAATAAAATTGTTTTACATTGTAAATGCTTCTCTTTACCAGGTGAACTGTTATTAATCCTTCATTTGTTTAGCATGTATGTATGTATGTATATATGTATATATTGTCTGACTGCTTTCTTAAACAACCAGAAAAGCAGGGAATCCTGTTATAGCTCATCCTCCTTTCATCCAACTCCCCTACCCTCCCATGACAAAAGGCCACTCTGAATTTTTAAATCTCATTCTTTCATTTTTAAATAATATTTCTTATAATTTTACTTTTAAATTATTGGGTTTCCTTTTAGTTTTTCAACATATTACGAATAGCACACTATAGGAGAAGCCTCAGAAAGTAATCTTCTCTGAGCATAAGATGGAACTCATATGAAAACTTGTGTATCTTTATATTCTTTGATAGCCTGATATCAAAGAACATAAACAAATTAAAAATGAGGTAGCTAGATTGCCACACTTCAGCAGCCTCAGACATTAGCTGCACTGTATATAGCACATCCAGTGAGGGTTCAGTGGAAAAGACACAAGAAATGAACCCCAGGCATTGTACTCTGCTTTGAATAAGGAGAAAGAAGCATGTGTGATACCGTCATAAAAAATTTAATCTAACTGATGAAAATTTTACCGTTAGGATAAAACTTGCTTTTAGGAGCATATACTTTTGCTGAACATGTTGCTAAATAAAATAGGATACTGATTATATAGTAAGTTGTGTACTTGAGCAGAAATGTCAGAACTTAAAGATAAATGAAACCAGCATATCGGTATTTTAAACCAATATGGTTTCAAAATGGTTTAATATCTTTGCTTCATTTTTAATGTCTAAAAGGTGGTTGTTTGAAGACTGTACAGAGTTGAAATAAAAAGCCGTTAATTCAGACATAAAATAAAGGGGACATAATTTATAGGATAGGTGTATATTGATTTATGAGGATCTTTTAGGCCTTTGAGAATGGTAGAATGGTGGGGTTTTTATTTTTTTTATTTATTTTTGGAGCTGGAACCTCACTCTGTCACCCAGGCTGGAGTGTAGTAGTTCAATCATAGCTCACTGTAGTCTTGAACTCTTGGGCCCAGGTGAACTTCCCACCTCACTCAGCCCTACAAGCGGGTGTCACCATACCCAGCTTTTTTTTTTTTTTCCTTTTTAAAGTGGGGTGGTGCCATCACGACTCAGTGCAGCCTCTATCTCTTGGGCTCAAGTGATCCTCCCAGCATAGCTCCTGCTAATTTTTTATTTTTGTAGAGATGGGGTCTCAGTGTTTCCCAGGCTGGTCTTGAACTTTTGGCCTCAAGCAGTCTTCCCACCTCAGCCTCCCAAAGTGTTGGGATTATAGACATGAGCCACTGTGCATGCATGGCCAAGAATGCTTCCCCCTCCGCCCTCTCCCCCCCACTCTTTTTTTTTTGGAGACATGGTCTCTGTTGCCCAGGCTGGAGTGCAGTGGCACGATCTTGGCTCACTGCAGCCTTGACCTCCCAGGCTTAAGTGATCCTCCCACCTCAGCCTCTCAAGTAGTTGGTGGGACTACTGGTGTGAGCCACCACACCCAACTAATTTAGAAACAAATTTGGTAGAGATGAGGTGTTGTTATGTTGACATGGCTGGTCTCAAACTCCTGGACTCAAGAGAACCTTCCAGCTAATCCTCTCAAAGTGCTAGGATGATAGATGTGAGTCACTATGCCCAACCTCTAAGGATACTTTTAATGAAAACTATGGGTAGACTAAATAAAATCCTGTATGTATTGGTTGTTAAATATTATAGAAATATTTTTTAACATTTGCTCTGTTTTCTCCCCTATTTTATTAGAAATTTAGTACACAATTATTGGCCATTATAGTTAAGTGGGGGATTTTGTGTGTGTGTGTATTGGAAATAATATGATTTTTGAAGATATTATGTGGCAAGCATGAGAGTGCTTATCTTTCAAAAGAGACCATCAGTAGATAGAAACTTTAATAAGCTTAAAGTGACTTGTATGTTCAGTTTTGAAAGATTGATTCCCAAAAGCCCAAGAGCTAGCTTGTAGTATGTGTGGGCAGGCTATTCCCATGCTGTCAATACCATTACTGTCGTGGTGTATTTCATGATAAAGATTCTGAGCTTCAGCCATTTAGTGACATTGGGAGAAACGAAGTTGGGTATGTGGGAAATAGAGGATGGCAGCTTCCATTTCCTGTCATAGTAGCACTTTAGGATTTTTTAGCCAAGATCATGTTTACATATTGTAGTAAAGGCATCATTATTATTCAGCTACTGAGAACTAGAATATTAAGAGACTGCTGGCAAGGCAAGCAGTTAATTTTCAGTTGAAATTGCATTAAATAGAAAGTATTTTCTTGCTTTGTGGAAGCACGTGAATTTTTTTAAAAAGCTGCTGGTTTTCCCCATTTACAGGTTCTGTACAGAGTAATGAGATGTGTGACGGCTGCAAACCAGGTGTTTTTTTCTGAGGCTGTGTTGACAGCTGCTAATGAGCGTGTTGGTGTTTTGCTCGGCAGCTTGGATCCTAGCATGACTATACATTGTGACATGGTCATTACATATGGATTAGACCAACTGGAGAATTGCCAGACTTGTGGTACCGATTATATCATCTCAGTCTTGAATTTACTCACGCTGGTATGTGAATTATTCTTTTCCTTTTTAATGTGTTGGTTTATTCAGGCCCTTAAATGGATATGTAAGAAATTAAGGGCTTTGTCTGGGTATGGTGGCTCATGCTTGTAATCCCAGCGCTTTGGGAGGCCAAAGCAGAAGGGTTGCTTGCATCCAGGAATTCTGGCACAGCTTGGGCAATGTAGTGAGACCCCATCTGTACAAAAAGTCAAAAATTAGCTTGGTGTAGTGGTGTGCACCTGCAGTCCTAGCTACTCGGGAGGCTGATGGAGGAGGATCGATTAAGCCCAGGAACTTGAGGTTGAAGTGAGCTCTGATTGTGCCACTGCACTCAGCCAAGGTGACAAAAAAGGACCTGTCTCCAAAAAAGAAAAAAAATAAGGGCTTTGCTTTATTATATAATTTTTTTAGAGTACATTCATCAGTCTTATAATCTGTGCTTTCATTTTAGTGTCTATTTACTTTTATTTTTAATGCAATTTTTTTTTTGAGACAGGGTCTCACTCCGTTGCACAGGATGAAGTGCAGTGGCATGATTTTGGCTCACTGTAGCCTTGACCTCTTGGGTTCAGGTGATCCTCCCACCTCAGCCCCCCAGGTAGCTAGGACTACAGGCGTGCACCACCACACCTGGCTAATTTTTTATATTATTTTGTAGAGATGGAGTTTTGCCATGTTGCCCAGGCTGGTCTTGAATTCTTGGGCTCAAGCAATCCACCTGCCTTGGCCTCCCAAAGTACTGGGATTATAGGCATGAGCCACTCTGCCAGGCCTCTATTTTTAGTGGTTGATAGCTAGTCTCATTGTAGCTTTACTCGTTTTTTCTGAGGAAACATTGCTCTACGCACCAGATTCTTTCTTTTTTTCTTTTCTTTTCTTTCTTTTTTTTTTGGTCACAGGATCTTGCTGTATTCCCCTGGCTGGAGTGCAGCGGTACAATCAGAGCTCACTGCAGCCTCAAACTCCTGGGCTCAAGTGATCCTCCCACTCAGCCTCCCGACTATCTGGGACTACAGATGCATGCCACCATGCCTGGCTAACCTTTATATTTTTTGGAGAGAAGGGGTCTCGCTACATTGTCTAGGCTGGCCTTAAATTCTTGGTCTCAAGTAATCCTCCTGCCTTGCCCTCCCAAAGTGCTGGGATTACAGGTGTGAGCAATCATGCCTGGCCTCCTTTAATTTTTTTTTTTTTTTTTTTTTTTTTTTTTTGAGACGGAGTCTCGCTCTTTTGCCCAGGCTGGAGTGCAGTGGCACAATTGTATTTTTAGTAGAGACGGGGTTTCACCATGTTAGCCAGGATGGTCTCGATCTCCTGACCTCGTGATCTGCCTGCCTTGGCCTCCCAAAGTGCTGGGATTACAGGCGTGAGCCACCGCGCCCGGCCGGCCTCCTTTAATTTCTTAACCATAAATATCCTCCCCCCACTTTTATTATGGACGTTCTGAAGCACATAAAAATAGGGAGCATAGTATAATAAATTTGTACATATTTAACACTCAGCTTCTATAATTAGAAACAAATGGCCCATCTGGTTTCATCTAGGCCTCTTTGCTATCCTTTCATCTCCAACTGGATTATTTTAAAGCAAATTCTAGATGACATTCTGCTGAGCATTTCTGCCAGAATTACACCTCTCTTTGCTAATGTGAAAAAATGCCCATGATAACTGTAAAATACGTGTGTCCTATTTAGGTGTCTAAACACTTTAATGTCACAGTATTAAGGCCTTAAAATATAGCTTAGATATATTTTTCTAAATTAAAAGACTTCATTTTTTAGATATACAGAAAATTGAGCAGAAAACAGTGAGTTCCCATATACCTTCTTCATCCCAACAGTTTCCCCCTCATTAACATATTGTGTTAGTGTGGTACATTTATTACAAAGGAGTGAATATTGATATATTATTATTAACTAATTTTATAGTTTACTTTGTGTTATGTATTCTATGGACTTTAACATGTGTAATGACATGTTTCCCCTATTACCAGTATCATACAGGATAGTTTCACTTCCCTAAAAATCTTTTATGTTCTACCCACTCCTTCCTCGTTCCCTCTCCCCACTCCTCCCTCCCCCCATCTTAAGCCCATGGCAACCCCTGATCTTTTTACTGTCTCCATCGTTTTGCCTTTTCCAGAATGCCATGTAGTTGGAGTCATATAGTATGTAGCCTTTTCAGTTGGCTTCTTTCACTTACCAGTGTGCCTTTAAGGTTTCTCCATGTCTTTTTGTAATTTGAGAAGCTCATTTTTTAAAAATTTTATTCTTTTAGATTGTTGAACAGATAAATACGAAACTGCCATCATCATTTGTAGAAAAACTGTTTATACCATCATCTAAACTACTATTCTTGCGTTATCATAAAGAAAAAGAGGTAAGTAATACACTGATAATGAATTTTGACAACTTGAGTCACTGAAGAGTTGGACCTAATGTTGCTTACCCCAGGCTATATAAGTGAAATTGAGTGAAATGTGAAATGTTTGATTTAGAATATAGTGATTGTATTTGTTCTTTTAAATTTATATTTCTTGATAATCATACTGAATACTTTCATGAATGGTGTGCCAGATACTCTTTTCAGACTATGCATCTTTTGCTGTTATTAAATTTATTAAATTTTCATAAGGGTAAAACAAGTTGACACATTTATAAAGTTATAAATTAAGAAGTACTGTATATTTGGTAAACAAAAATGACTGGCTTTTCAACCACCCCCTAGTCAAATCCACCACAGACTTTCCTGGTAGATTTAAGAAACCCAGTCTTAAACTGCTGTTTGCATATGTCTTTTGATGTTGATTATTAAAAAAAAAAAACAAAAACGGCCATTTTGGAAATTTCCTATTGACAGTTTTCATTTATAGTACTCTTTATTTGTGATAAAACTTAATAGATTTGAAATAGCATACTGATCTGTGTCAGTTTTCTGATTGGTTTTTAAAAAATTAAAATATTAAATGCTACAGACAGTGAATTGATCGATCTTAAATTTATTTGTATCATCAGCACTAATACAGATAGTGATTTATTTTCCATATAATTTTAGAAGATTTATTTTCCATTTATCACTTCCTTGAATTTTTTGTTTTTCAGGTTGTTGCTGTAGCCCGTGCTGTTTATCAAGCAGTGCTCAGCTTGAAGAATATTCCTGTTTTGGAGACTGCCTATAAGTTAATATTGGGAGAAATGACTTGTGCCCTAAACAACCTCCTGCACAGTCTGCAGCTTCCTGAGTCCTGTTCTGAAATAAAACATGAGGCTTTTAAGAATCATGTGTTCAATGTAGACAATGCAAAATTTGTAGTTAAATTTGACCTCAATTGACTACAAAATTTGTAGTTAAATTTGACTACAATTGGAAATGCCAAAAACTCACTAATAGGGGTGAGTCTTTAATTGTAATGACTTTGTTTTATCCACATTACATATTTATGTATTTCACTGTTATGTCAACATGTCTGCAGAATCACTGTATGTAACAAACAGCCATATTTAAGACATGCCTGGATAAATAAAATTGGTAGGAATGTTTTCTTGCCATTATATTTAACTTTTCTTCTTTTTCCTTGACAAATCTTGATAAGTTTTTTTATATTAGTTTTATTTTCTAGAAAATGTCTTATGAATTTCTCCTATTTGCTCTAGCATGCTTACAGAAAATGTCAGTGTTTCTTACAGCTCAAATTTGTATAGTTGTTTTAAAATGCGGTCTCTTTCTTCTTCCCCTGGTACTTTTTTCTTTCTGTGTACTGAAGTTAGTTCTTATACATGGTCTTATATTTTGGCTGTCTGTTTTTCCCTAGGAACATTCATACAGGTTGAATATTCCTTATCTGAAATACTTGGGACTGGAAGTGTTTTCGATTTTGGATTTTGGAATACTTTTTTTTTTTTTTTGGAGATAGTGTTTTTACTCTTGTTGCCCAGGCTGGAGTGCAATGGCGCGATCTTGGCTCGCTGCAACCTCCGCCTCCCGGGTACAAGCGATTCTCCTGTTTCAGCCTCCCAGGTAGCTCGGATTACAGGCATGCACCACCACCCCTGGCTAATTTTTTTGTATTTAGTAGAGATGGGTTTTCACCATGTTAGCCAGGCTGGTTGTGAACTCCTGACCTCAGGTGATCCACCTGCCTTGGCCTCCCAAAATGCTGGGATTACAGGTGGGCACCACCATGCCCAGCCGGAGTTTGGAATATTTTCATAACACTTACTGGTGAGCATCCCTAATCTGAAAATCCTAAATCTAAAATGCTCCAAAATTTGAAACTTTTTGAGCACCAGTATGATGCCCCAAGTGGAAAATCCCACACCCGACCTCATGTGATGAGTCCAAACTGTTGTATGCCCAAAATTATTTAAAATATTGCATAAAATGACCTTCAGGCTATGAATAGAAGGTGTCTATGAAACATAAGTGAATTTCGTCTTTAGACTTGGGTCCCATCCCCCACATATCTCATTTTATATATATGCAAGTATTCTCAAATCCAAACATATACAAAGTCTGAAACACTTCTGGTCCCAAGCATTTTGAATAAGGGATACTGAACCTGTAGTCTTCCTTTTGGTGGTGGTGGGGGGACTTTTTTTTTTTTTTTTTTTTTTTTTTTTTTTTTTTGGGGGGGAGACAGAGTCATGCTGTTGTCAACTGGGCTGGAGTGCAGTGGTGCAATCTCGGCTCACTGCCACCTCTGCCTCCCGGGTTCCAGCAATTCTCCTGCCTCAGCCTCCCGAGTAGCTAAGATTACAGACACTTGCCACTACGACGGGCTAATTTTTGTATTTTTAGTAGAGACTTGGTTTCACCATGTTGGTCAGGCTGGTCTCAAACTCCTGACCTCAGGTGATCCACCTGCCTCAGCCTCCCAAAGTGCTGGAATTACAGGCATGAGCCACCGCGCCCAGCCCGTGTGGTTTTTTTTTTTTTAAGTAATTCGACATGGCCCTGCTCTTGATTTGTATTTATTGTTTATGGTTTGTGTATTTCTTCTTCCTATTGGACCACACAGAGTTGAAAAACATCATTTTTAATAGAAAATAATAGGTGTAGGCTGGGCACGGTTGCTGACACCTGTAAACCCAGCACTCTGGGAGGCCAAGTCAGGCTGATCACCTGTGGTCAGGAGTTTGAGACCAGCCTGGCCAACATGGTGAAAGCTCGCCTCTACTAAAAATAGAAAAATTAGCCAGGGGTGGTGGTGCACACCTGTAATCCTAGCTACTTTGGAGGGTGAGGTAGGAGAATTGCTTGAACCCAGGAAGTGGAGGTTGCAGTGAGCTGAGATCACACCACCGCACTCCAGCCTGGGCTACAGAGCCAGACTCTGTCTCAAAAGAAAAAAAAAAAAAAAGAAAGAAACAAAGAAAGAAATGGATGTAATTAGGGAATAAAGTTTTTAGGAGGAAGAAGGTAAAATTTGATGTTTGCGCTTCAATGTGCTCCGTGTTGTTTGATTGGATTGCCTTGTATAATTCCATAGCTGCTTCGCTTATTACCAGTTACAGTTTATGTTTGAAGTCACAATAAACTCTTCTTCAAACATGAAAGCTTGATTTTTGAGGAAAATTATTCACATTATTTACAGATTCAAAGATGTTTATGTCCTGTACTCTAGAAATAAGGAGAAAGTGGGTGGGGATGGGGCAGTCAGGTGGAGTGGAGTGTCTTGGCAGTGTAAAGGAAAAAGATGGATGGAAAAGGTGTAGGGTGGCAGGGTGTGCCTCTGTTTCCTTATTGAACAGGGCACCTTGCCATTTGCAGTATATGGAAAATTGAGGAAATACAGTCTACTTCCGCAAAAGGCACATACAAAGGGCTCTGTTTAGACCAGAGATCAGCAAACTATGGTCTGTGGGCCAAATACAGCCCAGCACCTGTTTTTTGTCTGTTATTTTAAGTGTATAATTCACTGATTTTTACTATATTCACAGAAGTGTACAACCATCACAACACTAGTGCCTGTTTTTGTAAAGAAAGTTCTTGTTGGGCTGGGCGCAGTGGTTCACGCCTGTAATCCCTCGGGAGACTGAGACAGGCAGATCACCCAAGCTCAGGAGTTCAAGACCAGCCTGGCCAACATGGTGAAACCCTATCTCTACTAAAAAAATACAAAAGTTAGCAGGGCGTGGTGATGGGCACCTGTAATCTCAGCTACTTGGGAGACTGAGGCAGGGAGAATTGCTTGAACCCCGGAGGTAGAGGTTGCAGTGAGCTGAGATCGCCCCATTGCACTCCAGCCTGGGCGACAGAGCGAGAGACTCCGACTCAAGAAAGTTTTCTTGGAACACAGGTACTCTCATTCCTGTGTTTTGTGTGTGGCTGGTGTTTTGTTTTGAGAGAGAGAGTCTTAACTTTGTCATCTAGGCTGGAGTGCATTGGTATGATCTCGGGTCACTGCAACCTCTGCCTCCCAGGTTCAAGCGATTCTCCTGCCTCAGCCTCCCGAGTAGCTGGGATTACAAGTGTGCGCCACCATGCCCAGCTACTTTTTGTAATTTTAGTAGAGATGGGGTCCCGCTGTGTTGCCCAGGCTGGTTTCAAACTCCTGGGCTCAAGTGATCTGCCCACCTTAGCCTCCCAAAGTGCTAGGATTACAGGTGTGAGCCACAACACCTGACCTGTGGCTGTTTTCTTACTGTAGCGATAGACGAGGAGTTGCTGCATTGCATAGAGATGCTATATTGCACGCAAAGGCTTTACTGACTTCACAAAAAAGTATTTGTCCCAGGTGTAGTGTACTAGATCCCTTCCAATCTGTAATTTTAATTTAAAAATGTCCAAATACCCCTGTTTTGAAGGATAAACTCTGTATGCTTGTGCTTATTTTGGAGAAGCCATAAACTTACTTTGTTTTGTACATGATCAGATGTGGGCGCTATCTCCAACTGTCTTTGCACTTCTGAGTAAGAATCTGATGATTGTGCACAGTGACCTGGCTGTTCACTTCCCTGCCATTCAGTATGCTGTGCTCTACACATTGTATCCTCATTGTACCAGGTACTGTATTCACAAATTTTTCTTAAGAAAAGAACCCCACAAAACATTTTATTTTTTTAATGGATAGATTTTGAAGATGTATGTTGATTTAACTTTGGACTTGCTTGCTTTCTTTGATTAAAGATGAAAAGATAATCTATGCTTTGTCTTTCAGGCATGATCACTTTATCTTTAGTAGCCTCAGTTCTTCCTCTCCTTCTTTGTTTGATGGAGCTGTGATTGGCACTGTAACTATGGCCACAAAGAAACATTTCTCAATTATATTAAATCTTCTGGGAATGTTACTTAAGAAAGATAACCAGGACACGAGGTAACAGATATTATATAGTATTAACCATTCCTAACTTTGTTAATTTGCCTTTATAATTTGAGAAGAAGAAATGTGGATTACAAAAAATTTAAAAAAATGTGGATTATAGAGGTGAGGTAGAGCAGCTTCTTTATTGTCAAACACCTTATAATTTGGTTTTATTATTTAATCTAGGCTTTCTTATTCTTTCTGAAAAGAAATACATGAAAAACCTCAATCCCCCACGCCCAGTGTTTCATAGAAGAATATATATAGATTTTTAATATTCTTTGCTTTTTTTTTTTTAAGACGGAGTTTTGCTCACTGTAACCTCTGCCTCCCAGGTTCAAGCAATTCTCCTGCCTCAGCCTCCCAAGTAGCCGCGATTACAGGTGCCCGCCACCACACCTGGCTAATTTTTGTATTTTTTTTTTTTTTTTTTTTGTATATATGTTAAGGTTTAATACCCAAAGTATATAAAAAACTTCTACAATTCAACAACAAAAAGACAAAACATTTTAAAACAAAATGGTTGTAAACAAACAACAAAAAGACAACCATTTTTGTCCATCTTACAATGGACAAAAGGCTTGAATAAACATTTCTCCAAAGAAGATAAACAAATGGCCAATAAGCACTTGAAAAGATGTCAACATCATTAGTCAATGGAGACATACAAATTAAAACTCCAAGCTATCACTTCACACTTACTATGATGACTATTATTAAAAAATGGAAAATAACAAGTGTTGTTGAGGATATGGGGAAATTGAAATCTTTATAAGTTAGCAATAGGAATGTGAAATGGTGCAGCTGATGTGGAAAACAGTTTGGCAGTTCCTCAATAATTTTTGTATTTTTAGTAGAGATGGTGTTTCACCATGTTGTTGGCCAGGCTGGTCTTGAACTCCTGACCTCAGGTAAGCCACCACGCCCGGCCTCTTTGCTATTATCATGCTGCGTTGGGAGGTTTTCTTAAAAGGCACACAACAATTTTGACAGTAATTTCTATAGTTTCATTTTTTATTTTTATTTTTTATTGTTTGAGATGTTTGAAAAACCAAGAGAAAACCAATGTAAGAAGACTAGGCTTTTAACTTTTTTTTGTTTTTGTTGTTTTTTTTTTTTAATGTACAGTCAACTGTATATTTTGTGTTTCAGGAAACTGTTAATGACTTGGGCTTTGGAAGTAGCTGTTGTAATGAAGAAGTCCGAAACATATGCACCTTTATTCTGTCTTCCGTCTTTCCATAAATTTTGCAAAGGCCTTTTAGCCGACAGTAAGACTCTGGTTTTTTTTTTCTATTTTGTTTATCAGTCCTTAAAAGGGTCTTTGGTAATGGGAGATGGTCATGAATCGAGCTCTTTTCCTGACCTGAAGATGTGTAATCCTCATTTTAATGACAGATACACAGTCTTGATTTTTTTTCATTCTTAGTATTAGAAAAATGTTTTGAAGTGATTGTCACATTTTTAAGCTAACGTGAATGTTTATAGTTTACATATACTTTTACATTTTCTCTCAGAAAAAGTTTTGTGTGATGACCCATCAGTTACATTACGTGGGTTTTGTTGAATGTGTCATTTTTCCAAATGTGACAGTCAATGAGGATTCTGGACAAGAACAGTGCCTAGTCTATAGTAGGCACTCACTCTTTGTTGAATGAATGAATGGATTCAGATAATTATGACAAACTGGGATATAATTTCTTTTGGCCAGCTGAAAGTAACTGTCTTTTAATGTTTAATAGCTCTCGTTGAAGATGTGAATATCTGTCTGCAGGCATGCAGCAGTCTACATGCTCTATCCTCTTCCTTGCCAGATGATCTTTTACAGAGGTATGAAATTAAGATCATGTCTTTTGACATTAACCCTAATAACCTGGAACTGTTAACACACCTGCTTTGTCTATTTCGTTCTTTCATAGATGTGTTGATGTTTGCCGTGTCCAACTAGTGCACCGTGGAACTTGTATTCGACAAGCATTTGGAAAACTGTTGAAATCAATTCCTTTAGGTGTTTTCCTAAGGTATAACAGTTGTTTTGAAGCAAAGACGTTCTGTGATATTTACAGCCTCTACTGGTTGTCTACTTTAGGAGAAGACAGATCACCTATTAGAGCATTAATGACACATCTTTTATGGCCCTGCTTGTCAGTGATTGAAGTGATGTCAAATAACCAAATTTTGCAGGTCTGCAAGAAAATTAAAAATTTTTAATGAGCTTTATAGGCTCACAATAATTAGTATAGAATAACTCATGTAGTGCCAAAATATGTTTCTTAGTAGCTCAGATATTTGAAAAACTAAACAGTAATCTTTTATTGTTTTTGATCAAGTTGATTTGGGAGCTTTTAAGAGCCTAAACTTGATCCTTTTGTAATAGATAAGCATAATGATTGGGTTTTTATGTTCACATGTTTGATATGCCTCCCTCAAATCCTCTTATGATGTCGGCACATGACCCATCTGAGGTGAATAAAAAAAGGATCTAAAGTTGTAATCACATCTCTGTATCCATTTGAAAGTCTCAATTTTACTATATTTTTACCTCCAGTGAGTTAATAAGTAAATAATCCACTTACAGTATGTGCTAACCTTTTAAGCTAAAATATTTTGCATAACAACAACTTTATTTTCTGTCTACAGCGATAACAATCACACAGAAATTCAAGAAATTTCTTTAGCATTAAGAAGTCACATGAGTAAAGCACCAAGTAATACATTCCACCCCCAAGATTTCTCTGATGTTATTAGTTTTATTTTGTATGGGAACTCTCATAGAACAGGGTAAGACATTTCTTTGACTATTTTATCTGGGAAAGAAAATTTTAAGATTCCCTTGACTTTACATGCAGTTTTGAAGAGAAAATATGTTTGGGGGTGGCAGAGTATCAAGTAACATTCTTCTCATATGGGTTATTTCAGTTTTCATCAATAGGAAAATTGCTTTGAAGATAGCATCTGTAGAAACAAAAATGGGCTTTGAAATTGAGTAATGAAATGTGGTTAACAGTTAACTGATGTGATGTCATTAACACTTTGGGGAGTGGGGTGGGGGTGGAGATATTCTAGAGATGCTTAGTTGCATTGAATGAGTTTCATTCCTGACTGGCATGAGCCGTTTACCCTAATCATCCTTCCACACTGTACCTCATCCTGTTAACTATACAAGACCTCAAAATGAGAGGGGGGGACATAATGCTTCTCAATTTCATAGGTTTTGCCTTTTTTTGGAGTAGGGAAAATTACAGTTCCTTATTCCCATTCCCCTTGCATTTTTTTTTCATTATTAAAATGAAGTTGTCATTGTCTTTTAAATATGAAACTACTTTTCCCAGGAAGGACAATTGGTTGGAAAGACTGTTCTATAGCTGCCAGAGACTGGATAAGCGTGACCAGTCAACAATTCCACGCAATCTCCTGAAGACAGATGCTATCCTTTGGCAGTGGGCCATATGGGAAGCTGCACAATTCACTGTTCTTTCTAAGCTGAGAACCCCACTGGGCAGAGCTCAAGACACCTTCCAGACAATTGAAGGTAACTCGCTCAAGCTTTATGATGTGAATACTTTCAAAGCCTTATTGAGAAATAATGGATTTTTAAATCTTTGTTAAAGATTTGAGGGTATATGATTTTTTTTGAAAAAAGTCAATAATTTTCAGGTTTGTTTGTTAGAATAAGCTTTCATTGAATAATTGCATTGGAAATATGTTTGTTTTTTTTCCAAAACTTATGGGAGTTGTGTGGAAAAAATATATATTTTTTTCCCCTAAAATGAAAGATCTTTCATGTTGGGATTTTTTATTTTTAAATGATGGGTAGACAGAGGATACTTGATAAATGTGAATTGGTCATAAAAAACTCACACTTATTCTAGGAACTTTTAAGATTTTTAAAAATTCAGAATGTTGTCTTTGCTTTCAGGTATCATTCGAAGTCTCGCAGGTCACACATTAAACCCTGATCAGGATGTTAGTCAGTGGACAACTGCAGACAGTGATGAAGGCCATGGTAACAACCAACTTAGACTTGTTCTTCTTCTGCAGTATCTGGAAAATCTGGAGAAATTAATGTATAATGCATACGAGGGATGTGCTAATGCCTTAACTTCACCTCCCAAGGTTGGTTTCCGGGAGATAGTGTTGTTTTATAGCAGTTTAATGGTCACAGCTGGCAGTATGTGCAGAGCTGAAATCACAATAGACTTGTGTATTTGGTTTATATATAGGTGAGACATCCTTACCTACAAATTGAACCAGTCCTGAGCTTTTCTTTCTCTTATCGTAAAGGTCATTAGAACTTTTTTGTATACCAATCGCCAAACTTGTCAGGACTGGCTAACGCGGATTCGACTCTCCATCATGAGGGTAGGATTGTTGGCAGGCCAGCCTGCAGTGACAGTGAGACATGGCTTTGACTTGCTTACAGAGATGAAAACAACCAGCCTATCTCAGGTAAAGTGGTGTGTTTGAAATTCATTTTAAGTCTGTTAATAAGAAAAACATGGTTTAATTCCTTTGGTATGATTTAATCTATGGATAAAATAAGTTAAAGCTTGGATTCATTTTCAAAGGTTTTGATCCTGTATTTTGTAAAAGCAACAACTGCCAGAGTTACCTATTTTATTCGTGTTAAAACAGTGTTAGAAGTCAAAATAATGTTCATGTTTTTGTTCATGTTAAAACAATATTCATGTTAGAACACGTTAAAACTCTATTTCTTCCGTGCAAAGTTTAGAACTTTAAAGGTAATTCTGAAAATTTGTTTATGGGGGAAAATTTTTATTTATTTATTTATTTTTTTGAGACACAGTTTCACTCTGTCGCCCAGGCTGGAGTGCAGTTGTGCGATCTCGGCTCACTGTAAGCTCCGCCTCTCGGGTTCAAGCCTCTTCTTGCCTCAGTCCCTGGGATTACAGGCACCCACCACCATACCCGGCTAAGTTTTGTATTTTTAGTAGAGACAGGGTTTCACCATGTTGGCCAGGCTGGTCTCGAACTCCTGACCACAAGTGATCCGCCCACCTCGGCCTTCCAAAGTGCTGGGATTACAGGCATGAGCCATTGCACCTGGCCAGGAGAAATTGTTTTTATAACGTATGACAAATGCTTGAGTAATTCCTGGATTGAAAGTGGGCTCACAATAAATAACTGGAATCCAAAAATAACAAAATGTTTAGCAATTCAGGTAATGTCAAGCAGTATTCAAACACATGAAGTTAATCATTCCTTAATTCCTGTTTATTTATATTTCATTTTTGCTTTCTTTTTACTCCATGTGTTATTCCTACAGAGGTCACAGGTTAAATGTTTTTGGGTAACTTTGGGGTGGGGGTACAAACATCCATGTGCTGCTAAGGTTCTGTTAGTCACCCTTTGTGGCTATTTTATATGTAACATTTTAAAGAATTCTGAGCTAAATAATGTGAAAATTGTGACAATAATTGTTAAATACATTTGGCTTTAAGCAGGCACAGACTGTGATCAGTTGTAAATTTTATAGGGATTTATGTTTTAATGGTATTGGGTGACTAACTTTTCTGAATGCGTTTTCAGGGGAATGAATTGGAAGTAAGCATTATGATGGTGGTAGAAGCACTATGTGAACTTCATTGTCCTGAAGCTATACAGGGAATTGCTGTCTGGTCATCATCTATTGTTGGAAAACATCTTCTGTGGATTAACTCAGTGGCTCAACAGGCTGAAGGGAGGTAGGTTGGAGGGAAGGAAATGGGTGATAGAATTACTTTATGTTTAAGTTCTTTGTATTACTCACTGACATTGTAGCCAAATCTTAAAACAGCTTTGTTTGCTTTCAGCATTGAAGCTTGCTATAAATCCCTTCACCAGGAGGCATCTTCAGTTTGTTCTTCAGTTAGCAGCAATACTGGAGTGCCTTTCTTATTTAAGAATTAGTGGCAAATCACACTGTAAAACAAGACCTGTCAGTTGTTTTATAAATGCTTTTGAACTTGATCCCTAGTTGAGCTCCTTCCCCCTCAGAGTCTGATACAAATTACCCTTTATTGTCAGAGTATTTGCTCGTTAGTCCTGTGAACTCTACATTCAGACTCATTGCTTCCTCCGGGTAGAGGAGCTTGTACCATAATATTCTGTGTCCATTTATGTTAGTTTAATGAAATCTTGCGAACTTAGGAAAATAAAAGAACTGCTCATACTTCCATATCTTTGTAGTAACTTCTGTTGTGTGTCCTTTTGTAGTCCCATATTTCCATATCCATACGCTTTGTAATTCTTTTTTCTTTCATGTCGTTTTCTCCATTCTTCACCAAAACATCAGCGTACATAGGCACATGGTTTTATGATCTGTTTTTCCCACTCAATATTTAAAAAAACAAAATTTGCCATGTTAGGTAGGCTGGGTTCGGTGGCTTACATCTGTATTCCCAGCACTTTGGGAGGCCGAGGCAGGCGGATCACCTGAGGTCAGGAGTTCAAGACCAGCCTGGCCAACATGGTGAAACCCCGTCTCTACTAAAAATACAAGAAAATTAGCCGGGCATGGTGGCGAGTGCCTGTAATCCCAGCTACTCAGGAGGCTGAGGCAGGAGAATCGCTTGTACACGGGAGGCAGAGGTTGCACTGAGCTGAGACAGTGCCATTGCACTCCAGCCTGGGCAAGAAGAGCAAAACTTCATCTCAAAAAAAAAAGTAAGTAGTTAGATAAATAAAGAAATAAGACTGCTTCAATTTGCTTTTCAGGTTTGAAAAGGCCTCTGTGGAGTACCAGGAACACCTGTGTGCCATGACAGGTGTTGATTGCTGCATCTCCAGCTTTGACAAATCGGTGCTCACCTTAGCCAGTGCTGGGTGTAAGAGTGCCAGCCTGAAACATTGTCTGAATGGTGAGCGTTCAGCATTTTTAAATAAAGCAAAAGTTATAGTAATATATTTCGTACTGATGATCTTATCATGTTTTTAGGTTTCTGTGCTCTTTGAAATATTTCTAATTGATCTGAATCTCTCTCTTCTTATTTTATAAAATACTTTCAGGTGAATCCAGAAAAAGTGTGCTGTCCAAACCGACTGACTCTTCCCCTGAGGTTATAAATTATTTAGGAAACAAAGCATGTGAGTGCTACATCTCAACTGCCGATTGGGCTGCTGTGCAGGAATGGCAGAACGCTATCCATGACTTGAAAAAGAGTACCAGTAGCACTTCCCTCAACCTGAAAGCTGACTTCAACTATATAAAGTAAGGCTTTCTGTTTCCAGTTATAAAACAAATTTCCAATAACTATGATGTTTTTCCTATGGCAAAAAAAATATTAAAATTGGTCATATGCAGTAATACTCAAAATGGTTATATTTCTAACTTACTGCCATTATGAAAATGACAACAGGAAACTGACATCAGAGATGAGGGAAGGTATTTGTATAATGGGAAAACACTGCTGAGATAGTCATTTGGTATTAATTTTCAGAACCTGTCGTTCTAAAACCTTAATACAGTTTGAAGATTATGCCAGAGTGAATATAAAGAAAAATTTGTACTGCTTTAGAAAGAATCACATTTGATGGCTTTGTTTCGAAATGAGGTCTGAATATATCAAAAACATTTATTCTAATGAGGACAGAGTTTGTGAACATCTGTAAATTAAACTTTCTTCTCATTCCTCTGTGCTTTTATTAATTCTGTAATTCAAAACTGAGCACTCACTCTGTTGCAGACACTTGGCTGGGAAGATAAAGGTCATTAGACTTTGTCTGATACCCTTGCCTTCTACTGCTAAATGGGTTAATGTGTAATTGCTTCACTGAGCATGTGCTGTGACCCAGGCAGCACATAAAACAGACACAAATTCCAACCTTTTAAAGCAAAGATTAGATAAAGATTATTGATAGAAGGACTAATTGGACCTCACTCACCTTTTCTGTGCCATAAGGAAAGCAGTTAGGTAAAGCTGACCTTCTTTGGAGGGAAGACACAAGGTCAAGACATGCCCATCAGGATGCCCTTTGGGCCTAGACCTGATGTGAGAATGATGGGCTTGGAGTGTTCTGGAAATAGCTGGGAGGCCTGTGTGTTTAGGAGCGCCTTAAACAGTAGGATATAAGGGCAGAGAAGTAGCTGGGAACTGAGAAAAGAACTTTGGCTGTTATTCTAGTAAGACTGAAAATTTCAGGTGGGATTTGAACAGAGTTGTGTTGTGATCTGACTTGGTTCATTCTGCTGTGGTGAAGAGACTGGAGGTGCGGGGCAAGTATGGAAGCATGGAGACCATTAATTTATGGGGGCAATGGTAGAGGGAAGAGAAACAATGCTATTAACTGGAGTAGGAGCACACAGAGAACAAGCCATGTTTTAAGATTTCTAATGAAATGTGCAGATGAGATTGTTGGGTAAGCTGTTAAGAATTGGATTTTGAACTAAGGAGACAGTCTAAGCTTGAGAGATTTGCAGATGATTAGTACACAGAAAAGGCCCTCTTTCCTTTTCAGTCTCTATACTCTAGAGCCTTTGTAAGCAACCAAACCAGAGAGAAGCCTCTGGAGAATAGTGAGTGAAGAGGAAGGAAGGCCTGGGTCAGAATCCTAGTTTAGCATTTTTGTGAAAGGATAGAAGAGGAAGCCATTCAAAAAAATACAGGGACATTGAGAAGGGAAGTGCCCTAGATATAGGACATCCAGATGGGAGTAGTCAGCCTTGTCAGATGCTCTAGGGATTATAAGGAAAAAGAGTTTTGTAGAGAGACAGAAGAAGCTAGATTGAATAGTATTGAGTGGTAGAGACATTTGAAAATGAAAAGCTTGAGGTAAGTTATTTGGTCAGTGAGTTTTTCTTGAAGTCGAGGATAGGAAGCTGTTGCTGGAGGGAAATATGAGATGTTTATTTTAAATGTTGGAGAGATTATGTTCTTTTGGCCAAGGGGAAGGAGCCACTAGAAAGCAGAGGTTGAAGAAACAGGAGAAAGAACATTGATAGATTAACTGGCCCTCACCTTTTCTCTGCCTCAAGGAAAGCAGTCAAAGTTGGTATAGACAGAATTTCGGCAGTGTATGGTGGATTGGGGGTAGGGGTAGAGGAAATTAAAGCCTGTGTTTTTTTGTTTATTTGTTTGTTTTTTCTGAGGACTGAGTCATTAGCTGAAAGCATAGGGCATTATAGAGCATAGTGGGGACTTGGGGAACCTGCCACTGGAGAGGACTTAGGACCTTTTAATGGCAGAAATGATGACTGTGTTGGCAGCAGTTCATCAGTGCCCAGTACTCAAGGGTCCCCCTGAGAAGCCAGTGGTTGCACTGATCTAGGTAGAATCAGGCACAGAATAAGTCAGGTGATGTGCCTTTCTAGCACTGGCCTCAGGCTGAGTTATAAGGGAAGTTACACAGCGAGAGGGACAGGCAAAGATGGAAAAGAGAGAGAGTGAGAAACAGTGTCTTCTTCCTGGCTGGAGAGCCCGTGTCATGAAAATGGGGACAGGGTAAGGGATCTGAAAGGAGCAGCATAGAAGCTGGGAGGATGAGGCCTGTCTTCCTGGCATTGATGCTGCAGAACTACAGGAAAGAATTTCAGAGGTGTCATTATTTTTCATATAAGCAGATGAAAGAGAAGAATTCTTTGAAAAAAGAAAAGTAGGTGAAAAAGGGAGAGACGGAGGGATGCCAGCAGTGAAAGAAGCCAGGACTGAGATACAAGATTGTGATGCTGGGAGAGCTGTGCAAGGGCTCATGCTGTAGGTGAGGAGTGAGGCTGCACAGGGAGCTCACTGGCAGCTTGGAGAGAACTGGGTGTCAAAGTTGTCCTGCAGAGGTCTACTGTCAGTGTGTCAGGCTCTGAAGAGAACAGGCTGCAACACATGAAAACAGGAAGGAGACACAGGGGCGAGTCAGCTCCACTGAAAGTCTGTAGCTGTGACTTTCTGGTTTGCCACTCCAATTTGAGTACTAATTAAGTGGTAGTCACATCTTCAACATAAAAACCAAAATAATGGCATCCTCGTGGAAGGAATTTTGTCAGAAAAGTGCTGTGTACTTTGCTGTCTTCCTAGGATTTGTTCTGTTTTTGTTTGTTTGTTTTTTTTAATGGTTCCACAGGCTGCATAGGAATACAAGCTAACCAATATTTTAATTACAGATCATTAAGCAGCTTTGAGTCTGGAAAATTTGTCGAATGTACCGAGCAATTAGAATTGTTACCAGGAGAAAATATCAATCTACTTGCTGGAGGATCAAAAGAAAAAATAGGTAGGTATTTGAGAAAATAGTTTTAAAGTTATTTTAGTGGACAAGTTGCTCAAAATGTTTGGCTTAGTATATTTTACTGGAAAATCTGGAAGTTATTTTACATTTTTGTGGGGGCAGAATCCCATGTGAAGCAACAAATTTAGGGCTGCCCTATTTATGTTTGATTTGGGAAATGAAAAGCACTTAAAATTAAGTCAAATAAAAAAAATGACCACCTTAATACTTTGAGATTTATCTAGCCATTTTGTTTGATAAAGGACAAAGTAGTGTTTCAGCTAAATATTTTTCTTGATTTTCATCTTGATGTGGCTCGTTAATTAAGTTCTTTATCACAAATGGAACACTTGATAAGATGTTATTAAAAAGTTTAATGAGTATTCTGGATTGAGCAAGATTTGCTAATGCAGGTCTAGATTTGTCCCCTTAAATAGTAGATTGACTTACCGATTTTCTTTTTTGTTGAGACAGAGTCTCACTCTGTTGCCCAGGCTGGAGTGCAGTGGCGCGATTTCGGCTCACTGCAACCTCCGCCGCCCTCTGAGTTCAAGCGATTCTCCTGCCTCAGCCTCCTGAGTAGCTGGGATTACAGGTGTCTGCCACCGTGCCCAGCTAATTTTTTGTATTTTTAGTAGAGACGGGGTTTCATCATCGTGGCCAGGCTGGTCTTGAACTCCTGACTTCGTGATCCACCCACCTTGGCCTCCCAAAGTGCCGGGATTACAGGCGTGAGCCACCACGCCTGACCTCGACTTACTGATTTTTGAGCCTTTGAAGGCAACTGCTTTTTAGGGGTCTGAGGTACAGTAATTTTGTATGAAGTATGATTTTTATATAGCTCTCAGTAATGCTTATAGTGTTTAACTGCCTGAAATATTAAAGGAGCTGTTCATTGGTGATTAGTTTTTAATAATGCCAAACATAAATCAAAATTTATAATAAAAGCACATTAACTTAATGACATTTCATTTAACTTCTGTAGACATGAAAAAACTGCTTCGTAACATGTGAAGTCCAGATCCAAGGGAACCTCAGAAATCCATTGAAGTTCCATTGTTAAGAAGTTCTGTTTGTTTGGCAACTGCTTTAAACCCGATAGAACAAGATCAGAAGTGGCAGTCTATAACTGAGTAAGTTTACTCTTACGGAGGTAAATGTACATTGTGTATATCATGTGATAAACATACATGGGGTGAAGAGGGCTGGAAGGAGAGTTACTAGATTACTAAATACTAGTGCTAATAGCTTCATTTTAGTTGTAGAAGTCATATGATATATGAATGCTGCTTGCCAACAAAAACTGAGGTTGAAATGAAATAAAATGTAAAAATCCCCAAAAGCAAATGTCTTGACTTGCTGATACCATTTTATTATAGAGCAGGCTGCTCCTCTTACTGCCCCCTAACTTTGGATGTCAATTTGATAGCATCTTATCAATTGCTTTATTCTTTGAGTGGTTATGAATTGTAATTTTTATTAATTGACAGTAAATATTTTGTTTCAGAAATGTGGTAAAGTACTTGAAGCAAACATCCCGCATCGCTATTGGACCTCTGAGACTTTCTACTTTAACAGTTTCACAGTCTTTGCCAGTTCTAAGTACCTTGCAGCTGTATTGCTCGTCTGCTTTGGAGACCACAGTTTCTAACAGACTTTCAACAGAGGTCTGTATATTTTTACAAGCACACTCTTATGACTATTAATGGTCATTACTGTAGAACAAAGACCTTATTTTTTGAGTTTTTTGGAATAGGATTTGTAGTTGGGCAAGCTGGTAAATCCAGAAATCTAACATGCTGTTTTCAGGCAGTCTTTCATTTGGGAAGTACATGGGGCAGATGGAAGAACCTGAGATAATCGCAAGGATGGCAAATTGCTCAGTTTTTTCTTCTATTTTTGGGGTGGGAGGTGGTGTATGTAAAGACAGTTCCTTTAGGCAGATCACGTAAATTTTAGATTTGCTGCAAACAAAGATCTCTCCTCTTCATCCTAAATGGGGTAAAGTTCGACCAGAGATGGGGGCTTCTGAATGAATGGTGATCTTCGAGAACTTCATAATAAAGCATTAGTTGTAATGTTTTTCTGCAGTCTGCTTTATAGTAAATGTGCTGTGACTTTTTTTTTTGTAATGTGCTTTATTAAGTATATTGATAAATTAGACTTAATATTCTGAAGAAGATTTCCCTTCAAAACAAAAGGCTTTCTCTTACTGTGTGCTTGCCTCTTGTGAGTAGAAGATAAATGATGTAAGGGTATAGTGTAATAGATAAAACTACTGCAATCAATCTGAAGTAGCCAAACTATATTGCAGTCTTGGACTTAAGACTTGCTATATATCTGCAAACATATCAACAGCCTGTTTTACGTTGAGTAATTTTGGTTTTTCTCTGGCAGGACTGTCTTATTCCACTCTTCGGCGAAGCTTTACGTTCATGTAAACAGCATGACGTGAGGCCGTGGATGCAGGCATTAAGGTATACTGTGTACCAGAATCAGTTGTTGGAGAAAATTAAAGTTAAGTGGTTTTCCTTTTTTTTTTTTTGTAAGAGAAAATTAAAGGTGGTTTTTTTTTTTTAAATTTTGCTTTATTGAGGTTTATATTACACATTCTAAGTGTATGGTTTGATGAGTTCTAACATGTCTTCACTTGTGTGACCACCAATACGATCGAGATAGAGAACAGCGTCTTACCCCAGAAGGTTCCCTTGGGATCATCTCCTCATTTGCCCCTGTCAGCAGTTACTGATTTGCTTTCTGTCACTATGGATTAGACTTGTCTTTACTAAAGTTTCATGTACGTGAAATCATAACAACATGTTCTCTTGTGTTTGGCTTCTCTTGCTCAGCATGATATTTTTACGGTTCACCCATATTGCATGTATCAGGAATATAATCCTTTTTATTATTGAGTAGTGTTCTATTGTATGTATATACCACAGTTTATTTCTCCCTTCATCCTTTGCTAGATTTTGGGGTTTTTTCACATTGCGCTATTCAGTATAAACCTGCTCTCAACATTCATGTGCAAGTCTTTGAGTGGACATATATTTGCGTTTCTCTTGAGTGAATGCACCTTGTTGGGTCACGTGGCTTAACTTAAAAAAATTTTAATCACTGTGGTGCATATGTAGTGATTATTAGTGATTATCTCATAATTTTATTTTCTTGTTTAATGATGTTGAGTGTATTTCATTTGTATTTTAGTTTGCAAATGTTTGTTCAAATTCTTCACCTGTTTTTAATGAAGACGTACGACTTATTTTTGTGTTCTGAACATAAGTTCTTTGTCACATAAAATGTGCTATGAATGTTGAGTTTTAAATACTCCAAATGAATGGCTAGAGAATTACTATTTGTAGAAATATTTATATGTCAAAGGGATGCTAACAATTTACTTTATTGCTCTAAAATAGAAAAGTTGCCAGAATGCTGTGGAGTTTTAGTGGAAAACATGATAGCTGGTGTTACTGAGTAAATTTGAGTGTTAAATGTCAATGTAAGCTAACGGCCAAGATAGGGACCACTGCAGGGTGGTTACTTGCAGCTGTGACTCAACTGGTCCTTCACTGCCAAACATACCTGGGGTTGGATCATTGGCCTGACGTTTGCAAATTGAGGAACCTTAGGGCAAATCAGTGAACTTCTGAACTGCCTTCGTCTTCAGTTATATGGGGATTTCCCCACTTTTGAGATCCTTGTAAGGATTATATGAGATGAAGAGATGAGACAAGGTATATAAAAGTCCTAGCACAGAGCGTGTCATATAATATGGCTTCACAAGTACCCTCATCTCCTTTCCAGTCGTTTTTTGTTTTTGTTTTTGTTTTTTTGAGACCATCTCACTCTGTTGCCCAGGCTGGAGTGCCTCTTCATTTTTATTTCTTTATTCAGCAAGTATTGATCAAATGTGCTTTGTACCAGGTACTGAGCTCTTCGTTGGGATATAATGGTGATCAAGGAGATTGTAGATTCTGGCAGGGAAAACTGACATCAAACACGGCGACCCGACATAGTGAGACCCTGTCTCTACTAGAAGAACTTTAAAAATCACCTAGGTGTGGGCCGGGCACGGTGGCTAACGCCTGTAATCCCAGCACTTTGAGATGCTGAGGCAGGTGGATCACGAGGTCAGGAGATCGAGACCATCCTGGATAACACGGAGAAACCCCGTCTCTACTAAAAATACAAAAAAATTAGCCGGGCGTGGGGGCGGGCATCTGTAGTCCCAATTACTCGGGAGGCTGCAGCAGGAGAATGGCATGAACCCGGGAGGCGGATCTTGCATTGAGCCAAGATCACGCCACTGCACTCCAGCCTGGGCGACAGAATGAGACTCCATCTCAAAAAAAAAGAAGAAACCAAGGATATAGAATAAAACAAGAGTGTAGATTTGGGCATTGAGGCCTTCAAATTGGATTGTTCTCAATGTCCAGAAGAAAAAAAAAATTTAGAAGAGACCCAAATCAGAAAACAAAAGTTGGGCTGAATTCAATGCGAATTATTTTCTAGCTCAATATTAATACTGCTTATGTCAGCTGAATTTCAGCCTTTCAATAACAGCTAGTCAAGTATTTTTTTAGTTGGTTCCTATTGATCGTCATCTTATTTTAGTGGAATCCATTATATTGAAGATGTCAAGTTCCTCATTTCCCATACAAAGAATGTGAGATTCATCTTTCTTGAATCTTTGCTAAGTGTTGAAGGGGACTTTTGGCATCTTTTCAGGAGGACTATAATTGGGCCCTCTAACTAAAAAGTCTCCTATGCCCCTTAGATAGATGAGATTTTTTTTTTTGACCTTGTACCCACCAACATTGGTGGGAGGCTCAGAAGGGACTGTGTTTGTAACTTTGTAGCACTTTCTAAACAGTGACCTGTTGTATGGGCATTATAGGACAGTCCGTGGGGTGGGGCGGGGGATGGGGGAGATGGACAAATGAGGTCTGGTTTAAAGAATGAGAAGTGTGACCAGGCATGGTGACTCATGCCTGTAATCCAGCACTTTGGGATGCTGAGGCAGGAGGATCACTTGAGCCCAGGAGTTTGAGGTTACAGTAAGCTATGATTGTGCCACTGGGCTCCAGCCTGGGTGACAGAACTAGACCCTGTCTCTAAAAAAAGAAGAAGAGGTGTGTATCCTTCTAAATGATAAAACAGATCACTCCCCTGCTTACATAAAACTTTCCGGTGGCTGGCCAGGCACGGTGGCTCACGCCTGTAATCCCAGCACTTTGGGAGGCCGTGGTGGGCAGATCACGAGGTCAGGAAATCGAGACCATCCTGGCTAACGTGGTGAAATCTTGTCTCTACTAAAAACACAAAAAATTAACCCAGGTATGGTGGCATGCACCTGTAGTCCCAGCTACTCGGGAGGCTGAGGCAGGAGAATCGCTTGAACCAGGGAGGTGGAGGTTGCAGTGAGCTGAGATTGCGCCACTGCACTCCAGCCTGGGTGACAGAGACTCTGTCTCAAAAAAAAAAAAAAAAAGAAAAAGAAAAATTAGATGGGTGTGGTGGCATGTGCCTGTAATCCCAGCTACTGGGGAGCCTGAGGCAGGAGAATCGCTTGAACCTGGGAGGCAGAGGTTACAGTGAGCCAAGATTGCACCACTGCAGTCTGCCTGGGTGACAGAGCTAGACTCTGTCTCAAAAACAGAAAAACAAAAAAACAACTTTCCAGTGGCTTCTCACTGCTCTGAGAATAAACTCCAGGCTCTTCCATTGCAACCAACAGGATCTGGTGATTCGACCCCAGCCCCTCTTTCCAGGCCCTCATCACCTTGATCCTCCCTTAACCTATCCTGCTCCAGCTGCACTGGCTGCCTTCCTATTCCTCCAGCATACCAAGATTGTTTCTGCCACAGGGCCTTTGCATCTGCTGTTCTCTTCGCCTGGACACCTCTTGGTTCTTTTTTTTTTTGTTCTTTGAGATGGAGTCTCACTCTGTCGCCCAGGCTGAAGTGCAGTGGCGCGATCTCGGCTCACTGCAAGCTCCGTCTCCCAGGTTCATGCCATTCTCCTGCCTCAGCCTTCCGAGTAGCTGGGACTACAGGCATCCGCCACCACGCCCGGCTAATTTTTTTGTATTTTTAGTAGAGACGGTTTCACCGTCTTAGCCAGGATGGTCTCGATCTCCTGACCTCGTGATCCGCCCGCCTGGGCCTCCCAAAGTGCTGGGATTACAGGTGTGAGCCACCGTACCCGGCCATAGAGCAGCCTCTTCCTTTTCCTGTTGGGTCTCTGCTCAAATGTCATGTCAGAGAGGCAGACCTCTGGGGCGGTCTATCTGAGGGAATGCACCCATCTCCCTTCCTCTGACCAGTTAGTTACCTTGCTTATTCTTTCAAAGCTCTTACCACCACCTGAAGTCATCTATCTGGTTTGGTTATTTTATTGTTTAGTAGCAGTCTTTATTTTATTATCATTATTATTTTTTGATGGAGTCTCACTCTGTTGCCCAGGCTGGAGTGCAGTAGCATGATCTCGGCTCACCAGAACCTCTGCCTCCCAGGTTCAAGCGATTCTCCTGCCTTAGCTTCCTGAGTAGCTGGGACTACAGGCACGTGCCACCATGCCCAGCTGATTTTTGTACTTTTAGTAGAAACGGGGTTTCACTATGTTGGCTGGTCTTGAACTCCTGACATCAAGTGATCCGCCCACCTCGGCCTCCCAAAGTACTGGGATTACAGGCATGAGCCACCACGCCAGGCTGGTAGCAGTCTTTCCTAGAATGTGGATGCCTTGGAAAACAGGGGCTCTGCCTTGTTTCCCTAGAACCTAGAATGGCATCTGGCACACAGCAGATGCTACATCTATTGTAAATGAATGAATGAAAGAAGTGTCCTTGCAGCCACACTGGCAGCCGTAACATAGTGGTTATAAATCTAGACTCTGGAGTCTCAAGTGCAAATGTCATTGGCCTCTCCTCCAGCCTCCTCAAGGGGCACTCAATGACTGGAAGTGCCCTGATATGACTGTGGTTGGACTGACATGACTGCCAGATGGTGGGACTTGGTCTGGAGCAGAGACTACTTGGAATGGTAGAGGCAAAACTCAACAGCCCCTGGAGCTGCGCTTGTGGTGGAGCTGGACCCTGATTTTAGCTGGACCTTGTTTTTAGAGACAGGGTTTCCTTCTGCAGTCTCAATCTCCTAGCCTTGATTGATCCTCCTGCCTTGGCCTCCCAAAGTGCTGGGACTACAGGTGCATGCAACCACACCTGGCTAATTTTCTTCTCTTCTTTCTTTTCTTTTTTTTTTTTTTGATGGAGTCTTGTTCTGTTGCCCAGGCTGGAGTGCAATGGTGCCATCTCGGCTCACTGCAACCTCTGCCTCCCGGGTTCAATCCATTCTCCTGCCTCAGCCTCCCAAGTAGCTGGGACTACAGGTGTGTGCCACCGTGCCTGGCTAATTTTTGTATTTTTAGTAGGGATGAGACTTCACCATGTTGGCCAGGCTGGTCTCGACCTCCTGACCTCAGGTGATCCACCCACCTTGGCCTCCCAAAGTGCTGGGACTACAGGCACATGCAACCACGTCTGGCTAATTTTCTTGAGTTTTAGTAGAGACTGGGTCTCGTTATGTTGTCCAGGCTGGTCCCGAGCTCCTGAGTTCAATCGATCTTCCTGCCTTGGTCTCCCAAAGTGCTGGGCCTACAGGCGTGAGCCACCATCCCCAGCCCAATTTTTGTATATTTTGTAGAGACACAGTCTTGCTATGTTGTCCAGGCTGGTCTCAAACTCCTGGGCTCAAGGGATCTTCTTGCCTTGGCCTCCCGGAGCACTTAATTACAGGAATGACTGCATGTGCTGTTGTGCCTATACTTTCTGGAGATACGTTGTTAGGAATTTATGTAGTTGGCCGGGCACGGTGGCTCACGCCTGTAATCCCAGCACTCTGGGATGCCGAGGCAGGTGGATCACCTGAGGTCAGGAGTTCGAGACCAGCCTGGTCAACATGGTGAAACCCTGTCTCTACTAATAATACTAAAATCAGAGGTTGCTTGCAGTGAGCCAAGATCATACCATTGCACTGCAGCCTGGGCAACAGAGCGAGACTCTGTCTCAAAAAAAAAAAAAAAAGGAATTTACATAGTTGAACAACTATTCTTTGGACATCTTTTAGTCCAGTAGACGGTGTTAAACTTGAAGACAAATAACGATTTGACCTGTGATATTTGTTTTTCCCTCTTATCTTCTAAGCCCATTCATCCAGATCATTCATCACCTTTAAAGGCATCCCCAGAGGGAGGCAGGTCTGGACAGAGCTGAAGATTGCACAGGCCATTTGCAGGCTGGATTAGTTCTGTGGTGACCCACCTGTCTGACTCGAGTTATTTTTTTCCCATGTCTGGACAAGACTGACCTCTGCCCAGCAACTCAGGCCTGGATTTAGTCCAAGGGCCCTCAGTGGCTTTTTTGTTTGTTTGTTTTTTCAGGAAGTGAAGAATTTAGAGGGATAAAAGGCGGAAATAACTTTTCAGCCTCTGACCTTTGTAACAATCTAGTTTCCTTTTAAAGGAGCATTGTTTGGGCCTGGGGCCACCTAGACCTTCTGATGCTCTTTCCCCACCCTTGGAGGAGGAGGAAAGGAAGAAAATGGGCCCTGAGCGATCACCACATACCAGGCCCTGGGGGTCTAGTGGCGAAGGAGGCAGGTAGGGTCTCTTGCTTTCATGGAGCTTCTAGTCAAGCGAGACGCACTAAACAGTAAAGGGACAAATAGGATTACTGGAGGTAGCCCTAACTACTGGGACAGAAACAAGATGGTAAGATAGAGAAGGAAGAGTGGCCTGCTCAGATGGGGTGGTCCAGAGGCCTCTCGGGGGAGGTGACTCCTTTTTATTTTATTTTTTTTGAGATGGAATCTAGCTCTGTCGCCCAGCCTGAAGTGCAGTCGTGTGTTTCATGCGCGTCCGTGTGAAGAGACCACCAAACAGGCTTTGTGTGAGCAACATGGCTGTTTATTTCACCTGGGTGCAGGCGGGCTGAGTCCGAAAAGAGAGTCAGCAAAGGGTGGTGGATTATCATTAGTTCTTACAGGTTTTGGGATAGGGGGTGAAGAGCCATGTTTTGCAGGCAGGGGTGGATCTCACAAAGTACATTCTCAAGGGTGGGGAGAATTACAAAGAACCTTCTTAAGGGTTGGGGAGATTACAAAGTACCTTCTTAAGGGTGGGGGAGATTACAAAGTACATTGAAGAGTTAGGGTGGGGCAGAAACAAATCACAATGGTGGAATGTCATCAGTTAAGGCTATTTTTACTTCTTGTGTGGATCTTCAGTTACTTCAGGCCATCTGGATGTATACGTGCAAGTCACAGGGGATGCAATGGCTTGGCTTGGGCTCAGAGGCCTGACAGTGTGATCTTGGCTCACTGCAAACTCTGCCTCCTGGGTTCAAGCAATTTTTGTGCCTCAGCTTCCCGAGTAGCTGGGATTACAGGTGCCCGCCACCATGCCCAGCTAATTTTTGTATTTTTAGTAGAGACATAGAGTTTCACCAGATTGGCCAGGCTGGTCTCGAACTCCTGTCTCACGTGTCTGTGTGAAGAGACCACCAAACATGCTTTGTGTGAGCAACATGGCTGTTTATTTCACCTGGGTGCAGGCGGGCTGAGTCCGAAAAAGGAGTCAACAAAGGGTGGTGTGATTATCACTGGTTCTTATAGATTTGGGGATAGGCGGTGGAGTTAAGAGCAGTGTTTTGGGGGCAGGAGGTGGATCTCATAAAGTACATTGTCAAAGGTGAGGAGAATTACAAAGAAACTTCTTAAGGGTGGGGGAGATGATAAAGAACCTTCTTAAGAGTGGGGCAGATTACAAAGTACATTGATCAGTTAGGGTGGGGCAGAAACAAATGACAATGGTGGAATGTCTTCAGTTAAGGCTGTTTTCACTTCTGTGGATCTTCAGTTGCTTCAGGCCATCTGGATGTATACGTGCAGGTCACTGGGATATGATGGCTTAGCTTGGACTCAGAGGCCTGACATTCCTGTCTTCTTATGTTAATAAGAAAAATAAAACAAAATAGTGGTAAAGTGTTGGGGTGGCGAAAATTTTTGGGGGTGATATGGAGAGATAATGGGCGATGTTTCTCAGGGCTGCTTCGAGTGGGATTAGGGGCGGCATGGGAACCTACAGTGGGAGAGATTCAACTGAAGAAAGATTTTGGGGTAAGGGCTGATACTGTGGGGTTGTTAGAAGGAGCATTTGTCATATAGAATTATTGGTGATGGCCTGAATATGGTTTTGTATGAATTGAGAAACTAAACAGAAGACACACGGTCCGAATAAGAGAAGGAGAAAAACAGGTATTAAAGGACTAAGAATTGGGAGGACCCAGGACATCCAATTAAGAGAGTGCCCAAGGGGGTTCAGCATAATTATTTGCTTGGTTGGCAAGTTTTTGGACTCTATCCTTGAGTTTTTTTATGTTGTCATATACCAGGCCAGATTGATTTAGGTAAAAACAACACTCTTCATTTAAAAATATACAGAGTCGTCCTTTTTCAGCAATGAGTAAATTGAGGCCTTGGCGATTTTGGAGGAAAGAGAATTGCAAAGCCAGCAATTGTTTCTTTTTTTATTTATTTATTTACTTATTTTTTTAAATTATACTTTAAGTTATAGGGTACATGTACACAATGTGCAGGTTTGTTACATATGTATACATGTGCCATGTTGGTGTACTGCACCCATTAACTCGTCATTTACATTAGGTGTATCTCCTACTGCTATCCCTTCCCCCTCCCCCACCACACAAGAGGCCCCAGTGTGTGATGTTCCCCTTCCTGTGTCCAAGTGTTCTCATTGTTCAATTCCCATCTGTGAGTGAGAACATGCGGTGTTTGGTTTTTTGTCCTTGTGATAGTTTGCTGAGAGTGATCGTTTCCAGCTTCATCCATGTCTCTACAAAGGACATGAACTCATCCTTTTTTATGGCTGCATAGTACTCCATGGTGTATCTGTGCCACATTTTCTTAATCCAGTCTATCATTGATGGACATTTGTGTTGGTTCCAAGTCTTCACTATCGTGAATATTGCCGCGATAAACATATGTGTGCATGTGTCTTTATAGCAGCATGATTTATAATCCTTTGGGTATGTATCCAGTAATGGGATGGCTGGGTCAAATGGTATTTCTAGTTCTAGATCCCTGAGGAATCGCCACACTGTCTTCCACAATGGTTGAACCAGTTTACAGTCCCACCAACAGTGTAAAAGTGTTCCTATTTCTCCACATCCTCTCCAGCACCTGTTGTTTCCTGACTTTTTAATGATCGCCATTCTAACTGGTGTGAGATGATATCTCATTGCGGTTTTGATTTGCATTTCTCTGATGGCCAGTGATGATGAGCATTTTTTCATGTGTCTGTTGGCTGCATAAATGTCTTCTTTTGAGAAGTGTCTGTTCATATGCTTTGCCCACTTTTTGATGGGGTTTGTTTTTTTTCTTGTAAATTTGTTGGTGTTCTTTGTAGATTCTGGATATTAGCCTTTTGTCAGATAAGTAGATGGCAAAAATTTTCTCCCATTCTCTAGGTTGCCTGTTCACACTGATCCTAGTTTCTTTTGCTGTGCAGAAGCTCTTTAGTTTAATTAGATCCCATTTGTCAGTTTTGGCTTCTGTTGCCATTGCTTTTGGTGTTTTAGACATGAAGTCCTTGCCCATCCCTATGTCCTGAATGGTATTGCCTAGGTTTTCTTCTAGGGTTTTCACGGCTTTAGGTCTAACATTTAAGTCTTTAATCCATCTTGAATTAATTTTTGTATAAGGTGTAAGGAAGGGATCCAGTTTCAGCTTTCTACATAGGGCTAGCCAGTTTTCCCAGCACTATTTATTAAGTAGGGAATCCTTTCCGCATTTCTTGTTTTTGTCAGGTTTGTCAAAGATCAGATGGTTGTAGATGTGTGGTATTATTTCTGAGGGCTCTGTTCTGTTCCATTGGTCTATATGTCTGTTTTGGTACCAGTACCAGGCTGTTTTGGTTACTGTAGCCTTGTAGTATAGTTTGAAGTCAGGTAGCATGATGCCTCCAGCTTTGTTCATTGGGCTTAGGATTGTCTTGGCAATGCGGGCTCTTTTTTGGTTCCATATGAACATTAAAGTAGTCTTTTGCAACTCTCATCAGCCCAGTTTAATATTACCTATTTATTATAATGTAATGCTGCTCGCACAACTGAGAAAATACTGTTGCTTTACCCCCTCCAGCTCTGTAGCAGCCACGCAGAAATCATAGAACTGTAAACATATGCTAATTACACAACCTATGTAGGCAATCAATATTAAGAAAAATTTTTACTGCCCGGTATTTCTGTGGTTGAAAATGTAGAGTCTAATTTTGATCCGCAGTAACATCTAGGTTAATGTTGATTCAGAAGGAAAACGTTTGTTGTTGCCATGAGAAGAGGCATTGAAATGCTGAATCACCACCACAAATGTTACCACTATTAATATAAGGAGATACATAGGAAGATGGAATTAGACCATCTCGGACCACCAGGTTTACAATTCCACCTGCAGATACATGCAAGAAGTATTGTCACAATACTTATGTCACGTTATTCCGTTGAGGTCATCACCAACTAAGCTTATAATTAATGTGTGGTCAATTTGGTCAATGTCACCAGCGTAGCATACTAACAAAAACAAGGGTTGCAAAGTCAAATGCCTATAAGGCAGAACGTAAGACGGTAGGAAGCAAAGTCTATAGGGAGCTATATAATAGAGGCTGCAGATTCATGGCAGATTCTAAAGCACAGCAGTCCCCAACATTTTTGGCACCAGGGACCGGCTTTGTGGAAGACAATTTTTCCACAGGCGGCAAGGGATGGGGCGCAGGATGGTAATGGTCTTGGGATGAAACTGTTCCACCACAAATCATCAGGAATTAGATTCTCATAAGGAATATGCAACCTGGATCCCTCGTGTGTGCAATTCACAACAGGGTTCATGCTCCTGTAAGAATCTAATGATGCTGCTGATCTGACAGGAGGCAGAGCTCAGGCAGCAATGCAAGCAATGGGGAGCAGCCAGAAATACAGACGAAGCTTCAATTGTTACCCACCATTCACCTCCTGCTCTGTGGCCCAGTTCCTAACAGGCCACAGACCAGTACATGTCCATGGCCCAGGGGTCAGGCACCCCTGCTGTGGCACATTGCTTAATAGAGGACTGTAGCAGCCATGTGCCCTGACCTTTCCTTTTTTTTTTTTTTTTTTTTTTTTTTGAGATGCCAGAAACCCAGAATTTTTTTTTTTTTTTTTTTTTTTTTTTTTTTTTAAGACAAGGTCTGGCTCTGTTGCCCAGGTTGGAGTGTAGGAGGGCGATCTCAGCTCACTGTAACATCAACCTCCCAGGCTCAAGCAATCCTCTCACTTCAGCCTCCCACGTTGCTGGGATTACAGGCACACTCCACTACACCCAGCTAATTTTTTTGTATTATTTGTAGACATGGGGTTTCGCCATGTTGCCCAGGCTAGTCTGGAATTCCTGAGGTCAAGCTGTCTGCCCATCTCAGCCTCCCAAAGTGCTGGGATTGCAGGAGTGCACCACCACACCTGGCCTGAAACCCAGATTTTATTTATTTATTTATTCATTTTTTGAGATGGAGTCTTGCTCTATTGCCTAAGCTTGAGTGCAGTGGCGCGATCTTGGCTCACTGCAACCTCCACCTCCCTGGTTCAAGCGATTCTCCTGCCTCAGCCTCCCAAAGTGCTGGGATTACAGGCATGCAACACCACACCCAGCCTGAAACCCAGATTTTTAATATGAAATCAAAGTCTTCAGACCTTGTAGGTGTCATAAAAAGCACGCTGAGGACCACTAGTTTGCAACTGCCAATCTAAAATATCATAGACATTATATCACTTCAACCACGAAAAAAAAAGTATGTGAGGCAGAAAATGGAAGCAACCATGCCTAATTTATTGTTGAATACTTTTTCCGTATACCAAGAGCTTCCTTTGCACTAGCATCTGAAACTATATCCAGAATGACACTGGTTTTCATAAAAGTGTTGATCCTCACACCTCTTTATAGTCTTGCACCTAGCACAGTGGAGTGAAACACTTTAAATAGCACTTGTTCCTTGAGTATATATGGAAAAAAGTGAAGTATTGATAAGTGCTCAGCTAATATGAGCAGCATCTCAGGAGTCTCCAATTCTTGAATTACCAGGGAGTATTTTTACCATTTTCCCCCAGTGAAAGGCCTATTTTGAGAGACTTACCCTCCAAAATGAATGTATTAAGTCATGTTCCTTTTTTTTTTTTTTTTTTTTTTTTGAGACAGGGCCTTGCTCTGTTGCCCAGGCTGGAGTGCAGTAGCATGATAGTTACAGGAAAGGGGTCCCAATCTAGACCCCAAGAGAGGGTTCTTGGATCTTGTGCAAGAAAGAATTCAGGGTGATGCCACAGTGTGAAGTGAAAGCAAGTTTATTAAGAAAGTAAAGGAGGAGGGGCACGGTGGCTCACTCCTGTAATCGCAGCACTTTGGGAGGCCGAGACAGGTGGATCACGAGGTCAGGAGATCAAGACCATCCTGGTTAACACGGTGAAACCTCATCTCTACTAAAAATACAAAAAAATTAGCCAAGTGTGGTGGCGGGTGCCTGTAGTCCCACCTACTCTGGAGGCTGAGGCAGGAGAATGGGATGAACCCGGGAGGCGAAGCTTGCAGTAAGCCGAGATCGCGCCACTGCACTCCAGCCTGGGTGACAGAGGGAGACTCCATCTCAAAAAAAAAAGAGAGAAAGTAAAGGAATAAAAGAATGGCTACCCCATAGACGGAGCAGCCGTGAGGGCTGCTGGTTGCCCATTTTTATGGTTATTTGTTGATGATATGCTAAACAAGGAGTGGATTTTTCATGCCTCCTCTTTTTAGACCATATAGGGTAACTTCTTGATGTTGCCGTGGCATTTGTAAACTGTCATGGTGCTGGTAGGAGTGTAGCAGGGAGGATGATGGGAGGTCAGTCTTGTCTCTATTTTGGTTTTGGTGGGTTTTGGCCAGCTCCTTCACTGCAACCTGTTTTATCAGCAAGGTCTTTATGACTGGTATTTTGTGCTGACCTTCTATGTCATCCTGTGACTTAGAATGCCTTAACCATCAGGGAATGCAGCCCAGTAGTTTCAGCCTCATTTTTCCCGGCTCCTATTTAAGATGGAGTTGCTCTGGTTCACACACCTCTGACATGATCATTGCCCACTGCGGCTTCCACCTCCCGGGTTCAAGAGATCCTCCTGCCTCACCCTCCCAAGGTGCTGGGACTACAGGTGTGTGCCACCAGCTCAGCTAATTTTTGTATTTTTTGTAGAGATGGTGTTTTTCCATGTTGCCCAGGCTGGTCTCAAACTCCTGGGCTCAAGCAATCCTTCTGTCTCAGCCTCCCAAAGTACTGGGATTACAGGCATGTCCCACCATGCCCAGACTAATATTTACTTTTAATCAGACTAAGATAGGGTTACTACTTGAGTTGCTATGGCTCCAGCTGAAAGAAAGCCCGTGCAGTCATATCACGCGTAAACATTTGCTTTATGCTAAAAATATGGTGGACCTGGCATTACAGCTATTACAAATCTCCTAAGATGTCTCGGGTAGTGTATTAGTTACTTTTCATACTGCTATGAAGAAATACTGGAAACTGGGTAATTTATAAAGAAAAAGAGGTTTAATGTACTCACAGTTCCACAAGGCTGGAGAGGCCTCAGAATCATGGTGGAAGGCAAAGAAGGAGCAAAAAGGTATGTCTTCCATGGCAGCAGGCAAGAGAGCACGTGCAGGGAAACTGCCCTTTATAAAACCATCAGATTTAGTGAGATGTATTCACTATCACGAGAACAGTATGGGAAAAACCTGCCCCCATGATTCGATTACCTCCTACCGGGTCCCTCCCACGACACATGGGGATTATGGGAACTACAATTCAAGATGAAATTTGGGTGGGGACGCAGCCAAACCATATCGGGTAGCAACAACCTAGGGTCAGTTTTGCAGGTGGTAAAGCCATTTACCAAGATAGTTGTAGGTAAAGAAGGGCAGATTTATTAGAGAAATTGTGAAAATATGTTGCAGTGGGCAGCTCAGCAGAGAAGGGGCTACCTGCAAAGAGGCAAGGGCTGGAGGAAAGTTTTATAGGGTCCTGCTGAAGGGTGCTACGTGTGGAATGAGGTCATTGTGCCCGCAGGTTGTTTGTGATTAGCTGTCTCTAACAATTGTTCATACAATAATTGTTCATTATTGTTCTCAACTTGGGGCTCTCCCCAACCTGGGGACCCTTCCTTATTGTTGCTTACTTATCAGGTCTCCACATAAAGGTGTGGAAACTTCATTCATTCATATCTTCAACACAAATTGTAGGTAGCCTGTTTTTTAAAACATTTATTCAACAAATATTTAGTCCAAGCCACTATTACTTACTACCTTCTCTACTATTGTATGGACTTTTAACTATCTCTGACACTATTCACTATTCTTCCACATTCTCTATTATTTATACCTATGGTAAAATTTGCCAGTTTGACCATACAACTAATACTCACAGGGAATATATAGAGTCTAGAAGAAAATATACAGGTCCTTAAAGGCTGCCCTGCCAACAAAACCATAACGCAGGAACAAACATCACAACTATGCCAAATAATCAATCCTACAATGTCCAAAATTTTACTTTAAAACTGGAATTACCAGACTTCCTTTCTGCATTAACCAGTTTAACTAGACAGTAACGAAATATTCCTACTTTATGCTGTGATAGTTTGTTTGTTTGTTTGTTTGTTTATTTATTTATTTATTTAAGACAGAGTTTCGCTCTTGTTGCCCAGGCTGGAGTGCAGTGGCACGATCTCAGCTCACCACAACCTCCGCCTCCCAGGTTCAAGCGATTCTCCTGCCTCAGCCTCCCGAGTAGCTGGGATTACAGGCATGTACCACCACGCCCGGGTAATTTTGTATTTTTAGTAGAGACGGGGGGTTTCTCCATGTTGGTCAGGCTGGTCTAGAACTCCAGACCTCAGGTGATACCCCTGCCTCAGCCTCCCAATGTGCTGGGATTACAGCTGTGAAGCCACCGCGCCCGGCTGCTGTGATAGTTGAGATGTAAACCAAAAATAAAATTCTAAGCCACCCAGTCCGACTGAATGGACCCTTCCTGTTGAGCAAGGACATTCCAAAGTAAACTGAAAAGACCAGCTTAGGCCATGATGGGAAGGGGAGGTGTCAACATGCCTCATTCTACCTTCCTCCCTCTGGAATCCAGACACAACTGACCAGCATTAACATTAAAACAGAGATCTTAAGCTGGGCACAGTGGCTCATGCCTATAATCCCAGCACTTTGGGAGGCCAAGGTGGGATCACCTGAGGTCAGAAGTTCAAGACCAGCCTGGCCAGTATGGTGAAGCCATGTCTCTACTAAAAATACAAAATTAGCCGGACATTGTGGTGCACGTCTGTCATCCCAGCAAGGCAGGCGAATCACTTGAACCCAGGAAGCAGAGGTTGCAGTGAGCCAGGATCATGCCATTGCACTCCAGCCTGGTCAACAGAGCGAGACTCCGCCTCATTAAAAAAAAAAAAAAAAAAAAAAATTAGCCGGGCGTGGTGGCGGGCACATGTAGTCCCAGCTACTAGGGAGGCTGAGGCAGGAGAATGGTGTGAACCAGGGAGGCGGAGCTTGCAGTGAGCCGAGATTGTGCCACTGCACTCCAGCCTGGACAGAAATGCATTTCATAATGCATTTTAATTGCATTAGCAGTGATTTAATTTTTTTAGATGCTAAAACTTATGGGTGAAAGTGGATTAAATGTAGCCAAATGCAACATCAAAATCTTCAGGCACAAAAACCCATTAACTTTTTCATACTCTCAGAAGGTGAACCTAATTTCAAATGAAAGCTGCCTCCAGAATATATTGTTAAGCGTATTCTAGATATAATTCATTTTGGCAAACATACTGTAGAAATTCACATAACATTTTACTGTACTAAAAGTAAATTGCCCATGTAACAAAAAATATCTTTTCAGAGCTTGAAATGAATTTTAAAGGATGACTGATGGTCCTTGGAAGAGAAACAGTAAACAAATAAGGTTTGTAGCAATGATGTATGAGTTAGAAATTGCAGTTCCAGATGATCTCTTTATTAAAGAGACGATCTACACTTAATTTGGTCAAGTGTTATGAACATAGTTCATGTTAAGTCTCCATTTAAATACAACCTGAAATACCAAAGTTAATTTTCTTTTCTTTCTTTCTTTTTTTTTTTTTTTAGAAGGAGTCTTGCTCTGTTGCCCTTCCTGGAGTGCAGTGACGTGATCTTGGCTCACTGCAACCTCCACCTCCTGGGCTTGAGCGATCCTACTGCCTCAGCCCCCCAAGTAGCTGGGAGGACAGGCGCAAGCCACGGCACTCAGCTAATTTTTGTATTTTTCGTAGAGATAGGGTTTCACCATGTTGCCCAATTTGGTCTCGAACTCCTGAGCTCAAGTGATCCGCCCGCCTTGGCCTCCCAAAGTGCTGGGATTACAGGCATGAGCCACCGTGCCTGGCCAGAAAATTGTAAACACACACAAACTCTCAAGTGGCCTAATTCCCTCTCACCAAACCAATCACAATACAGATAAAAGAGAATAACTTGTGTTCATTTTTGTACAAACAAAAAAGATATAAATTGTGAATGATGCATGATTTTTAATTACAAGTAAACTGGGCAAATGCTTCTGCATTATTTAAAGCTAAAAGGTGATCAGTGGAAACTTTCCTCTGTTAGTACTCTAATACTTTTTATATTTATCGGCTCACTACAACCTGTGCCTACCAGGTTCAAGCGATTCTCCTGTCTCAGCCACCTGAGTAGCCGAGACCACAGGCACGCACTACCATGTCCGGCTAATTTTGTATTTTTAATAGAGACAGGGTTTCACCGTGTTGGCCATGCTGGTCTTGAACTCCTGACCTCAACCGATCCGCCTGCCTTGGCCTCCCAAAGTTCTGGGATTACAAGCGTGAGCCACAGCGCCCAGCCTTATTATAATTGTTACTATTTAAATCTCTTTTGCTCTCTCCTTCAAGAGAGACCTCATCCCATTCAGTTGCTTCCATTTATTTATTCATCTTCTGCCTCCTGGGCTCGAGAGATCCTCCAGCGTGAGTCTCCCAAGTAGCTGGGACTACAGGCTCACACCACCAAGCTTGGCTAAATTTTGTAGGTTTTGGAGAGACAGGCTCTTGCCACGTTGCCTAGGCTGGTCTCAAACTCCTGGGCTCAGATGATCCACCTGCCTTCGCCTCCCAAAGCACTGGGACATGAGCCACCACGCCCAGCCGCAAGTACTTTTACACAAAATGCAAACACCATTCTTCCATCATAAAAGTGATACCACAGCTTCCGTGAAGTTTTGCCAGGTAGTACTCATAATTACCTTGGGTAAACTTTTTGATGTTAAACTGTATCTTCTTATTACGAGTTTTTCCATTGTATTAACTGCTTTTACAACAACACAAATAACAAGTTATTTTACAAACCATTTAGAAATTTCTGTACTATGGTCCCAGTAATGTAAAAATATATTAATGCCTATTACATTCAGATAAATTATACACTTGGAAACCACATACTTATGACTTACAGAAACTTACATAAACAAATTATAGAAATTATATGCTCAATTTTTAGGTATATAGTCTTAAATTAAGCTTAAATATACATTCTCAAGATAAATTAACAGTTCAGGGCTTCACAACTTGAAATCTGTGGAAGATGACATTGGAGACAACAGAACTCTGGTGGAATTCTTAGATGGAATTTGCCGAAACTTTTTTTTTTTTTTTTTTTGAGATGGAGTGTCGCTCTGTCGCCCAGGCTGGAGTGCAGTGGCGCAATCTCAGCTCACTGCAAGCTCTGCCTCCCGGGTTCACGCCATTCTTCTGCCTCAGCCTCCCGAGTAGCTGGGACTACAGGCGCCCACCGCCACGCCCGGCTAATTTTTTATATTTTTAGTAGAGATGGGGTTTTACTATGTTAGCCAGGATGGTCTCGATCTCCTGACCTTGTGATCCACCCGCCTTGGCCTCCCAAAGTGAAACTTTTCTTTAAAATAGAGATGGGATCTTGCTGTATTGCCCAGGCTGGTCTCAGACTCCTTGCCTTAAGCAGTCCTCCCACCTCAGCCTCCTAAAGTGCTGGGATTACAAGCGTGAAGCATTACATCCAAGTGAAACTTCTTGAGATGGTTACATAATGTCTAAATCTGCTGGTGTAGAAGTTAATAAAGTGTAGAACTGAATAAATATTAAATATTAGATCAAGTTTCTCATGTTTATCTTAACGTATAACGATTTATCTTAAAGCACTGATTTTCACAAAATAACATCAGTGTGAAATTGGAAAAGAAGCCAAATATTTTATTTCATGTATCTGGGAAATGAGGTGCTTTAGTCAACTGAATCTGCCCAAAACTAAAAAGCATTAATTAAAAAGTACTTAACTCAGAAATTATAAAAATAGCAGACATCAATAAAATACATTCTACACAGAATACGCCAACCATACACTACTCTTTTTTGATAATAAAAAATGTATTTACTGAGCCAGTTGTGGTGGCTCACGCCTATAATCCCAGCACCTTGGAAGGCCAATGAGAGTGGATCAGTTGAGGCCAGGAGTTTGAGACCAGCCTGGCCAACATGGTGAAATGCCGTCTCTACTAAGAATACAAAAATGAGCCGGGCACGGTGGCACGCACCTGTAATCCCAGGTACTCCGAAGGATGAGGCAGGATAATTGTTTGAACTCAGGAGGTGGAGGTTGCAGTGAGCCAAAATCATGCCACTGCACTCCAGCCTGGGTGACAGAGTGAGTCTCTGTCTCAAAAAAAAAAAAAAAAGAAAAAGAAAAAAAGTCAGTTGCAGTGGCTCACGCCTGTAATCCCAGCACTTTGGGAGGCTGAGGCAGGCGGATTACAAGGTCAGGAGATCGAGACCACCCTGGCCAACATGGTGAAACCTCCTCTCTACTAAAAATGCAAAAATTAGGCTGGGCACGGTGGCTCACACCTGTAATCCCAGCACTTTGGGAGGCCGAGGCGCGGAGATCACGAGATCAGGAGATTGAGACCATCCTGGCTAACACAGTGAAACCCTGTCTCTACTAAAAATACAAAAAATTAGCTGGATGTGGTGGCAGCACTTGTAGTCCCAGCTACTTGGGTGGCTGAGGCAGGAGAATGGCGTGAACCCGGGAGGCAGAGTTTGCAGTGAGCCGAGATCCCACCACTGCACTCCAGCTTAGGCGACAGAGCCAGACTGTGTCTCAAAAACAGGAAAGAAAACAAAAGAAAATTTGGACTATTGCCAATTACAAATATTTTTAGAGAAGAATTCAAAACAGTAACTGTGGATGATGGAAACAATAGTTATGATAAAAGTCTGATGAAACTTCCCAGTTCACAAGGAAATTTAATTACTTATGTGCAGCATTTTAAGACAGTAATCAGAATCATGACTGACAGCATCATATCAGGGCCAGCAGACTTTTATAAATTTCATACAATCTTCAGAAATAATAACTTTTTTTTTTTTTTTTGGATAGATTCTACCTTTGTCACCCAGGCGGGAGTGCAGTGGCATGATCTCGGCTCACTACAACCTCCGCATCCTGGGTTCAAGCAGTTCTCCTGTCTCAGCCTCCCGAGTAGCTGAGATTACAGGCATGTGCCACCAGGCATGGCTAATTTTTGTATTTTTAGTGGAGACAGGGTTTCACTCTATTAGGCTGGTCTGGAACTCCCGACCTCAGGTGATCCACGTGCCTTTGTCTCCCAAAGTGCTGGGATTACAGGCATGAGTGACGGTGCCCAGCCATTCGTGACATGTTTATACAAATATAACTTTAGCAAATATTTAGCATAACTATCAAAATTACAAATCATATTAAATTTGTATAAATGTATGCAATTTTTGGAACACGCATATCAACAACATACCCATAAATATAACTGAGATGAGATCTAATGTCACCTCACTTGACAGTGCCCTCCCATGCAGTATCGCCACATTTGACAATGCCTGCCCATTTAATCTACCAAATAAATCGAATCACTTAATACCTCTACAAGATGAGAGATACATTCTTTAGACTCCCCAAGGGATGCAGCTGAAAAAAATCCCAAAGTTAGTTTTAAGCCAAAAAGACTTGATTTAGGATTTTGACACTGGAGAAACCCATCAAAGATGTCAAGTTTGAAAACACTTGATCAAAACAGAATCACAGGTCACTATTAAAAGAGTATTAATTTAACCAGAGACTTCCAAAGCAATACAGAAACTTACATGGATATAAAAACCCTAACCCTTTTAAAGGTCAGATTTGCTAAGTGATCAAAAGGGGTACTTGAATTGAATCGACACAGGAAGAGTGTGTACAGGGTTATGAGTGTAGGCAGGTGGTTACTTTGGTCATATCTCCATTTGCCACCTGATTACACATGAGAATGGCATCTTTACTCACCAGAAAGCCAGTATTATAGGAGGTGTAGGAGGCATTCTTGGACTTGAGACAAGAACATTGTTGTGTAGAAATTTCATTGACTGTGTTAAAATTATTCTCCATGGGCTGGAGAACACATAACATGGCCTTTAGAATGAGACGGGCATTGATTGGATGCAAGGTCTCCACACTTACTAGCTGTGTGACATTGGACAGAGTGCTTCATCATTCCGAGACTCAGTTTTTAAAGGAAAAACAACTAACTACCTTGCAAGCTTGCTAGCAGGTTTAAGTGTAATAATGTGTGGGAATGACTGCACCGTGACTAACATGCAGTGACAGCTTAATTAATGTTAACCCTTATCATTATCATATAAGAATGTGAGTTACATAAGAGAGGAGTCCTGTCAGTTCGTTCTCTGCTGTGTCCCCAAGACCATGAATCATGGCTGGCATGTAGTAGGCATTTAATAATATATGTTCAACAAGTATTTGGCAGTCTTGGAGGGCAGAAAAGGAGGTGGGGAAGATTTTTAAATAACATTTTTTAAAAAGTCACATTGTCCTACAATACCGATTTTTCTTGCATATTTAGGAAATTGAGGGTTTTTTTCTAAAACATGCGGACATATGGGAAATAGGATGCAACATTTGCACTAATGTTTCAGACACAGTTAGAGGTTTCCAAGAGATTTTGCGCTGGGGAGGCTGCTTGCTACAAGCTCCCAAAGCTCTGGGAGGACATAGTATTCATTCCTCCCTCAGCAGAAGCGGTGAGGCAAGAAGCTCTGGGGAGCACCCAGCGTTGGACTTTTAGCATAGTGTGTCAGGTCTTCATAGTTTGGGCCCAGGGCACAGAGAAGTCACAGCTCTCCGGCATCCTGTGACCTTTACCCTCTTTGCCAAGGGAAAATGTGGCCCACCAAAGCAAGAAACTTGAGGGCATGGGTCACCCCAGCCCTGGCATCTGCCCAGAGCCCGAGAAGGAAGGAACAATGATCCTCCAGCTACCTCACGGGGCTGGCACAGGTGACCACTGCCCTGGCATCACCCAGCTGTGTCCGGCAGCCTGAACCCCATCTGTGGGGATGCGAGGAGGAAAATACAAAAGTCCTTAGGTGAACACTGAGAAGGCAGATGCAGCAGAAACCTCCAGGCCAGAACTACCCAGTCTTGGACCTATGGTGGAGATAGAGCATAGCTGGCGATCATGTGTACTTACACTCTAAGGTCACCTGGTTGCACTATGGCCTCATCTGTGGCTCTGAAAATGAAGATTTGGAAGGAGATCATCACAGCTAATGTTTAACAAGCCCCTCCTGTGTGCCAAATCATTCACCCCTCACCACAACCGAATGAGCTAAGGATTCTCATTATATATAGTTTATGGAGAGGGAAGTGCAGACATAAAGAGGTGAATTATCTTACCCAGATCACACAGCTGATAAGTGGTGGAGGCAGAATAGAATCTAAACAGTGTGGCTCCGGAGCCCACATGCATTGATTCGACAAGTGTTTATTGAGCACCTGCCGCGGACAAGGCCTTGTGTGATTAAATAGGGTTATAATTAGTAATATAAAAATGAGAAATCACTAATGCTTTTTAGACTTAACATTTTGTTTTTTTGTAGGTTTCAGGCACAGAACTGTATATCCAATAATAGTGAAATGGATCCCACTAATTATGACAGAAATGATGATACATTTAAATGACTTGGATGTTTTATAGGTATGATCTCGTGAAATCTTGAGAGAAACTGAATGACGAATGAAACTATTGTTCCTGTTTCACACAGAAGAAAACTGAGGTTAAAAGGGGTAAAGTAATTTTGCATGGCATGAAGTAGAAATTCAAAGTACAGGAATTTGAACTTGGTTCTGTCCTTTTCTGAAGCCCTTGACCACTATAGACTCAAACATCACCTTGTTTTTCCACTCATTCAACACTTTTTTTTTTAAATTATCTAATAGGTTGGCACTCATCATGAGCCCCTGTTCTCATTCTGCAAATGGTGAAGCTCTCTATTGTCCTGACCCCACAGTTCCTGTCCCATGACCAGGGCCAGCTCACCAAGGAGCTGCAGCAGCATGTAAAGTCAGTGACATGCCCATGCGAGTACCTGAGGAAGGTGAGTGAGTGCAGACAGATGGGGCCTGGTGCCCTTGAGCAGTTCCCGGGTCTCAGCTGCCACACATCTCATAGCCGGTGATGCTGGGGGAAGCTTACGCAGTCACAGTACTGGCTTCTTCCTCTTTTTCTTTCCATACAAGTGGCTTAGGGATGGGGTAGAGTAGTTGACTTATTTGGATGAAAACCACTATCTTCTGTCAGAAACTCAAAAGGAATCATTGCTGGCATGGTAACCTAAAGAAAAACAACCAGACAAGTGCCCAACGACACTTAAAAAGGTGATTTATTAGCTTGCCAAGTTTAGGCTGGGCATGGTGACTCATGCCTCTAATCCCAGCATTTTGGGAGGCTGAGGCTGGTGGATCACCGGAGGCCAGGACTTTGAGACCAGCCTGACCAATATGGCAAAACCTCGTCCCTACTAAAAATACAAAAATTAGCCGGGCATGGTGGTGTGAGCCTGTAGTCCCAGCTACTCAGGAGGCTGAGACAGGAGAATTGCTTAGATTCAGGAGGTGGGGGTTTTAGTGGGCCGAGATCACGCCATTGCACTCCAGACTGTGCGACAGAGCGAGACTCTGTCAAAAAAAAAAAAAAAAAATTATCCTGCAAAATTTGAAAAGGAAATTCAAATCAACAGCTTCTAAACTACTTTTTAACATGACTCATAATAATACATTCTATAGTACATATGTATGTTCTATAACTTTGAATAAAAGAGTTAACCACATCACATTTATTTTATAACATGTAATACATATTTTTTATTCTCCTTCATTTGTTTTGAATGCTCTGTGCAGTCTACAAAAAGTCCAATAGTAATAATTAAATTAGTCATTAAGTTGAACATTATCTTGTCTTTTAAAATGATAATCTCAAAAATGATCTTTTATTTTTGAGATTTATATAGATACACACACACACACACACACACACACACACACACACACACACACACACACACACACATATTTTTTGAGACAGAGTTTCACTCTGTCCCCCAGGCTGGAGTGCAATGGCACAATCTTGGCTCACTGCAACCTCTGTCTCCCGGGTTCAAGCAATTCCTCTGCCTCAGCCTCTGAGTAGCTGGGACTACAGGTGTGTGCCACCATGCCCAGCTAATTTTTGTATTCTTAGTAGAGATGGGGTTTCACCATATTGGCCAGGCTCGTGTCAACTCCTGACCTCGTGATCTGCCCACCGCGGCCTCCCAAAGTGCTGGGACTATAGGTGTGAGCCGCTGCACCCGGTCCAAGTAAAATTATTTTAACAATATACTATGAAGAGAAAAACACTGGCTATGAAAGAATATGCATAGTTTTACCCTGTTTAAAAATAAAGATTGAAAGAATACATATGCAAATAAGTTTACTTTTATTTTTGGTAACACTTTACTGCATTGTCTGAATATTGACAATCAGTATGCATTATGAAGCTACCTGGCTAACATTGTGTACTCACTGTGTGTGCCAGGCCCTGGGTTCAATGCTCTACATGCACTTATATTTCATTTAATTCTCTCTGCAACCTGAGATGGTATAGCCACCTCATTTTACAGAGTTGAAACTGAGGCTCAGAGACTGAAAGTTAAGCCTGAGGTTGCAGTCAATAAGAGGCAGAGCTGGAACTGAAACCTACCTGTGTCTGACCACCAGTTCGTGTTCTGACGGCAGGCTAGTCTGCATCACAGAGTGTGGAGTAGATGGTGCATGCCTGCTAGGATGGGCTAGGTATCACTGTAGGTAAGAAACAGCCCCAAACTATGGAAATGTACACCACTGAAGGCTCTTTTCCTGCCCATGCTGCACATCCTCCATGGCTCTCCTGTGCCCTGTGCCCCACATGCCCTCATCCTGCCACGAGAATAAAGGAGCAGCCTCCATATGGGAGCTGTCAGCTGCTCTAAGAGATGAAGGAGAGAGTGGCCCGTCTCAATGGCTCCCAACTCTTCTGCCTCGAGGTGACACGCTTCACTTCCACGCACATCTCCTGGGTCAAAGCAAATCCCATGGGTACATCCACTTTCAAGTGGCCCAGGAGAGAACCTGAAATACTCGGTGGACTCCATTAAGGCCGTCATATGGTGTCAGCCTGCATGGGAGACTGTGGAGGGGCAGAGGAGGAGAGTGGGGAACTGATGGGAAATGACAGGAGGACTAAGTCACCGCAGATTTGCTTTATCTTCAGCCAGGTGGAGTTTGTCCCAGAGCCGCACAAAATCATCACCAGCATGATTAAACGGAGTAGACTTCAGAAAAAGCAGTTTGGTCGGATGTAATCAGCAGTGAACTCAGAATCAATTGAGTGACATTGAGTCAGTAAATCTCTGACTGCCTCAGTTACCCCATATGATAGTTTTGAGGATGGGAACATTGAGAGAGTTGATTTGGAAGGATATCAAGAGTAAAAATTCCAACATTTTTAGTTCCTTTAAGTTAAATCCAGGCACTGTCTTTCCTGCAAGTCTCCTGTTCCTTTCAGATTGCACAGGTGAGAGTGCTCAGATTAGGGCTGGAGGTTGTAAACCATTGCTCCCACACTGACAGTGCCCCCGTGTCGTGCGTGTATTCTGCGCATTTTCCTGTGCTAAACACTCTCCCAAAACATCGTGGGGCCTGATTCTTCCTCTTTGTTCCAATGGCCCTGGGTGACTCAAGTGCCCATTCAATGACCAGGACACAGAGGTCTTAGAGAGATGCTCCTTGAGGCCCCAGGTGCGAGCCTGTACCCTGCCGGAGCATGAGGCAAGGGACAGGGCATCGTCTGTGGGGATAGTGGGGGTAGTGGGGGTAGTGGTCAGCCAGATTTGGTGACTCTACTTGCTCACCAGACGATCCTACACCTGCCACCTCCGATGGATCCACTGCCTCTGTGCCTGCCTGTACTGCTGATGCTCCAGTGGATAACTCAGCATCCCAGCCTAGGCCCAATGCCACTGAAGATGGACCTGCCCCCTGGGGACCCAGGAGTCCTACCACTCAGCTGTCCCCAGGAGTGCCCAGACCCTCATTCTTATCCAGGACCTAGGAGCCCTACCCCTGGCCTTCCCTCATCAGCCGTAAATGATGATTTACTGCTGTTACCATCATCACTGCCTTCAGTGACCAAGGGCCTTCCAAGGTGCCAGCTCTGGAACGAAGGATGCCCTTGGGAGGTGATGACACTCAGGTACACGGGTGCTCAGCAGATTGCTTCCTCCTATCCTCAGACGGTCTTTGCATGCATGCAGCCATTGGCACTCCCATTGTGTGGAAGGAAACCAGCCCAGGGTCACACAGCTGGTCAGCAGCAACATAGCTGGTCTCAAATCTAAGGTGCCTGACCATGCCTCCATGAGGGACCGCCTCCAAGGGAGGTTGATCCTGGCTTTGGGGAGCCTTTCCTGGGCTGCACGAATAACCTCCATTGTTCGAGACCCCAAACTCTGCTCACATCTTCCTTTCCCTATCTCTGCTTGGGCTATGATCACGGTGACTCTAGCAGCCCTTCATGGACATTATAGTACTCTCTGCCATTCACTTTTGCTCTAATCTGACTTCAACCCCCACTTACTTGGTCTCTCCTTTTACAACCACCACAACCGAAATCTAGGGCTGCTTTTTTTTTTTTTTTTTTTTTTGAGACAGAGTCTCATTCCATTCTGTCACCCAGGCTGGAGTGCAATGGTACGATCTCGGCTCACTGCAACCTCCGCCTCCCGGGTCCAAGGGATTGTCCTGCCTCAGCCTCCTGAGTAGCTGGGATTACAGGCGTGTGCCACCATGCCTGGCTAATTTTTGTATTTTTAGTAGAGACGGGGTTTCACCATGTTGGTCAGGCTGGTCTCGAACTCCTAACCTCGTGATCCGCCTGCCTCAGCCTCCCAAAGTGCTGGGATTACAGGCGTGAGCCACCATGCCCAGCCAAATCTAGGGCAGGAACATGGCTGCAGCATATAAAAAGAATTGAATTCCATACTTTTGTTAACCCTGTTTTTTGTTTGTTTGTAGTTGTTGCTGTTTTTGAGACAGAGTCTCGCTCTGTCGCCTAGGCTGGAGTGCAGTGGTGCAATCTCGGCTCACTGCAGACTCTGCCTCCCGGGTTCAAACTATTCTCCTGCCTCAGCCTCCCAAGTAGGTGGGACTACAGGCGCCCACCACCACACCCGGCTAATTTTTGTATTTTATTAGAGACAGGGTTTCACCATATTGGCCAGGCTGGTCTGGAACTCCTGACCTTGTGATCCGCCCACCTCGGCCTCCCAAAGTGCTGGGATTACAGGCGTGAGCCACCACACCCAGCCCCTGTTTTGTTTTTGTTTTGCTTGCTTCTTAGGGTTGTTTTTCTATTTATGGTAAAGGCATTGGCTTTCCATTTGTAGCATCAATAGAATATTTCCTGTTTACAATAACCTTATGTCATAGTAAATGGTAAAGGGATTTAAAGCAGTGGTTTTCAGCTGCCAGAGGCCTGAGAGAGTTTGGGCATACTCTGTGTGATCGGGCAGAAGGCCTGTGGGAAGTTTAGCAGAGGACAGGGCCAGGAAAGGTGATGGACAGTGGGGGTCTGTCCTGGTCACCAGGCCCCTGGGTCCTGCCCACCTGCTTGGAGCTCCCCACCCATCACACATGATGCTGCCAAGCCCTCTGGGTATTGTGGGCAAATACCTTAGGAGAGAAGCTGATGAACTTTGTTTCTTGAAATGCACAGATTCCTTGGACGTCCCTGAGAGCTCAGTCATGAAAGTCAACTTGGTTTTCTCCCCCTCATTTGGGTTCAGAATTTAAAGTCCACACACACAGGCAGTAAGATGATATAGATAAGGACGTCATCACTCGGTTTCGGATGTTAAAATGTCTAGGTGGGTTAGCGGTGATTTGAGATCACACAACCTTGTGCCACAAAGAGGAATTCCCAGGCCAGAGGGAGACATTTTATTGCCATGTTATGATCTCATTATTGAGTTGAAAGGCAATCTTGTTTCATTTTGGATTCTTTCTTATGTTTATGTCTTATAAGGGCACTTTGAATTTCCAAGCAAATAATAATTTTGAATTAGCTTTTAATCATTGACTTCTAGCACAGTTATATGATCAGAAACATGCTGTGTGATTTGATTGCTCTCAAATATATTGAGATTTGCTGGAACAAAATAAGTCAGGTTAATTTTTGTAAATGTACCAGGCATGCTTAAAATGAATGTATCTACATTTGTTCCTGAGATACAGGTTGATGGACGGATGGCTACATGGATGTGATGGAGATGGTTTACTATCGGGACCTTCCGCACCCTGCTGATGTTTTGTTGCTTAGGATATGAATGGCTGAGCGGAGGCTGTAAAACCTGGCACTCTGCTTGGGTATGAGGTTCTTCCTGCCATCCTGCCATCATTTGTTTTTTATGTTTTGTCGCCATAAGTGACCTTGAGGAACCCTGGGAGCTCAGGAAGGAAGGAGCGCCCAGAAGCAGGGACAGGGAGCTGGTTGGGGAGGACCAGAAATCAGGTTTGTGAAGGTTCCAGAGAGGACCTGTCTTTGGGAGGAGTGTGGGAGACTGAGATGGGGGAGGGGTCATTGGAATGATGCGGGCGCTACTTGGCATTGTCCATTGTGAGGCACTGTCCATTGTGAGGCACCACCGGGGTCATCAGGGATTGGTGGAGAGGGAGTATAAAGCCCCAGGGTTGGTAAGGGAGGGCCCAGACCGAAGAAGGTTTGGTGGATAGCAGAACCTTTTTGTCTCCCTCTGATTGCTCCTAAGCCTCACGCTCCCTTGCCCCGCGTGTCCTGTTGCTTCCCTGATCTTCTCCGTGACCTGTAGCTAAACCTTCCACCAGCGCTTGAGAACTTAATTTGAACCGGATCCTTTCCCAGACCCCTTTCTTCTTCTCCTCCTCCTCCTCCACCTCCTCCAGGTGCCCAACAGCCCCCTTCTCCTCCTTTCCCTTCCCTTACTTCCCCCCTTCCCCTCCCCTTCCCCTCCCCCTCCCCTCCCCCTCCCCCTCCCCAACTCAGATCCGGCCCCGGTCCCCGTCCCCTTCCCTCCCCCCTGCCCTAAGCCACCTCCACCTCTGTCCTGGCCGCCTCAGGGCGCCCTGAAAGGACCAGGACATGCGGGTGCGGTGGATGCTCTTTTGGCTCCTCTTTGGGCTCCTACTGGAATTTATCAGCCATCAGTGCATCTCTGTGAGTAGACGCTGGACCCGTGGGGTTTCTTCCTTTTTACTGGGCTGTATCACGTGGCATGAAATTACACAGCTCAGGCCTGTAATCCCAGCACTTTAGGGGGCCGAGGTGGGCAGATCACTTGAGTCCAGGAGTTGAAGACTAGCCAGGGCATCATAGCGAAACCCCATCTCTACAAAAAATTCCAATAAAGATTAGTCGGGCCTGGTGGTGCGTACCTGTTATCCCAGTTACTGGAGAGGCTGAGGTGGGAGGATCGCTTGGGCCCAGGAGCTGGACGTTGCAGTGAGCCGAGATGGCCCCGCTGCACTCTTGTTTTTAACAAAGAAAATGGACCAAAACAAAGTGAAATGTCATTTGATTTGTGTCATCTGGTTTGATGACTTTTTTTTTTTTTTTTTTTTTTTTTAGACAGAGTCTCACTCTGTCGCCCAGGCTGGAGTGCAGTGGCAAGATCTCGGCTCACTGCAACCTCCGCTTCTGGGGTTCAAGCAATTGTCCTGCCTCAGCCTCCTGAGTAGCTCAGATTACAACGCCTGGCTAATTTTTGTATTTTTAGTAGACCACCACGCCTGGCTAATTTTTTTTTTTTTTTTTTTTTTTTTTTTTTTTGAGACGGAGTCTCGCTCTGTCGCCCAGGCTGGAGTGCAGTGGCGGGACCTCGGCTCACTGCAAGCTCCGCCTCCCGGGTTCACGCCATTCTCCTGCCTCAGCCTCCCAAGTAGCTGGGACTATAGGCGCCCGCCACTACGCCCGGCTAATTTTTTGTATTTTTAGTAGAGACGGGGTTTCACCATGTTCGCCAGGATAGTCTCCATCTCTTGACCTCGTGATCTGCCTGCCTCAGCCTCCCAGTGCTGGGATTACAGGCGTGAGCCACCGCGCCTGGCCAAAATATATAACCTTAAGTGTAAGTTTACTAACTTTGGAAAGTACATACACCAGCATAAACCAACCCCCTTTCAAGATCTACATTATTTTATTTATTTATTTATTTATTTATTTATTTATTTTGAGACAGTTTCTCCCTTGTTGCCCAGGCTGGAGTGCAATGGGGCAATATCAGCTCACCGCAACCTCTGCTTCCCAGGTTCGAGCGATTCTCCTGCCTCAGCCTCCCGAGTGGCTGGGATTACAGACATGTGGCACCACTCCCAGCTAATTTTGTATTTTTAGTAGAGATAGGGTTTCTCCATGTTGGTCAGGCTGGTTTTGAACTCCCGACCTCAGGTGATCCGCCCGCCTCGGCCTCCCAAAGCGTTGGGATTACAGGCGTGAACCACCATGCCCAGCCAAGATCTACACTATTATGTCACCCCAGAAAGTGAACTCTCAGTCTTCCCAGCCAGTCTCTTTCTTATCATAGGTTAGCTTGCTTATTCTGGAATTTCGCGTATACAGATGCATGCCATGCCATAGGTACTCTTTTGTGTCTGCTTTGTTCTGCTCAACACCATGTTTCTGAAATCATTACCATTGTTGTATGGTTCTCTAACTTCATCATTTCCATTTCAGACTCAGCATATGCTGAGTTCAACCTGTTGAAGGGCTATCTCTGTTTAATTCACCATCTTGAAAGAAACATTTAAAATTGAGATGTTTTCAAGAATATATAGTTAAATCCTGAGGAATCGACGTAGAAATGTTATCACAAGCTGTCTGAACTTACTCAGGGGAAGTCTTCGTCTTCACTCACATAAGAGTCTAATGGAATTAATATCAACAATCTTAGAGAAATCCCACACTATTCATGCCATTTTCATGATCTCCACCTTGATAATTTTTTTTTTTTTTTTTTTTTTTTTTTTTTTTTTTTTTTGAGACAGAGTCTCGCTCTGTCACCCAGGCTGAAGTGCAGTGGTGCGATCTCGGCTCACTGCAACCTCTGCCTCCCGGGTTCAAGTGATTCTTCTGCCTCAGCCTCCCAAGTAGCTGGAACTATAGGCACGTGCCACCATGCCCTGCTAATTTTTTGTATTTTTAGTAGAGACGGGTTTCACCGTGTTAGCTAGGATGGTCTCAATCTCCTGATCTCGTGGTCCACCCACCTCGGCTTCCCAAAGTGCTGGGATTGCAGGCGTGAGCCACCACGCCCAGCCCACCTTGTTAATTTTTAAGCACTAAAATTTGATACTTATTTGTGAATGAAGTAATCTCTTCATTGTATTTTTTTTTTTTTTACTTATGCTGAGATTTAAATGACAAAGATTCATATAATCCAAGAGAGAAGTATTATTTAGAGGGATTCTTTTACCATGTGATATATAATAAATGCATCCAATGTTATACATCAATTTAAAAAACAAGTAAATAACTTTAAAGAAAAGATAACTACTGGCCAGGTGCAGTGGCTCACACCTGTATTCCCAGCACTTTGGGAGGCCAAGGCAGGTGGATCATGAGGTCAGGAGTTGGAGACCAGCCTGGCCAAGATGGTGAAACCCTGTTTCTACTAAAAATACAAAAATTAGCCGAGCGTGGTGGCAGGCGCCTGTAATCCCAGTTACTCAGTAGCTGAGGCAGGAGAATCGCTTGAACCCGGGAGGCGGAGGTTGCAGTGAGTTGAGATCATGCCACTGCAATCTAGCCTGGGTGACAGAGCAAAACTTTGTCTCAAAACAAAAAGAAAAGAAAAGATAAGATAATTACTTTATACTTAGCTTGTCTTACCCATGAGTGACGGGCTGCATGTGGCCCAGGACAGTTTTGAATGCAGTTCAACACAAATTTGTAAACTTTCTTAAAACATTAGGAGATTTTGGCCAGGTACAGTGGCTCATGCGTGTAATCCCAGCACTTTGGGAGGCTGAGGCGGGCAGATTACCTGAGGTCAGGAGTTCGAGACCACCCTGACCAACATGGCAAAACCCCATCTCCACAAAAAATACAAAAATTTGCTGAGTGCACTGTCAGGCACCTGTACTCCCAGCTACTCAGGAGGCTGAGGCAGGAGAATCACTTGAACCTGAGAGGCAGAGGTTGCAGTGAGCCGGGAGCACACCACTGCACTCCAGCCTGGGTGACAGAGTGAGACCCCATCTCAAAAACAACAAACAAAAACAAAAACAAAAAAATGGCTGGGCACGGTGGCTCACACCTGTAATCCCAGCACTTTGGGAGGCCGAGGTAGGCAGATCGCCTGTCAGGAGTTCAAGGCCAGACTGGCCAACGTGGTGAAACCTCATCTCTACTAAAAATACAAAAATGAGTCGGGCATGGTGGCAGAGACCTGTAATCTCAGCTACTCGGGAGGCTGAGGCAGGAGAATGGCTTGAGCCCAGGAGCTGGAGGTTGCAGTGAGCCGAGATTGCACCACTGCACTCCAGCCTGGGCGACTGAGTGGAGCGGAACTCTGTCTCAAAAAAAAAAAAGAGGTTTTTTTTAGATCATCAGCTATTGTTAGTGTTAGTGTATGTTATGTGTGGCTCAAGACAACTTTGCTTCTTTTAATATAGGCAGGGAAGTCAAAAGATTGGATATCCCTGCTTTATACCAAGAAAGACAACACCCCACATTTGCAATGCCTGAAAACACTACCAGCCATCTGAAAAACATGTGACTTCTAACTTCTGTTCTTTTTTGTAGCAGTGGAATCCCACGGTGATATCTGAGGGATGTGGTTACCTTTTGGAGGAGGTTGACGGTTTCTAAGGATGATTCTTTCTGAGTGAAATATTGTCAGTGTCATTGACCTTTTCATTATTTCAACTATTATTATTCCAGGTTATCAATACTCTGGCTGACCATCATCATCGTGGGACTGACTTTGGTGGAAGTCCTTGGTTACATGTCATTATTGCGTTTCCGACAAGTTATAAAGTTGTCATTACCCTCTGGATAGTTTACCTTTGGGTGAGTATACTAACTTTCTGTAGAGGTATACTTGTAATCACAAATAAGAATAAATTATATAAAACAATTCACATTTCTGGACTTCATTATGAATATGTGGTTTTACCCAAAAAATCAGGGAAATGATTTATTAGTATAAGAATTATGAAAACATCTGCCATTTGCATTATGAAAATTAAATAGGTCGGTGTTTGTTTAATAGAATGTCAACAGAGCTTTTGGTCAAAAATAAGTTTTTTTAACCTTTGTGCTATTTATCACAAATGGAGTATGAGGTTTCGTCACTTAAATAGGAAATTCTTTCTAAACTCTTCTGCTTTATAGTTCTATCGTATGGGTGGAAGGAAAGCTTCCAATCTCCTCTCTGAAGATTCACTGCAGAAATGAGCTGACAACAGACAGCTTAACAGGAAAAGAAAAACATAGAACAGGCATAAACATGGGAACCAGCTGAAAAATGAGACTGCTAGAAGGGCCGGATGGCTGATGCTTAAAGAGCACCCTCTTCTGAGGGGAGAGGGAGATAGATGGAGATGTAGGCCATTTAGAGGGGCAGCAAATGATTTTTAGGGGAAATGAAAGAGGCCAAGGAACAAACAATTGGCCTGAGACAAAGTTCCTGTGAGGTCATAGGGACGAGGTGACAAACTGCCGGAAGGTGAAGGGCAGAACTGCACTGCGTCTCATGATGCAGAGAAAGCCCCAGAGACTCTTAGAACTGCCCTCCAAGAGAATCAATGAAAAGTGTGTCTGGGCAGGGTAATTTTGAATGACATCATTCAAAGTGCATGTTCCGACTTGGAACTGGAGAGAGATCAGTATGTCAAAAGTCTGTACTTGGTAAGAATTTGGCTGCTAAGTTGTGCCATAATTTGTCTTTTGAGCCTTTTTTCCTTTGGGTAAGTTGAGCTCTACATTTTGTCTTGCCATTCATGACAGTAAAAATGTGGTTGTCTGGGGGCTGAACCTCCTTCTGAACAATGATCCAAGATAAAAGTACTAATACCACAATGCTTTTTTATATTCAAGGGAAGAGGAAGTATGTTTCAGTTTTACCACCTAGATAATTACACGTCATTTGGCACTGCCTTTCAAGATATGTAGAAAACAGAAAATATATGAGTTATGAAGATATCTAGGCACATTTAACATTCTCTATGCCACTTAGTCCTGAACAGAGAATTTTCGGTATAAATTGGAGGAAGCTTTTTTCTTTTTTTTTTTTCTTTTCTCACCCCGAAGACGAGTCTCCTTCTGTTGCCCAGGCTGGAGTATAATGGTGTGACCTCGGCTCACTGCAACCTCCACCTCCTGGCTTCAAGTGATTCCCCTGCCTCAGCCTCTCAAGTAGCTGGGATTACAGGTGCCCACCACCATGCCCAGCTAATTTTTGTATTTTTAGTAGAGTCGGGGTTTTACCATGTTGGCCAGGCTAGTCTCAAAACCCGACCTCAAATGATCCACCCACCTCAGCCTCCCAAAGTGCTGGGATTACAAGCGTGAGCCACCACGTGAGCCAGGGGAAGTTTTTAAATTTACCACTTTTTAACAATTCCACTTAGGAAAGTTCAGTTGAGCTGTTGGACTTGGACAACTTCGCACCTCTCATCTTTGTCCTTGTCATCTAGTCATCTATACCATTACCTCCTTAGCAGGGACATCATGGGTGCCATGAAGCATTCATGCGTGATGGCATTTCTTGGCTTCTCATTTCTTCATGTGTTTGACATTTCCCCTAGCTCCAAACTGGGCCAGCTACCTTTCCTATGAAATCTAGCAGTAGCTGTGGGATTGACGTGGTTGCTCTTTTCATCTTTTTAGATTACCCATTGCTTCTCTCGAAATCCTAGTACATGATTTTTTTTTTATCCTATGTGCAGAAATCAGGAAAAAACAAATTCTACAAAGAATTTGAAAGATATTATTTCAGGCCAGGTGTGGTGGCTCATGCCTGTAATCCCAGCACTTTGGGAGGCTGAAGCAGATGGATCATTTGAGGTCAGGAGTTCAAGACCAGATGGGCCAACATGGTGACACCCCATCTCTACTAAAAAGACAAAAATTAGCCAGGCATGGTAGCAGGCACCTGTAATCCCAGCTACTTGGGAGGCTGAGGCACAAGAATCGCTTGAATCTGGGAGGTGGAGGTTGCCGTGAGCCAAGGTAGCGCCACTGCACTTCAGCACGGTTGAGAGTGACACTCTGTCTCAAGAAAAAAGTCATTTCAATGACCACCTCAGGAGATTCATAGGTATCTGACCCACATCTGAGATGGGATTTGCATTGCATTTTAGCTATGATGAGAAGAAATATTTAATATCTTAGAAGATTAAAAGCATACTGTGATAATATGGAAATCTTGGTGGGAATTCAGTCATTAGTGAGAATGTTTTGCGTTAAGTTCAAACCAGCCTCAATGAAGCTGATGTGAGGGAAGGGAAAGTGAACTCTGAGTAGAGCAGGGACAGAAGGAAGATGCTCCAGTGCAGATCAGGAAGGAGCAGGGGATGAAATGTTACAAATTCTAGAACTCAGAGAGCTGAAGGTAATTACTTCCTTTTCAAGTTGTGAAACATGTTAACCTGTGGTAAAATACTTATAAGATGATAATTACCATCTAACCGTGTTGAAGTGTACAGTTCAGTTGTGTGAAGTATATTCATGTCATTTTTTTTTTTTTTTTTTTTTTGAGACGAAGTCTCACTCTGTCACCAGGCTGGAGTGCAGTGGTGGGATCTTGGCTCACTGCAACCTCTGCCTCCTGGGTTCAAGCAGTTCTCCTGCCTCAGCCTCCCGAGTAGCTGGGACTACAGGCGTGCATCACCATGCTCAGCTAATTTTTGTATTTTTAGTAGAGACGGGGTTTCACCATGTTGCCCAGGATGGTCTCCATCTCTTGACCTTGTGATTCACCCGCCTCGGCCTCCCAAAGTGCTGGGATTACAGGCGTGAGCTACCGCATCTGGCCTATTTTTTTTTTTTTTTTTTTTTTTTTTTTGAGACAGAGTTTCAATTTTGTTGCCCAGGTTGGAGTGCAATGGCACAATCTCAGCTCACCACAAGCTTTTCCTGCTGGGTTCAAGTGATTCTCCTGCCTCAGCCTCCCGACTAGCTGGGATTACAGGCATGCACCACCATGCCTGGCTAATTTTGTATTTTTAGCAGAGACAGCGTTTCTCCATGTTGGTGAGGCTGGTCTCAAACTCCCGACCTCAGGTGATCCGCCTGCCTCGGCCTCCCAAAGTGCTGGGATTACAGGAGTGAGCCACCGTGCCAGCCTCATGTCATTCTTGTGTGTGTGTGTGTGTATGTGACAGAGTCTCATTCTGTCGCTCAGGCTGGAGTGCAGTGGTGTGATCTCGGCTCACTGCAACCTCCGCCTCCCAGCTTCAAACGGTTCTCTGCCTCAGCCTCCCGAGTAGCTTGGATTACAGGCGCCCGCTGCCATGCCCGGCTAATTTTTGTATTTTTAGTAGAGACGGGGTTTCACCATCTTGGCCAGGCTGGTCTTGAACTCCTGACCCCGTGATCCACCTGCCTCGGCCTCCCGAAGTACTGGGATTATACGCATGAGCCACCGTGCCCAGCCGTCATTCTTATATTATTATTTCCTAGGTGTCTCTCCTGAAGACTATCTTCTGGTCTCGAAATGGACATGATGGATCCACGGATGTACAGCAGAGAGCCTGGAGGTCCAACCGCCGTAGACAGGAAGGTATGGCTCTGTTGGAATCCGCATAGTGTGGAAATGAGTTTGCCCTGGAAAGGGAAAGAACAGCTTCTTGCCCTCAGGTTTCTCACCTTCTCCTCTCCTCACTCTCACCAAGGGCTGAGGTCCATTTGTATGCACACAAAGAAAAGAGTTTCTTCCTTTCGAGGAAATAAAATTGGCCTGAAAGACGTCATTACTCTACGGAGACATGTGGAAACAAAAGTTAGAGCTAAAATCCGTAAGAGGAAGGTGACAACGAAAATCAACCATCATGACAAAATCAATGGAAAGAGGAAGACCGCCAGAAAACAGTAAGATGTGCCTTGACACAAATACTGTTGTATGAACCATGTGCCAATCAAAGTAGACAACTGTAAAGTCCTTGAGAATATTTTCTACAATATTTGTGGCAAATTCAGTGGGTTCAAAATTGAGTTTGTCCTTTCTGCTTCATTAGTTTAAGCTGTATAATTCCTTTCCCTTCCTACATTCTTGTTTTCATTTTTTCGGAGGAAGAGGAGTTGCTAGTACTGGCATTGGTTTTCCTTTCTCTTTTTTTTTTTTTTTTTTTTTCCTGAGATGGAGCTTTGCTGTTGTTGCCCAGGCTGTAGTGCAATGGCACAATCTCAGCTCACTGCCTTTTGGGTTCAAGCAATTCTCCTGCCTCAGCCTCCCAAGTAGCTGGGATTACAGGTGCCCACCACCACGCCCAGCTAATTTTTGTATTTTTACTAGAGATGGGGTTTCACCATGTTGTCCAGGCTGGTCTCGAACTTCTGACCTCAGGTAATCCACCTGCCTCAGCCTCCCAAAGTGCTGGGATTAGAGGCGTGAGCCACCACAGCCAGCCTTTTTTTTTTTTTTTTTTTTTTTAATTTTGCGATAGAGTCTCGCTCTGTCGCCCAGGCTGGAGTGCTATGGTGCAATCTTGGCTCACTGCAACCTCTGCCTCCCAGTTTGAAGCAATTCTGCCTCAGCTTCCCGAGTAGCTTGGATTACAGGTGTGTGCCACCACATTTGACCAATTTTTTTTTTTTTTTTTTTTTTGAGACAGAGTCTCACTCTGTCACCCAGGCTAGAGTGCAGTGGCATGATCTTGGCTCACTGCAACCTCCACCTCCCAGGTTCAAGCGATTCTTATCCCTCAGCCTCTTGAGTAGCTGGGACTACAGGCATATGCCACCATGCCCGGATAATTTTTGTATTTTTAGTAGAGGCGGGGTTTCACCATATTGGCCAAGCTGGTCTAGAACTCCTGACATGATCCGCACACCTCGGCCTCCCAATGTGCTGGGATTACAGGCGTGAGCCACCGTGCCCGGCCCAATTTTTGTATTTTTAGTAGAGACAGGGGTTCACCATGTTGGCCAGGCTAGTCTTGAACTCCTGACCTCAGGTGATCTGCCTACCTCAGCCTCCCAGTGTGAGCCACCGCACCCAGCCTGGATTGTTGAATTCAATGCTTGGGTCACCTCCAGATTCATTTTCACAGTCTTTCATGTTTTGGTCATATGACATTGTATTTTGCTGCCATATGACTGATCTTTTTTTGTTAAATGTGAGATACTTGTTAAAAAATGTTTAGCAATGAATTGAGGCCTAGTAGCATGTTATCTTGCTGCAGAAGAGATGGGAGTCTACTTCTGGGGGATGGTCAGGGGTCCTCCATACAGGCTGCAATTGAAGTCATCGGTGCAGGCTCAGTCCCTACAAAGGCCAGGGTATTTCCTGTCCACCTTTATTCTGATGCATGACTCTTCTGGGTCTCAACCAGAGCCAGTGGACTTCAGTATGGGTCGCTTTCATTGGCAGACCCTCAATCCACTTGTTTTCCATCTAATCCCACGCATGTGTGCAAAAGCTGCTGTGCTTCTTTGCATCTCAGTAGTTCCTTCTGGAATTCAGCAATGAAACTCAGGGAAATGGGTTCCAAATGCGAGGCTGACTTTCGTCCTGGGTTTCCTTCTTCTCCATCTTCACCTCATGTCTGTTTACTGCCATGTTAGCAATTTGATGTATTCAATCATGGGTTTTATATTCTGTTTGGTGTCCCCCATTGTTCTCATCGGAGATCAGAAGCTTCAGATGCACTTATGTCAACTCAAGAGTAGAATGCTTCCTTAGCTTCCCTCCAGAGTCAGGTTTTGTGTTTCTAGTTCCCAAGTGCACAGCAGGAGTAGTGATGTCCTCACTGGCTTCTCATTTGCATTAAGCTGTGAGCTTCTTTAGCGTGGGGACAGGACCCTGCTCCCATTGCATTCTCAGCACCACACCACACACTCCTTGTTTGAGGCCACTCCAGACAGCATGTGCTGAAGGATGCCTTGTGGTCAGAAACAAGTTCATTAACTTTCTCTTTGAAGTGTTTTCGCCCCTGTTTCCTAGCGTTCTGGGAATTTTACACATCCTTCCTATAAAGCCAAGTATCAGGTGAGATCCTTAGGATCAGGACCATGAATCAAGTGGTGTGAGGGCAACACAGCAAACTTACCCTTTTGAGGCCGTTTCCTTTTTCTGCCCTCAATCTCTGTGAACTGAACCTTGTTAAAGTCAGTCAACACCAGGGTGGATGGTTTGCCGTTGTCACCTATTTTCAGGACATAACACCCTGACTTAGGAGCCATTCCGATCATTTCTAATTCAATAGATGCGCCCAGCATTCAGATTGCCTTTTCTCTCAACCAGGATCTTTAAAGTCGATGACAAGAGTTCCAGTCCTGAATCATGGCAAAGTGCAGTAGTGAACTGCGGGGTTATTCTGGAAGGATCTCTCTATGGCTGATGGTCTCAGTTCCGGCATCAGCCTCTGACTGAGAATCAGGTCTCACACAGGAGGAGTCAGATGAGGAGCAATCCTCTGCTTCCGATGGAGTTAGTTGTGATGAATTGGTGAGGTCTGGTTTTTCACACTGAACTAAAATGAGCTTTCGCTGTGTCAAGCACAAGACTGACCCCAGAGACACACATAGTGCACCTCATAGAAGCTTTTAATAGTCTTTATATTTACTAAAGAATAGGACTAACTATGGAACTATGAAGATGAGCTGGAAATGACAGGTGACTTGCCAGCAGGCCAGAGTGTGACTTTTTTTTGTCCCTCAATGGGAGGTGTCAATTCTCCCTTCGGTTGTGAGAATCAGTTGGTTCATTTGTGGGAAGGTTGCAGGGGGGATCTTTGAATCACAGCCTTCAGATGCCAGAAGGGCAGAGGGAATCCCACACGGGCTGGTGGATCATGTGTGTGCATTTCTCTCCCTTCTAATCTGAGGAAACTAAGCGTGAAAGAATGTGAGCATGCAGAAAAGGAGAGGCAGGTATCAGAGGCAGAGGAAAATGGGAAATTGGATATGAAAGAAATACACACCTACAAGTGAGTTCAGAAACTGTACCCCACCCTCTTGGGAAACGCCCATTGGAGTGTTGTTTTTAACCTTTGTACAGTATTTAGACCCAGTAAATGCAGAAATAGAAACAAACGGTCAGAAGACATATCGTGAGAGAGAGCGAGAGAGAGTTCACAAAACAGAAAACAAAGTACCTTAATATTTACCAGTGACCAAAAGATGTGAAGTAGCAAAACGTCTCCTGACCCCATTGCCAGCTAGACTGTGTGGAAACTCGGTTCATACCAGCCATTCTAGGGGTGGGGTGAGTTGTTGTCATCCTTAGGAAAGTGTGTTGTTGTAGGATCAACCACATCCTTCAAAAGGACTATGCCTGTTTATAAGCCCAGCTGTTTCTGCCCTGTGAAACACGGTAAGGATATTAATACAAAGAGAATACAGCTTTATGATAAAAGATGCTCAATGAAGGATGAATTAGGGATGTACTGAGAATGGGGAAGGAAACTATCATCTCAGAAGTCAGCAGGCAGTAAGCAAGAGGAGGAATCAATACAGCAACAGTTTGGATCAGACTGTACAGTTTTTTTGTTTTTGTTTTTGTTTTTCTGAGATGGAGTCTCGCTGTGTCACCCAGGCTGGAGTGCAATGACGTGATCTTGGCTCACTGCAACCTCCGCCTCCCAGGTTCAAGTGATTCCCCTGCCTCAGCCTCCCGAGTAGCTGGGATTACAGGTGCCTGCCACCACGCCTGGCTAATTTTTTGTATTTTTAGTAGAGAAGGGGTTTCACCATATTAGCCACAATGGTCTCAATCTCCTGACCTCGTGATCCATCCGCCCCGCCCTCCCAGAGTGCTGGGATTACAGGCGTCAGCCACCGTGACCGGCTCAGACTGTACTCTTCTAGCCATCTGAAATACGTTTTCTAGGTAGAGATAGATTGTGTAAGGGTACAGTTGTGAGGATAACAGAAACATGGCAGATTATTTAAAATCATCCTGAAAGTGGTGCTTTATCTGATGAAAGTGATTGTAATCCATAGGAAAATGTTTCAACGTGCGCAAGAGTTGCGGCGGCGAGCAGAGGACTACCACAAATGCAAAGTAAGGAGCTTCCTCCCTGCAGTTGCAGGATAGTTCAGTGCTGATGCAGATGATGCCACGGCCCTTAGACTCTCTCAACATTCAATTTCTCATGTGTTGGCTTTTTCAGATCCCCCCTTCTGCAAGAAAGGCTCTTTGCAACTGGGTAAGTTTGCTTGTTTTCCTTGCTTTTGGACATAGTCTGCCAGGTCAGGACATGGATACATTTTTCTCCCTACAGCTCTGTGCTCAAGCCCTGCAGAGGGAGATGGCAGAGAGAAAGGCTGCCTACAAGCATCACAGTCCCATCCCTGTTGGTAACCGTGTTGCGCAAAAACACCTTCATCCCCACCCAGTGGGGCCCCTGATCTAATATTCTAAGTGTCAGAGGTTCCGTATTTGTAATAGCAGATGGGCCCTGACTGTAAACTAGTGAAGAGTGAATGTAACTTATTACCCACAGGGACAATTCCAAATGAAGGCCTTAAATGATGCTCAGCTAAGCTGGTTCTTGTGTGGCCTCTGTACCTTCAAAAGCTGCCGAGTCCTATGATTACACGTGATGGGACTTGTACACTTGAAGTGAAACACAGTTTTAAAACTTGCTTTGTTTAGAATTCCCACCTCATTTTTCCATGGACAAAAGTATTCTTTATGTCCTAGTGCACTTACAATTTGGTATTACCTGGGAGTGAAAAGAAATATTACAGCCATGCCTAAGTGACTTCTTGAGGTGAGATTGTTCTGTCAGAAAACCCTCTCCCAGTTCCCCTGCAGCTCTTCAGGAATCCACATCTCTCCAGAGCTCTTTGTTCTCATGGGTGGCACCTCCAGAGTGAAGAAGATCCTTTGTCAAGAAGGGAAACAGAGGGGAAATGAGAGGGTCCTGCAGGCAGAGCTGGAATCAACTTCCACTCTGCCTCTTGCAAGCTGTGTGACCCTGGGCACAATTTCTCCTTCCTCTGGAAACCTCTGTTTTCTTAGATTTGGAGCAGGGTGGTCACACTGACCTTGCAGAGTTCTGAGAATCAGAGACAGAACATAAAAGGCCTGGAAAACATTCTCCAAAAAGAAGCTGCAACATGTGTGGACAGTGGGCTTTTCATGCCTCTCTTACTGTCTCTTACTGTCTGTTGACCTGGTGCAAGAAACATGCTCTGGTGATGGCTGTGAGGGAGGAATGAGGATAGACATAGACACTCCTGTGTCTCAAACATGCTTCTTTATTACTCTGTTATGACTCTGTCTTCCCTGGGGCAGGACCCCAGCCTGCCTACATTTGCAGACAGACACAGTGGCATGTGGAGACAACAGTGTGTCCCAATGACTTTCCTTTACCCTCCAGCTGTCGGCAGTACTCAGTGGAAGGGTGATATTATGACACTGATACTGCTATTTTGAAACCTGGAGGATGGAAAGGTGCAAAAATCTATCACCAGCAACAGAAGGTGCAGACTGTGTTGGTGGCGGTAATTTTGTCCATCAAATGAATATGTGTGAAAACATTCCCTCCTTTGGCCCTACAGGTCAGAATGGCGGCAGCGGAGCATCGTCATTCTTCAGGATTGCCCTACTGGCCCTACCTCACAGCTGAAACTTTAAAAAACAGGATGGGCCACCAGCCACCTCCTCCAACTCAACAACATTCTATAACTGATAACTCCCTGAGCCTCAAGACACCTCCCGAGTGTCTGCTCACTCCCCTTCCACCCTCAGCGGATGATAATCTCAAGACACCTCCCGAGTGTGTGCTCACTCCCCTTCCACCCTCAGCGGATGATAATCTCAAGACACCTCCCGAGTGTGTGCTCACTCCCCTTCCACCCTCAGCGGATGATAATCTCAAGACACCTCCTGAGTGTCTGCTCACTCCCCTTCCACCCTCAGCGGATGATAATCTCAAGACACCTCCCGAGTGTCTACTCACTCCCCTTCCACCCTCAGCTCTACCCTCAGCTCCACCCTCAGCGGATGATAATCTCAAGACACGTGCCGAGTGTCTGCTCCATCCCCTTCCACCCTCAGCGGATGATAATCTCAAGACACCTTCCGAGCGTCAGCTCACTCCCCTTCCACCCTCAGCTCCACCCTCAGCAGATGATAATATCAAGACACCTGCCGAGCGTCTGCGGGGGCCGCTTCCACCCTCAGCGGATGATAATCTCAAGACACCTTCCGAGCGTCAGCTCACTCCCCTTCCACCCTCAGCTCCACCCTCAGCAGATGATAATATCAAGACACCTGCCGAGCGTCTGCGGGGGCCGCTTCCACCCTCAGCGGATGATAATCTCAAGACACCTTCCGAGCGTCCGTACTCCCCTTCCACCCTCAGCTCCACCCTCAGCAGATGATAATATCAAGACACCTGCCGAGCGTCTGCGGGGGCCGCTTCCACCCTCAGCGGATGATAATCTCAAGACACCTTCCGAGCGTCATATCATGCCCTTCCACCCTCAGCAGATGATAATATCAATACACCTGCCGAGCGTCTGCGGGGGCCGCTTCCACCCTCAGCGGATGATAATCTCAAGACACCTTCCGAGCGTCAGCTCACTCCCCTTCCACCCTCAGCTCCACCCTCAGGCAGATGATAATATCAAGACACCTGCCGAGCGTCTGCGGGGGCCGCTTCCACCCTCAGCGGATGATAATCTCAAGACACCTTCCGAGCGTCAGCTCACTCCCCTTCCACCCTCAGCTCCACCCTCAGCAGATGATAATATCAAGACACCTGCCTTCCACCCTCAGCGGATGATCTCAAGACACCTTCCGAGCGTCAGCTCACTCCCCTTCCACCCTCAGCTCCACCCTCAGCAGATGATAATATCAAGATACCTGCTGAGCGTCTGCGGATTCCGCTTCCACCATCAGCCGATGATAATCTCAAGACACCTTCCGAGCGTCAGCTCACTCCCCTTCCACCCTCAGCTCCACCCTCAGCAGATGATAATATCAAGACACCTGCTGAGCGTCTGCGGGGGCCGCTTCCACCCTGAGCGGATGATAATCTCAAGACACCTTCCGAGCGTCAGCTCACTCCCCTTCCACCCTCAGCTCCACCCTCAGCAGATGATAATATCAAGACACCTGCCGAGCGTCTGCGGGGGCCGCTTCCACCCTCAGCGGATGATAATCTCAAGACACCTTCCGAGCGTCAGCTCACTCCCCTTCCACCCTCAGCTCCACCCTCAGCAGATGATAATATCAAGACACCTGCCGAGCGTCTGCGGGGGCCGCTTCCACCCTCAGCAGATGATAATCTCAAGACACCTTCCGAGCGTCAGCTCACTCCCCTTCCACCCTCAGCTCCACCCTCAGCAGATGATAATATCAAGACACCTGCCGAGCGTCTGCGGGGGCCGCTTCCACCCTCAGCGGATGATAATCTCAAGACACCTTCCGAGCGTCAGCTCACTCCCTTTCCACCCTCAGCTCCACCCTCAGCAGATGATAATATCAAGACACCTGCCGAGCGTCTGCGGGGAGCGTCTGCGGGGGCCGCTTCCACCCTCAGCGGATGATAATCTCAAGACACCTTCCGAGCGTCAGCTCACTCCCCTTCCACCCTCAGCTCCACCCTCAGCAGATGATAATATCAAGACACCTGCCGAGCGTCTGCGGGGGCCGCTTCCACCCTCAGCGGATGATAATCTCAAGACACCTTCCGAGCGTCAGCTCACTCCCCTTCCACCCTCAGCTCCACCCTCAGCAGATGATAATATCAAGACACCTGCCGAGCGTCTGCGGGGGCCGCTTCCACCCTCAGCGGATGATAATCTCAAGACACCTTCCGAGCGTCAGCTCACTCCCCTTCCACCCTCAGCTCCACCCTCAGCAGATGATAATATCAAGACACCTGCCGAGCGTCTGCGGGGGCCGCTTCCACCCTCAGCGGATGATAATCTCAAGACACCTTCCGAGCGTCAGCTCACTCCCCTTCCACCCTCAGCTCCACCCTCAGCAGATGATAATATCAAGACACCTGCTGAGCGTCTGCGGGGGCCGCTTCCACCCTCAGCGGATGATAATCTCAAGACACCTTCCGAGCGTCAGCTCACTCCCCTTCCACCCTCAGCTCCACCCTCAGCAGATGATAATATCAAGACACCTGCCGAGCGTCTGCGGGGGCCGCTTCCACCCTCAGCCGATGATAATCTCAAGACACCTCCCTTAGCTACTCAGGAGGCTGAGGCAGAAAAACCACGCAAACCCAAGAGGCAGAGGGCGGCTGAGATGGAACCACCTCCCGAACCCAAGAGGCGGAGGGTCGGTGACGTGGAACCGTCACGCAAACCCAAGAGGCGGAGGGCCGCTGACGTGGAACCATCATCACCCGAACCCAAGAGGCGGAGGGTCGGTGATGTGGAACCGTCACGCAAACCCAAGAGGCGGAGGGCCGCTGACGTGGAACCATCATCACCCGAACCCAAGAGGCGGAGGGTCGGTGACGTGGAACCGTCACGCAAACCCAAGAGGCGGAGGGCCGCTGACGTGGAACCATCATTACCCGAACCCAAGAGGCGGAGGTTGAGCTGAGAAGAGGCCAGTGCACTCAAGCCTGAGCAATAAGAATAAAACCGAGTAGAACAAAATAAAAAATTCAAAAAACAAAACAAAACCCACACTCCAAAAACTAACAAAGAATAAATAAATAATATAAAAATAAAATAAATACTGCAGTCCTTATGTTATTGCTTTGTTTCGATATCTGGTATGATTGCCTGAGGGACCTGAGGTTTTTAATCATAGGGGTTTTTTTTTAATCTTTAGAAGTGGTTGGTTATGTAAAATATTATTATTATTTTTTTTGAGACTGGATTTTGCTGTGTCATCCAGGCTGGAGTGCAGTGGCTCGATCACAGCTCACTGCAGCCTCAACCTCCTGGGCTTCAAGCAATCCTCCTGCCCCAGCCTCCCAAGTAGCTGGGATCACAGATGTGTGCCACCACGCCTGGCCAATGTTAAAAAATCCTTTAACTTTTTTGTAGAGATGCACTCCTGGACTCAAGCGATCCTCCTACTTGTCCCGACCACCAGCCTCTTTCTGATAAACATTTACACTGTTTATTATCTGATGCCATTTCTATCTTCTTCCTTGTCGTCCAGACATCAAAGAATTAGGTTTCTTCAGGGTTTTCTTTTTCAAGTGCTCAGTGTTAAAGATCACTCACATTAGGGCCACACACCACGGCTCATGCCTGTAATCCCAGCACTTTGGGAGCCCGAGGCGGGCAAAGCACTTGAGGTGGGGAGTTTGAGACCAGCCCAGCCAACTTGGGGAAACCCCACCTCTACTGAAAAAAATACAAAAATTAGCTGCGCGTCATGGTGCATGCCTGTAGTCCCAGCCACTTGGGAGGCTGAGGCACGAGAATCGCTTGAACCCAGGAGGCAGAGGTTGTAGTGAGCCGAGATCACATCAGCACACTCTAGCCTGGGTGACAGAGCGAGACTGACTCAAAAAATAAATAAAATAAATATCACTTACATTAGATATACCCAAGGGGTGGTCTATAGAGACTTGGAAGCAGTGGTTATTGCAACAGGGGCACGGAAGTCATCTGGCTATGCCAGGATGCCCAGGAGATACTCGGGGTGGGTGGCATGGTGGTGCTGGGGACTCACCGCACAGGACGCTCTGATTGACGCACTGCCAGGAGTAGCGCTCTGTCTTGGGGCTGCAGCCGGCCTCCTCAGCTCGAGTGTAACATCAGTCGTGGCCATGGCAGCACCTGCGGATGTCATATGGGCAGGACAGCAGGTGGGTGAAGCTCTCTCCTGGCCCTCCTCTCTTGCCAGGACTATGGGTGACTGAAGACCCCCAGGGAGGCACAGCATCCTCTTATCTAAGATTTTTTTTTTTTTAAGAGACAGGGTCTTTCTCTGTCGCCCAGGCTGGACTGCAGAGGCACAATCATAGCTCACGGCAGCCTTGAACTCCTGGGCTCAAGCGATCCTCCCACTTCAGTGTCCCAAGTAGCTGAGACTACAGGCACACGCCAGCATGCCCGGCTGGTTTTTTAATTTGTATTTCCTTTGAGACAGCGTATCTCTCTGTTGCTCAGGCTGGAGTGCAATGGCTCAATCAGCTCACTTTAGCCTTGAACTCCCGGGCTCAAGTGATACTGCCACCTCAACCTCCCAAGTCTGCTACTACAGGAACACAAACTCCTTTTTTAAATTTTTTATGGATATGGGGTCTCACTATGTTGCCTAGGCTGGTCTCGAGCTCCCAGGCTCAGCAGTCCTCCTACCTCAGCCTCCCCAAATGCTGGGATTACAGGTGGGAGCTACTGTACGCCTGGCCTTATCTAAGCTGTTTCCCTGAAAATCCCCGTCTTGGGTAATGATTCCATTGGCCCCACCATGCCCTGTCCTGCCTTCCTGGCTGTGCCCAAGCTTGGTCCCTGCCTGCCTGCCTGCCTCCCTCTCTGGGTCTCGAGCTCCTGTGACACATGACTCCTCTCTCTTCCTGGAGTGATCCAAGCCCTGCCACTTCCTGACTTTGCCCACACTGTACCCTCTGCCTGGGGCAACTTCATGTCTGCCCATTGTCCCTTAGGCCTCAGCCCAGGCACAAGCCCCTGCCTCCGGAGGTCATCCAGGCCTCACCAGGCTACACCCTCTCGTAAAATTGGATTCCCTCCCTTCAGGGCAGGTTTATAATGAAATCCTCCTCAGAGGCCAGGTGCGGTGACACCCATCTGTAATCCCAGCACTTTGGGAGGCTGAGGTGGGAGGATCACTTGAGGCCAGGGGGTCGAGACCAGCCTGGGCAACATAAGAGAGACTCTTGTCTCTCTTGTCTCTATAACAAATTTAAAAATTAGCTCACCAGGCCAGGCTCAGTGGCTCATGCCTGTAATCCCAACACTTTGAGAGGCCGAGGCAGGTGGATCACGAGGTCAGGAGTTCGAGAGCAGCCTGACCAACACGGCGAAACCTGTCTCTACTAAACATACAAAATTAGCCAGGCATGGTGGCACGCACCTGTAATCCCAGCTACTCGGGAGGCTGAGGTAGGAGAATTGCTTGAACCCCGGAGGTGGAGGTTGCGGTGAGCCAAGATCACGCCATTGCAGTCCAGCCTGAGCAACAGAGCAAGACTCTGTCTCGAGAGAATAAAAACACACAAAAAATTAACTCGCCAGGATGGCACATGCCTATAGTCCTAACTACTTGGGAGGCTGAGGTGGGAGGATTCCCTTCAGCCCAGGAGTTTGAGGCTGCAGTGAGCCACTGTGATTGTGCCACTGCACTCTAACCTGGGCAAAAGCGAGACCCCAGGCTAGAGTGCATGATTTTGGGTCACTGCAACCTCCACCTCCCAGGTTCAAGTGATTCTCCTGCCTCAGCCTCTTGAGTAGCTGGGACTACAGGCATGTGCCACCACGTCTGGGTAATTTTTGTATTTTTAGTAGAGACAGGGTTTAGTAGAGACCATGGTGAAACCCCATCTCTATTAAACAAATCTCTACTAACCCCATCTCTACAAAAAACGGCTGGGCGTGGTAGTGCACACCTGTAATTCCAGCTACTTGGGAGGCTGAGGCACGAGAATCATTTGCATCTTGGAGGCAGAGTTTGCAGTGAGCTGAGATCGCACCACTGCACTCCAGCCGGGATGACAGAGCAAGACCCTGTCTCAAAAAAAAAAAAAAAAAGAAAAAAGAACAAACAACAGCAACAACAACAAAAACCTCTGTGTCAATCACAGCCTTCGAGCTAGGGGAGAGGCGGCCGAATTCTGCCCTCCGCTAACGAGCTATAGCTTTGTGGAAATGGGCGAGTGGCGTGCCCTTGTGAGCCTCAGGGCCGCATCTGTAAAATGGGCATAACTGTCATGCCTGTCTTTAAGAACAGCCTTGGGGGTAAATGAGTGGAACTCATGGAAAGATCTCAGCCCACAACCTTCCACAGAACAGGCGCTTCTCACACAGTAAGTAGCAGGAGTGCAGAGGCTGCAGGCATGAATCCAGTCAGACTGCAGACTGCCTGGGTTCAAGTCCCAGCTCCCACGTCTTGGTAACTAAGTGGCCTCAGACAAGTTACTTAGTATTTCTTCTTCTTCTTTTTTTTTTTTTTTTTCAGACGGAGTTTTGCTCTGTCACCCAGGCTGGAGTGCAGTGGTGTGATCTCGGCTCACTGCAACCTCCACCTCCCGGGTTCAAGCAATTCTCCTGCCTCAGCTTCCTGAGTAGCTGGAATTACAGGAACCTGCCACCACATCCAGCTAATTTTTGTATTTTTAGTAGAGACAGGGTTTCACCATGTTGGCCAGGATGGTCTCGAACTCCTGACCTCGTGATCTGCCTGCCTCAGCCTCCCAAAGTACTGGGATTATAGGCGTGAGCCACCGCACCTGGACACATTACTTAATATTTCTGTGCCTTGGTTTCTTCATCTGTGAAATGGGATTGTTGTGAGAACGCAAAGGGATTCCCAGGGCAGTTCCTAGTGCATAGTCTGGCTGCCTTTGTGTGTGTGTGTGTGTGTGCATGTGTGTGTGTGTTTAATATAGAGACAGGGTCTCACTATGTTGCCTAGGCTGGTTTCAAACTCCTGGGCTCCAGTGATCCTCCTGCTTCCACCCAAAGTGGTGGGATAACAGGTGTGAGTCACCACACCTGGTCACTTTATATTATTTTTTTCTTTTGAGACAGGGTCTCGCACTGTTGCCCAGGTTGGAATGCAGTGGTGCAATCTCAACTCACTGCAAACTCCACCTCCCGGGTTCAAGTGTTTCTCCTGCATCAGCCTCTTGAGTAGCTGGTACTATAGTCACCCGGCTCCTTGCCTGGCTAAGTTTTGTATTTTTAGTAGAGATGCGGTTTAGTGATTCTCCTGCATCAGCCTCTTGAGTAGCTGGTACTATAATCACCTAGCTCCTTGCCCAGCTAATTTTTGTATTGTTAGTAGAGATGCGGTTTTTTTTTTTTTTTTTGAGATGGAGTTTCGCTCTTGTTGCCTAGGCTGGAGTGCAGTGGTGCTATCTCGGTTCACCACAGCCTCCGCCTCCTGGGTTCAAGCGATTCTCCTCCTCAGCCTCCCGAGTAGCTGGGATTACAGGCATGCGCCACCGCACCTGGCTAATTTTGTATTTTTAGTAGAGACGGGGTTTCCCCATGTTGGTCAGGCTAGTCTCGAACTCCTGACGTCAGGTGATCTGCCTTCCTCGGCCTCCCAAAGTGCTGGGATTACAGGCATGAGCCAGCATGCCAGGCTGGCCCTTTTTTTTTTTTTTTTTTTTAATCACTTAACATATATCTTGGAGAACTTTCCATTTTGGGAGTTAAAGAGATTTGTTTGTTTTGAGACAGGGTCTCCCTCTGTGGCCCAGGCTGGAGCTGGACCTTGGCTCAGTCCAACTTCCACCCCCCGGGCTCAAGCAATCCTCCCACTTCAGCCTTCCAAGTAGCTGGGTCTATGGGCACATGCCACCACATCCCGCTACTTTTTATAGTTTTTGTAGAGATAGGATTTTACCATGTTGCCCAGGCTGGTCTTGAACTCCTGAGCTCAAGTGATCCACCTGCTTCAGCCTCCCAAAGTACTGGGATTACAGGCATGAGCCATCTTGCCCAGCCTGTTTTTTATTCAATATCTACTAAGTGCCAACTACCATAGAGGACATAAAGATGATTCAGTCTCTGCAGAAGTCATTTTCTCTCTCTTTCCTGTTGTACAGCACAAAATTAATGGACTAAATAGTCTGTCACTAGATAAAGAAGCCCTAAGTAATCAGGCACTTGCTGCAGTTTTTACAAAGTTTAAAAAGCCATATGAAACACAGTATACTCCAAGTAATAAGAGGCAAAATATGCGAAGTGTTACTGCTGGGAATTTACGGACTATTCTTTTCTACAATATATCTGCTGTGGTCTGAATGTGTTCCCCAAGATTCATATGTTAAAACTTAACCACCAGTCTGGTAGTATTAAGAGGTGGGGCATCATTAAGTCATGAGGGCATGGGATTAGTAACCTCATAAAAAGGTTGGCAGGAACGAGCTAGGCCCTTTCATTGCCCTTACATCCCTCTGTCACTTGAAGACACAGCACTGGTCCCCCCGGGAGGACATAGCAGCAAGGTGCCATATTGGAAATGGCCACCATGCCCTCACCAGATACCAACCTGCTGGTAACTTAATCTTGGCCTTCCTAGCCTCCAGAACTGTGAGAAAGAAATTTCTGGGTTTTGTTTGTTTGTATGTATGAGACAGGGTCTCTGTCACCTCGGCTGGAGTGCAGTGGCACGATCTCAGCTCACTGCAACCTCTGCCTCCTGGGTTCAAGTGATTCTCCCACCTCAGCCTCCCGAGTAGCTGGGATTACAGGTATGCACCACCACACCCTGCTTTTTTTTTTTTTTCTTAGCGTTGTACAGATAGGGTTTCGTCATGTTGCCCAGGCTGATCTCGAACTCCTAAGGTCACACGATCCACCTGCCCTGGCCTCCCAGCATGCTGGGATTAAAGGCGTGAGCCACTGTGCCTGGCCAAAATTTCCATTTTTTATAAATAACCCAGTCTCTGGTACTTTCTTATAGCCACACGAACAGATAAAGACTGTACCTATCTGTTGGCTGGGCGCAGTGGCTCACGTCTGTAATCCCAGCACTTCGGGAGGCTTAGACAAGTGGATCACGAGGTCAGGAGATCGAGACCATCCTGGCTAACATGGTGAAACCCCGTCTCTACTAAAAATACAAAAAATTTAGCTGGGCGCGGTGGCGGGCGCCTGTAGTCCCAGCTACTCAGGAGGCTGAGGCATGAGAATGGCATGAACCTAGGAGGCGGAGCTTGCAGTGAGCCGAGATCGTGCCACTGCAGTCCGTCCTGGGCGAAAGAGCGAGACTCCGTCTCAAAAAACAAACAAACAAACAAGAGGTCCAGAGTGTGACAACATGGCCTTGCAACCTTGTGCTCAGGGACCCTGGAGCCAGTCCTTCATAGGACTGCTGGAACTCCCCACCCTGGGACTGCAGGCTCTGCCTGGCTGCAATCAAGAATCCCCTGAGGCCAGGTGTGGTGGCTCACGCCTGTGATCCCAGCACTTCGGGAGGCTTAGGTGGGCAGATCACCTGAGACCAGGAGTTCGAGACTAGCCTAGCCAACGTGCTAAAACTCCGTCTCTACTAGAAATACAGAATTAGCCAGGCGTGGTGGCGGGTGCCTGTAATCCCAGCTACTCAGGAGGCTGAGGCAGGAGAAGTGCTTGAACCCGGAAGTGGAGGTTGCAGTGAGCTGAGATTGCGTCACTGCACTCTAGCCTGGGTGACAGAGCAGAATCCGTCTCAAAATAAAGAAAGAAAGAATCCCCTGGGGATCTTGGATTTGATCCTGGTGCCAAGGGAATTGGATTTCCTTGGTCTGGGTAGTGCCTTGGCATGTGTATTACGATTATCATTTGCCAATGATTATGAATTTTTAAATTTCACACAGCTTTGGGGAAGCATAGAATCTGGACTTGTTCAGAACAATCAGCTATTGACACCAGAGGCTGCCTCTGGGTTATAATTGGATAATTATCCCTTCCTGGTGCAGACATTAGTGGCTCTCTTGTGCTTGGCCATGAACCGTTTGCTGTGTCCTCCATGTGGCCAAGCATCAAAAGGATAATGTTTTCATTTTTTAATTTTTGTGGGTAGATAGTAGGCATATATATGTATGGGGTGCATGAGATGTTTTAATACAGGCATGCAATGCATAATAATCACATCAGGGTAAATGGGGATCCATTACATCAAGCATTTATCCTTTGTGTTACAAACAATTCAATTACACTCTTTGAGTTATTTAAAAATGTACAATTGGCTGGGCACAGTGGCTCTCACCTGTCATCCCAGCACTTTGGGAAGCTGAGGCAAGCGAATCACTTGAGGTCAGGAGTTTGAGACCAGTCTGGCCAACATGGTGAAACCCCGTCTCTACTAAAAATACAAAAATTAGCTGGGCGTGGTGGCACTTATCTGTAATCTCAGCTACTTGGGAGGCTGGGGCAGGAGAATCACTTGAGCCCAGGAGTTCGAGACTAGCCTGGGCAATTTAGCAAGACCCCATCTCAAAAACAAAGCTACAGCTTAAAAGAAAATCAGACCATGTCACTCTCTGCTTAAGGCCTTCAAGGGTTTCCTCATGCATTCAGGATAGAATCCGAAGTCCTTAGAATGACCCAGAGGGACTGACACAGTTGGGCCTGGCCTCATCCCATGGCAGTCTCCTGCTCGTTCAATTAGGCTGTGATGCACTAGTCCCTCCCCCACGTGCTCCCCAGATTTATTTCATTTTATTTTATATTTTTTTGAGACAGGGTCTTGCTCTGCTGCCCAGCCCGGAGGGCAGTGGTGTGATCATAGCTCACTGCAGCCTCGAACTGCTGGGCTCAAGCTATGCTCCCACCTCAGCCCCTCAAAATATGATGATTACAAGCATGAGCTACTGCACCCAGCCCCTAGCTTTAAATATTTAAAGCATCTAAACATAGAAGAGTTGAAAAAGTGGTATAATTGTCACTCATACACCTATCCTGAAATTCAATAATTACCATTTTGTCATATTTTCTTTGTCTGTGTGCATGTGTGTATTTTGCTGAAATGTTAATTAATTTATTTATTTGAGATGGAGTCTCGCTCTAATGCTCAGGCTGGAGTGCAGTGGCATGATCTTGGCCCACTGCAACCTCCGCCTCCTGGGTTCAAGTGATCCTCCTGCCTCAGCCTCTTGAGTAGCTGGAATTATAGGCACCTGCCACCATGCCCAGCTAATTTTTTGTATTTTTTGTAGAGACGAGGTTTCATCATGTTGGCGAGACTGGTCTTGAACTCCTGACCTCAAGTGATCCGCCTGCCTCGGCCTCCCAAAGTGCTTGGATTTCAGGCGTGAGCCACTGCGCCTGGCCAACATTTAAAAGTTAGTTGTAAGCCAGGCATGGTGGTGTGGGCCTGTAGTCCCAGCTATTGGAGAGGCTGAGGCAGGAGGATCGCTTGATCTCAGGAGTTTGAGGCTGCAGTGAGCTACGATCATGCCACTGCACTCCAGCCTGGGTGACAGAGCAAGACCCTGTCTCTAAAATAATAATAATAATAAATAAGTGAAATAAAAGTTAGCTGTAGATATCATGTCACTTGACCCCTATAATGACTTCAATGTGAATCTCCTAAAAATAAAGACATCTTCCCTTATAGCCAGCCACATGTCACCACCCTACCCAAGAAAATCAATAGAAATTTTCTAATATTGAGTCCACGTTCAAATGAACCCAATTATTCCCTGAATGCATTTTAAAGATGTTTAATTTCCAAATCAGGACCCAATCAGGTTTGCACATTGTGGTTGGCTCCAGTGTCTCTTTGGAGTCTCCTAGTCTGGAACTGGCACTTCACAGTGTGGTTTGGGACCAGCGGCATGAGCATCACCTGGGAATTTGCTAGAAATGCAACTTCACAGGCCTCACTCCCAACCTGAATCAAATTCTGGGGTGGGGTCCAGGAATCTGTTTTAACAAGCCAGGTGATTTTTTTTTTTTTTTTTTTTGAGACAGGGTCTCGCTCTGTCACCCAGGCTGGAGTGCAGTGGCATGATCTCAGCGCACTGCATCCTCCGCCTCCCAGGTTCAGGTGATTCTCCTGCCTCAGCCTCCCGAGTAGCTGGGACTACAGGTGCCTGCCACCACGCCCAGCTAATTTTTGTATTTTTAGTAGGGATGGGGTTTTGCTATGTTATTCAGTCTGGTCTGGAACTTCTGACCTCAAGCAATCTGTCCACCTCAACCTCCCAAAGTGTTGGGATTATAGGCATGAGCCACTGTACCTGGCCTCAGCTAGTTATCTTCATGGCTGTCTCTTCCTTTTATTTTATTTAATAATAATAATATTATTATTTTTGTGGAGATAGGGTCCCACTATGTTGCCTAGGCTGCCCTTGAACTCATGGCCTCAAGTGATTCTCTTGTCTTGCCTCCCAAGGCCCTAGAATTACTGATGTGAGCCACTGTGCCTGGGCTTTCTTAGTTCTGTGCTCATTAGTTCTTCTCTCTTTCTCTCCCTCCGTCTCTCTATTTTCCCCCTTTCCCTCTCTTCTGTTCCCTCTCTCCTCTGCAAAGAAACTGATTCCTCCCTTCCTGGGCACGTATTTCCCAGCCTTCATTGCTGTTAGATGTGCTCATGTGACTGGTTCTTGCTGATGGAAGGTGGGTGGAAATGACGCGGTCCCCTGTCTGGGGCTGAGATGGTTAAGATCATGGATCTGTCTTCTCCTGTCTGCATTGTTTGCTATCTACCAGCCGAGGCCCCGAGAGACAGCAGAACCACAAGGTAGCAGTCCCTGAATCGCCATGTGGCACATCTGCCTTAGACTGTTATCTGAGCAGGTAATAAACTTCTGTGATGTTAAGCCACAGAGATTTCGGGGCTTATCTGTTCCAGCAGCCAGCATTACCGTAAGTAACAAACACATGGACTCTCTCTGCTTCTCTAGGCTTTCAACTAAACACAGCTGCCCCATGACTCCTAAGTTCTTATATTTTTAATTATAGAGGATATCGATTGGCTTCTCATCCAATTGTAACCCTCCAGGAGAGGCTGTAATGGGCCCAGCTTGGGACTCCTTGGAACCACTCCTAAAATGATCAGCTATGGCTGGTGGGGACAGTACTATGATTTGGAGATGACAGGAGGGCCCTCCACCCTTCCCTGCCAGTGAAAGGTAGGGCCATTCTTTTTTTTTTTTAATTATTATTATTTTTAATAGAGCTGAAATCTCATTATGTTGCCCAGGCTGGTCTTGAACTCCCCAGCTCAAGAGGCAGGGCCGGGCGTGGTGGCTCATGCCTGTAATCCCAGCACTTTGGGAGGCAAGGCAGGCGAGGAGGATCACCTGAAGTCAGGAGTTCAAGACCAGCCTGGCCAACATGGCGAAACCCTTTCTCTACTAAAAATGCAAAAATTAGCTGGGTGTGGTGGCAGGCGCCTGTAATCCCAGCTACTTGGGAGGCTGAGGCAGGAGAATCTCTTGAACCCAGGAAGTGGAGGTTGCAGAGAGCTGAGATTGCACCATTGCACTCCAGCCTGGGCGACAGAGTGAGACTCCATCTCAAAAAAGAAAAAAGAGGCATCAGGTCATCCTGCCTGTGACAGGAGGGCACTGCAAAATTACATGGCCAAGGGCATGGGTAGGGGGAAGGGTGAAGAGTTAGGGCCAAATAATGTAAACCTTACCTAATTTCCCACTGGAGAACACCCCCTTTCAGTCAATTACTTTGGGTGGGGCTCCAGCTCAGGGGTGGAGCAGGTGACAAAGACCTCAGCCAATCAGAGAACAACTTTGCCCATTTGGGACTACAGGCATGCACCATCATGCCTGCTAATTTAAAATATTTTTTGTAGAGGCCAGGCACCGGTGGCTCATGCCTGTAATCCCGGCACTTTGGGAAGCCGAGGCAGGCAGATCACGAGGTCAAGAAATCGAGACCATCCTGGCCAACATTGTGAAACCCTGTCTCTACTAAAAATACAAAAATTGGCTGGCCCTGTTGGTGCACGCCTGTAGTCCAGCTACTCGGGAGGCTGAGGCAGGAGAATCGCTTGAGCCCGGGAGGCAGAGATTGCAGTGAGCCAAGATTGCACCACTGCACTCCAGCCTGGGCGACAGTGCGAGACTCTGTCTCGAAAAAAAAAGAATTTTTTTTTTTTTTTGTAGAGGCAGGGTTTTGCTATGTTGCCCAGATTGGTCTTGAACCCCTGGGCTCAAGCGATCTGTCCACCTCAGCCTCCCAAAGCGCTGGAACTACAGGCATGAGCCACTGTGCCTGGTTGACTTTTCCTTTCCAAATGAACAAGTTTGGGTTGAGTTTTCAGTCACTGAGACCAAACTGGTCCCAATGAGTACACCAGTAATCTTAGCCTCAGAGGTGTGCATCTACTCACAGAAGGGCTCAGTGGCTTCCAGTGTTCAAGGTTACTGGATTGCACAGGAGCTGTTATAGGACAAGCCCCGTGGATACTGGTGGCTCAGAGGTCTTACAGATGAGGTTTCACTGGGAACCAATCAGAACTCCCTTATTTGCAAGTAACAGACACCAAACTCGAATGGACTTGTGAGAATATGTTGGCTCATGTAATTGAAAAAGCCACTTGGGGCTGGGCGCAGTGGTTCACACCTGTAATCCCAGCACTTTGGGAGGCCAAGGTGGGGCAGATCACGTGAGGTCAGGAGTGCAAGACCAGCCTGGCCAACATGGTGAAACCCTGTCTTTACTAAAAATACAAAAATTAGTCGGGTGTGTTGGTGCGCGCCTGTAATCCCAGCTACACGGGAGGCTGAGGCAGTAGAATCACTTGAACCCGGGAGGCAGAGGTTGTAGTGAGCTGAGATCGTGCCATTGCACTCCAGCCTGGGTGACAGAGTGTGCTCCGTTTCGAAAAAGAAAGAAAAGAAAAGAAAAGAAAAAGCCATTTGGATTTCAGACACAGATCCTAGTACTCATATAATGCAATCAGAATCCATCTCTCCTCATCTCCTGGCCCTGCTTCATTTACTCTGTGCCGGCTTCATGCCTGGCCAGAATCTCCCTAAGCGGTGGCAAAGGCAGCCACCAGCAAGTCCAGGCTTACATCCCACATGCTTAGCAACTGCAGTGAAAAGAGAACACATTTTCCCCTAATAGGTACACAAAGCCAGGAGCAGCCTAGCTTGGGCTAGGGGCACACAGCTGCTGCTCCGGGATGGAATGTGCTGATTGGCTAGACCTGGGTCATGTGGCCACCCCACAGAGTGAAGGGGTGGGGTCGGCCTCCGCTGAAGGAAGGACTGGTTCAAAGGAAGCTTGGGGTGCTATCACACAAAGCAGAACGAGTGGATGCTGAACAGGCAAAAATAGCAGACGTCCGCTACATCTCATTACTCTTAGCATCTTGTGGTCCTTATTACAATTGTAATGAACTATCACTCCAAATCCTCTACCTTCTACAATCACCTCCCATTTTCCTTTTTTTAAAAAAAGTATCATTATTATTTTTTGTCTCTGTCAAAAAAAAATAATTATTATTATTATATTGTCGCCCAGGCTGGAGTGCAGTGGTGCGATCTTGGCTCACTACAACCTCCGCCTCCCGGGTTCAAGTGATTTTCCTGTCTCAGCCTCCTGAGTAGCTGGGATTACAGGCAGCCACCATTGTGCCCGGCTAATGTTTGTAGTTTTAGTACATGTTAGCCAGGCTGGTCTCAAACCCCTGACCTCAAGTGATCCACCCAGCTCGGCCTCCCAAAGTGCTGGGATGACAGGCATGAGCCAACGTGTTCAGCTAATTTTTGTATTTTTAGCAGAGATGGGGTTTTGACATGTTGGCCAGGCTGGTCTTGAATTCCTGACCTCAGGTGATCCGCCCCCCTGGGCCTCCCAAAGTGCTAGGATTATAGGTGTGAGCCACGGTGCCCGGCCCCATTTTCCTTTACCATCAACATTGAATGACTTTAGCCCACATACTAAGAAAAACCAAGGCCTGGCGTGGTGGCTCATGCCTGTAATCCCAGCACTCTACAAGGCTGTAGTGGGAGGATGGCTTGAGGCCAGGAGTTTGAGACTAGTCTGGGCAACATAGCAAGACCCTGTCCCTACAAAATAGAAATGAAGACATTAGCCAGGCCTGGTGGTGTGTGCCTATAGTCCCAGCTGTCTCAAAGGCTGAGGCAGGAGTGTCAGAGGCATTTGAACCTGAGCGACTCTATCTTGAATAGGGGCTGGGTAAAATAAGGCTAAGACCTGCTTGGCTGCATTCCCAGGAGGTTAAGGCATTCTAAGTCACAGGATGAGACAGGAGGTTGGCACAAGATACAGGTCATAAAGACCTTGCTGATAGACCAGTTTGTAGGCCAGGCACGGTGGCTCACCCCTGTAATCCAAGCACTTTGGGAGGCTGAGGCGGGCAGATCACCTGAGGTCAGGAGTTTGAGACCAGCCTGACAAACATGGAGAAACCCGTCTCTACTACAAAAATACAAAATTAGCAGGGCATGGTGGCACATGCCTGTAATTCCAGCTACTCAAGAGGCTGAGGCAGGAGAATCGCTTGAGCCCAAGAGGTGGAGGTTGCGGTGAGCTGAGATTGTGCCATTGCACTCCAACCTGGGCAACAAGAGTGAAACTCTGTCTCAAAGAAAAAAAGAAAAGGGCCGGGTGCAGTAGTTCATGCCTGTAATCCCAGCACTTTGAGAGGCCGAGGCAGGTGGATCACGAGGTCAGGAGTTCAAGACCAGCCTGGCCAATATGGTGAAACCCCGTCTCTACTAAAAATACAAAAATTAGCTGGGTGTGGTGACGTGCACCTGTAGTCCCAGCTACTCGGGAGGCTGAGGCAGAAGAATTGCTTGAACGTAGGAGTCGGAGGTTGCAGTGAGCCAAGATCATGCCACTGCACTCCAGCCTGGATGACAGAGTGAGACTCCATCTCAAAAAATAATAATAAAAATAAAAAATAAATAAATTAATTAATTAATAATAACAATAAAAAATGTTCAAAAAGGAAAACCAGGCCCCCTCCACAATGTCTCTGAGGCATCCCAAGATGGGGCTCCCCATCTCCTGAGTCCACCATGCTCAGCCCACTTCCTGGCTGTCCTTCTCTGCTCTTGGCCTCTGGAGCCATTGCCCCCTTTCTTCGCCTCCAAATCAAAACCTCTGTTTTTGTCCATTGCACCAAATCTCCACTAACCCAAGGCTGGGTGAGGAACAGTCTCCTCCCCTCAGCTGCCAGTAATTACCTCTAAATTACTTTTCTTACACCCACATTTCCACCCTAAACCAGACACTAGATGGGTGTATAGATGTTGACATTTCAGAGAGAGAGATGCTGTTTGGTGACTCTCCCATGGTGACGTGACCGTAAGTTGAGTAGTCATCTATGGCTCTGTGTGAAGGGTGTCATGGGGTCTGCGATCACTCCTTCCACTAGCCCTTGCTTTGGCCCACTTAGCTGTGACTGCTGAGGAGTTGGGAAAATTTGCATAGGCCTCAAGGAGTGTCTTGGGAAAAAAGGAATCAAGGCTACAACTCTCTTTCCTTCTGAAGTTTAATTTATTTTATTATTTTATTTTATTTATTTTAATTTTTTGAGATGGAGCTTTGCTCTATCACCCAGGCTGGAATGCAATGGTGTGATCTCGGCTCACTGCAACCTCCACCTCCTGGGTTCAAGTGATTCTCCTGCTTCAGCCTCCCCAGTAGCTGGGATTACAGGTGCCTGCCACTATGCCTGGCTAATTTTGTAGTTTTAGTAGAGATGGGGTTTCACCATGTTGGCCAGGCTGGTCTCAAACTCCTGACCTCAAGTGATCTACCCCCCTCAGCTTCCTGAAGTGCTGGGATTACGGGTGTGAGCCACTGCACCCGGACTTGAAGTTTAATGTTTTTTTTATTTTTTATTTTTGAGACGGAGTTTCACTCTTGTTGCCCAGGCTGGAGTGCAATGGTGCGATCCATAAGATTTAGGTCAAATAGAGAGATACATTTCTGTATATTCATTTTACACTTTTTATTTTTTGTAGAGACGGAGTTCTTGCTATGTTGCCCAGGCTGGTATCAAACTCCTGGCCTTAAGCAATCCTCCCAACTCAGCCTCCCAAAGTGCTGGGATTACAGGCATGAACCACTGCACCTGGCCTCATTTTACACTTTAATGGACTGGATTTTGCAGTAGTCATGATTAGGAGGGCACTGTGCACCACAAAGCCTAAGAGGTAACTAGCTTATTTGGGGTATTTTGGGAATTTTTTTTTTTTTTTTTTTTTTGAGAAGGACCTTCTCTCTTGTTGCCCAGGCTGGAGTGCAATGGTGTCATCTTGGCTCTGCCTCCCATATTCAAGCGATTCTCCTGCCTCAGCATCCCAAGTATCTGGAGTTACAGGCATGCACCACCATGCCTGGCTAATTTTGTATTTTTTTAGTAGAGAAGGGGTTTCACCATATTGGTCAGGCTGGTCTCAAACTCCTGACCTCAGGTGACCCACCCAACTTGGTGTCCCAAAGTGCTGGGATTACAGGTGTGAGCCACTGCGCCTGGCCAACTCCACTGTTAAGGCAGCAGGTGCAGTGGATATTACAGCTATTCACACCCCTGCAGATAAACACAGAAGTCACCATACCACAACTATTCTCCTAACGCTGCCTTCGTCCTGAGCTTCCTGTGCTAGTGGCAAGTCAGATGCAAGGAAAATCCAGAGTAAAAATAAAAAACAATAACAGGCACAGTCTCATCAGACTGTGAAACCCTGTGAACCCTGTGAAATGAAAATTACAGATGTATGTATAAAGCAAGAATTTCAAGGCACACATTCTGACATTAACTTTGTATTAAGTGCCCTCAAATGTACTCTCTTCCCCTCTTTCAGTTCTCAAGGGAAGAGCAAATAACACTCCTTCCAAATAACACTCCTAAATCAACACCTGAAGAATGAATGATACCCTGGGCAAATATAAAACTTGCAGACCTATTTCACCCAATACCATAGAAAGAGAAAACGGTGAACTTAACCCCCTCATTAAAAGCACAAGGGGAGGCTGGGCTTGGTGGCTCATGCCTGTAAACCTAGCACTTTGGGAGGCCAAGGCAGGCGGATCACTTGAGGTCAGGAGTTTGAGACCAGCCTGGCCAATATGGTGAAACCCCATCTCTACTAAAAATACAAAAATTAGCTGGGTGTGGTGTCAGGTGCCTGCAATCCCAGCTACTCGGGAGGCTGAGGCAGGAGAATCGCTTGAACCCGGGAGGTGGAGGTTGCAGTGAGCTGAGATCACGCCACGGCACTCCAGCCTGGGGGACGGTGAGACTCCATCTTACATACAAACACACACACACACACACACACACACACAGAAGCGTGAGGGGAACTTACTTCTCGGGCGACTCTGAGTGGCCCCTGTGCTTCCGTCCTGATGAGTTTCCATACACGTCATCTTCGTTTTCATCCACATCTTCATCATCGATGCTTTTCACATCAAGCTTCTGGTACCCAAACTCCCTGTTCAAAGACAGGGAATCAATTTTCCACGAGTTGCTGCTCTGACTTCCATTGGAGTTTGGCCCGAAGGGGCTTTCAAAGGCGGACATGATATTGACAGAGGAGCGGTCGGAGTTGTCCTCTGAGCTCTCCCCTGCCCCAGGTGTCTTTTTAAACATGTCCCCAGAGTTCTGCTCATCTTCCTCATCATCAAATGAGTTAATGTTGGTCACTTGCTTTTTCTTCTTCCGCTCCTTTTTGCATTTGGCATCTGGCAAAAAAAAAAAAAGAAAAAAAAGAAAAGATACAGTATAAGAAAAAGTAGGCAAGACAAAAGGATGATGAAACCAACTCACTTCCAGGTTGTGGAAAATACTATTCTAGTGAGAAATACACTGTAACATGAATTCAGACTTTTTAAAATCCTCAGTGAAAATCTGTGTACAGAAGATTGAGCAGAATGGATGCAGGCCTCTCCCACTGATTTAAATAAACACACCACAGAGCACACCTTGAAACTGTTCCTTCCAAGCAGTCACTTTGATGTGAAGGATGCTACCATTACCAAAATGATCTTCAATGCTTCACTTTGGAAAATATTCTCATAGCTGGTAGATGAGACCAGGAGAACCAGCTGGGGGGTGTAGTCAAGTGTTGAGCAGCCTCAAATTCCTGCCATTCCTGTGCCATGCCCCTTTGCAATGGGTCTTTGTGGCTCCTCCCAGCCAGAGGTGATGTCTATTTCTGCACCCTCTTGAATCTGGCTGGCGTAGTGCTCTGCCTTTTTTTTTTTTTTTTTAAGAGTTGGGGCATCTCGCTCTATTGCCCAGGCTGGAGTATATTGGTGCAATCATAGCTCACTGTAACCTCAAATTCCTGGGATCAAACAATCCTCTGCCCTCAGCCTCCCGAGTAGCTGGGACTACAGGTGCATGCCACAACACCCAGCTAATTTTATTATTATTTGTAGAGATGAGGTCTTGCTGTGCTTCCCAAGCTAGTCTCAAAACTCCTGGCCTCAAGCAATACTCCCACCTCAGCCTCCTAAATTGCTGGGATTATAGGCATGAGCCACCATGCCCTGCTTTTACCAAAAGAATGTGGCAGAAAGGGCCGGGTGCGGTGGCTCATGCCTATAATCCCAGCACTTTGGGAGGTCAAGGCGGGTGGATCACCTGAGGTCAGGAGTTCAAGACCAGCCTGGCAAACACGGTGAAACCCCGTCTCTATTAAAAATACAAAAAAAAAAAAAAATTAGTTGGGCGTGGTGGCAGGTGCCTGTAATCCCAGCTACTTGGGAGGCTGAGGCAGGAGAATTTCTTGAACATGGGAGGCAGAGGTTGCAGTGAGCTGAGACTGCGCCATTGCACTCCAGTCTGGGTGACAGAGCAAGACTCTGTCTCAAAAAAAAAAAAAAAAAAAAAAAGTGGCAGAAATAACACTGTGTGAGTTCTAGTAGCTAGGCGTTAAAAGGTCTCAGCTTTGCCTTTGCTCTCCTGGACAGTGGCCCTGACCCCATACATAAAGAAGCCAGTTCAGCCGACTGGAGGATGAGAGTCCATGAGTAGAATCTGAGCAGCCCCAGCACTGATTCCAGACATGTGGATGGGGCCATCTTAGATCTTCCAATCTAACCACGAGCTCCCATGAGTGAGCCGAAGGAGCCCAGCAGCAGAGCCACCATGCCAACCTACACAAAAAAGTAACGAACTGCGGTGGTTTTAAGCCACTACATTTTTAAATCACTTGTTATATAGCAAATGCTAACTGAAAAAGAAATCAAGCTTGCCTTAGTGACCAGCTCTCACAGAAGACACTTTGTGCCCCTATTTTAATCATCACACTTGGATGTAAGACACTTTGAGCCAATTCCAAAAACCCAATCTGTCTAAACCAATGTGTGATGTGGTGAGGCCTCACTGGTATAGCACAACTCTGAGATCACCTCAAAAGCAGTTCCAAAAATGGGTGGGACTGCTACTCCTGTGGGTGTAGAAATTTCAGTGTCTGTTACACAAAGCTGTCAACAGCCCTATCTCCTACAAGGTTCATGCAGGGTCACCATCAATAATTCCAAAGGGATGGCCACAGTTACTGCCTTGTTTAAGAGATTTGAGAATACTAAGTACTTAAGCCCAAAATTTCCAATTTCAACCAGATGCAGTGGCTCACACCTGTAATCCCAGCACTTTGGGAGGCCAAGGCAGGAGGATCACTTGAGGCCAGGAGTTCAAGACCAGCCTGGGCAACATGGCAAGACCCTGTCTCTACATATATACACATACATACTACAACAAAATTTCCAATTTTGCTGTAGTAACATCTTAATGTCCCAAAGGAATCAAAGGGTATTGAAAACTTCTCACCAAATTAATCTTAACTGAATCAACTTTCTTTTTTTATATTTAATTTTTTAATTAAAATTTTTTAAAAACAGGCTGGACACAGTGGCTCACGCCTGTAATCCTAGCACTTTAAGAGGCCAGGGCAGGCAGATCACCTGAGGTCAGGAGTTCAAGACCAGCCTGGCCAACATGGGGAAACCCTGTCTCTGCTAAAAATACAAAAAGAAACCAGGCATGTTGGCACATGCCTATAGTCCCATCTACTCGGGAGGTTGAGGCAGGAGAATTGCTTGAACCCAGGAGGTGGAGGTTGCAGTGAGCTGAGATCATGCCACTGCACTCCAACCCGGGCAATAGAGCGAGACTCTGTCTCAAAAAAAAAAAAAAAAAAAGTTAAAAAATTGAGACAGGGTCTCACTACATTGCCCAGGCTGGTCTAGAACCCTTGAACTCAAGTGATCCTCCTGCCTCGGCCTCCCAAAGTGCTAGGATTACAGGCATGAGACACCATGCCCAGCCTGAATCAACTCTCTTTTGCCTCCCCAGAGCCTAGAGTCAAACCTGACAACTCCTCTCTTTCCTGAGGCCTTAAATGCCATCCCCAATCAGAGGCAAGCCCAATGGCAGATGTTCCCCATAGCAGTCTATGCTTGGCTTTCATCCCTTTTATCCTAAGGATCCTAAATTATATATTTTGTCATGAACTACCCACCCACACCCATCCCAAAGGAGACTGCAGGCTACCTGCTGGCAATCTGTCTTTCCTATTCGGCTCACCGCCTAACACACAGAATACGATGAAGGAACAAATAAAGGAATGAATGAATGAGGATCAACGTCATCTGGCTCCCGGTGTCTCTCACACCCTCACTTTCCATTCGCTCTGGTTGAGCTGTTCATTTTTCCACCCAGCAATTCTCACATCTAGGTAAGGCCATCAGAGCCCTTTCAGAGTGAATGAGGATGAGAAACAGAAACACAAATGGAAAACGCAAGTGCACTGGACTCCATTCCCCTTGGAATGACTTTCAGATGATGAGGTATGTCCACCCCATCAGCCACATTCTGATTCCCTCTGCTCCGCCTCGAGCACCAGTTCCCACTCACCAGCACTGACATTCCTGGACACGACGGGCAAGGGGTCGGTCTCCTGTTCAGGTTTGATGAGGATGGAGATGGCAGAGGAGGCTGTGATCTCCCTGAACACGCTGCTCACTCCTTGCGTGGACTCCTTCAGCAAGGTCACATTCTGCGTTGACTCCTTTAAGAGGTCTGAAACGGTGGGAGCAAACTTACTCTGCCCGTTCAAATCCTTGTTGTCAATGTTAATCGCAAAGAGTATGGAGTTCGGACCTGTCCAAAAAAAGGGAAAAGTCTGGAGTGCTTGCTGATGGGCAGTCATACCACCAATAAGAGAAGACAGCTGCAGACAACAGATTACAGAAGAGGAGACACGTTGATCTTAAATAGGTATAAAAATACCTGCCACACAGAGGTTGCAGGGAGCCGAGATCGTGCCACTGCACTCCAGCCTGGGTGACAGAGCAAGACTCGGCTTCAAAAAAAAAAAAAAAAACAACCTCCCATGAAACTGGGGTCAGCAGACATCCGTTATCATGGGAGTTGAGTCATGCCACATTCTCTCCCTAACAGCCAGGAAGATGAATATGAATAAGAATTCAACTGGGAGGAGGTAAAGGCACAAGTCCCGGGATCAGGCTGCCTGGGGGTAAATCCCAGCACTGCCACCTACTAGCTACAAGACCTTGATCCAGGCTGGGCATGGTGGCTCACACCTGTAATCCCAGCACTTTGGGAGGCTGAGACAGGCGGATCACCTGAGGTCGGGAGTTCGAGACCAGCCTGACCAACATGGAGAAACCCCATCTCTACTAAAACTACAAAATTAGCCAGGCGTGGTGGTGCATGCCTATAATCCCAGCTACTCAGGAGACTGCAGCAGGAGAATCGCTTGAACCCAGGAGGCAGAGGTTGTGGTGAGCCAAGATCATGCCATTGCACTCCAGCCTGGGCAACAAGAGTGAAACTCCGTCTCAAAAAAAAAAAAAAGACCTTGGTCCAGCAACTTATCATCTCCCTGTACTCCAGTCGCCTTATCTGTAAGATGGGGACAATATTATCTTCCTCACAGGATTGTAAGTATTAAAGGCAATCTCTCACAAAACACTCAGCTCCATAAACCATCAAATGTGCACTGGTAACATCATCATCATTAATGTGGACAGAAACTTACACTGGGCATCTTATGATCTACAAAGGAAATCATGGTCAAATTCTTTTTCTCATCAATGGACAGGACTAACATAAGCCCAGATATATGAGTTTAGTATAAATTTTCAAGGAAAAACAAAAAGGAGGCAACAAAGAACTTGGAAAGAGGAAGCAAGTTGCCCACTTCAGTCCAGCTGATTCCACCTTCACCCTTTGAGTCAAAGGGTGAACAATGTAACAGTCCACCGACTAACATCAACCCAGGGTCTCTCCATGTTGATTCGTCGTGTGTGCGACTCCTGATCTCACATGATTCTCTCACAGCCCCATGAAGATGACTGCTGAGACAGCATGATTCCCACCTCACAGAGAGGAAAGAAAAGGCAGCAAAGCTTACGGCATCTGCCCCAGGTCACCAGGTAGCAAGGAGTAAAGCCAGGATTCAAAGATAGGTCTCCCACCTCCAATTCCCCGCAATGCATATTACATCTCCAAAGCCCAACTAAAAACCTTCAAATCTTCGCTTTCTCTGCCAGGGTCTCACATTCTAGATAAATGGACCCAACACTGTGGTTGGGCATGGTGGCTCACACCTGCAGTCCCAACGCTTTGGAAGGCCAAGGCGGGTGGATCACTTGAGCCCAAGAGTTCGAGACCAGCTTGACCAGCATAGTGAAACTCTATCTCTATTAAAATACAAAAATTAGCTGGGCGTGGTGGCAGGCGCCTGTAATCCCAGCTTCTCGGAAGGTTGAGATAGAAAAATGACTTGAACCCAGGAGGCGGAGGTTGCAGTGAGCTGAGGTTGCATCACTGCACTCCAGCCTGGGTGACAGAGTGAGGCTCTCTCTTTAAAGAAATAAAAATTTAAAAACCAACATTCAGTGCTAGTAAAAGAAGGACAGCAGCAAGTGACTCATTGAGTTGTTGAGGGACAGAAGAATCACAACATTCCATGGCGCTGTGGAACTGCCCCAAGGCAGCCCCTCTGCCATGTGTCACAAGGCCTGGCGCCCTGATCTGGGCCAGGCTTACCTGCTGCCATGGTAGGAAGCATACTGGACCTCTCTTCATCCATCACAAAAGACCAGTCTTCATAAAAAGTACTGCAGATTGAAAGAGAAAAGGAAATCGTTCTTAGCAGTGGTTCTCTGTGTCCATTAACCAGGAAATTCCATTAGACGGCTCCCTGGAAGATCTGCACCTGGTCACCCCAGGAGGGATATGATTTGTCTGAGGTCTCTGCTGGTTTAAAGCTTCTGGTTACAAACAGAAGATTGAACACATACATCCTACAACTTCCTCGCTGGTCCCCCCCGACCCTCAGCTTTAGAGTACTAAAATAGACATGATATGTAAATGTATTTATAAAGCAGCAAAGTGGAACGGAGCAGTCAGGTGGGTGACTTCCACTCAAGCAATGTCCCCAAGAGACAGACAGGAAATCCAAGCCTGCCAACAGGGCTCGCCTGATTTGCCTAATACAAGAAGAGACCATTTCAGACAGAAATTACAGAGCCTCTATGGCTTCATCAACCAGGGCATTTAATATAATGCCTGCCTTGGCCAGGCACGGTGGCTCACACCTGTAATCCCAGCACTTTGGGAGGCCAGGGTGGGAGGATCACTAGAGGTCAGGAGTTCAAGACCAGCCTGGCCAACACAGTGAAACCCCATCTCTACTAAAAATATAAAAAATTAGCTGGGCATGGTGGCAGGTGCTTGTAATCCCAGCTACTCGGGAGGCTGAGGCAGGAGAGTCGCTTGAACCCAGAGGCTTGGTAAGCAGAGATTGCGCCACTGTACTCCAGCTTGGGCGAAAGAGCGAGACTCCACCTCAAAATAATAATAATAATAATAATAATAATAATAATAATAATAATAATAATAATATAATGCCTGCCTAGGTTACAGGCCTGAAAGCCCACATTATCCTTGGAAAAGGCTAGGAGGCTAAAAATGCCCCACAAATCTAGATGGCAGTTGGGGTAGGGGTGTCAAGGAAGCCTACAGGGCCTGTCCAAGGTCATCTAGCCAATAAATGGTCCAGCCAGGGCTTAAAAGCAGGTCTCCCGAGTCCAGCTTCCAAGCTCTCTCTGACTTCCTGTTAAGCAATGGAAACCAAAAATCCCCAGTGCCATAACTTCCCCGCCAGGTCATTGAATTCTAAATTAATCAAGGAAAAAGTCAATTTCACTAAAGCAAAGTCAGGGATACATGACCTGTAGTTGGGTGAGAGACTGGAAAAATTAGCCACTGAAGTGACTGAATACAACTGACAGAAAGAAAGAAGAGGAGCATTTCCAATATACTTTCCCAGAAAATGTTAGTAGACGTACAAACCACATGCTCAAGCTGACATTCTGACTGCACCTGATTCCTAAAATCATAATCCTTTAAAAATCTGAGCCCGTTTTCACGCATCTAAATGAATGTGTTTTCCCAACATCCAGCTAGGGAAGTGGCTGGTGATCCAGGTAAAGTCAACTGTGATTCTTACCTGCTGGACTGACTTCTCCTTGTTGGTCACTTCAACTTTGAGACTGAGTATGTAACTCTGAACTACCCGTAAATGATATGCTGGAAGGAGCTTCACAGAAACTCACTTCAAAAAAAAGGAGTAGGTCAGACACAGTAGCTCACACCTGTAATCCCAGCACTTTGGGAGGCCGAGGTGGGAGGATCACGAGGTCAGGAGATTGAGACCATCCTGGCTAACATGGTGAAACCCCGTCTCTACTAAAAATACCAAAAATTAACCAGGCATGGTGGCGGGCACTGGTAGACCCAGCTACTAGGGAGGCTGAGGCAAGGAGTATCGCTTGAACCCAGGAGGCAGAGGTTACAGTGAGCCAAGATCGCACCACTACACTCCAGTCTAGGCAAAAAAGCGAGACTTCTTCTCCAAAAAAAGGAAAGAAAGAAACAGGAGTGTGTTTTCCTTAACTAAAGCTGGTTAATGCCCTAGAGGTCCAGACATTCTCAGCCTCCGAACTCCGACCGTGAGCAGTACACAGGTGTCGTCAGTGTCAGTCCTCCTGGCTCCCAAGCCCTCCCATTTTGGACACATAGAGTCTTGCCATACAATTGAACAAGGAGCCACAGGCAACAGAGAACTTTAAGGGTATTTTTAAGAGCCCCAGTGCACAATCCCAGAAGATCTGAGACATTACCAGTAGAGAGGTGACCACAGCAGTAGATAAAGCAGAAGAGGAGACCTAAACTAGGGAACACAGGGCAAGATATAAAATCAAGGGAACATGCCACACTACTCACAAACTGCCCACTTATTGAATTCAGTGAAATTTCACTGTTGAAGATCTGGGCGGTGCTGATCAGGAAGTTACTTAAGGAACCAGAACAGGATTCATCAGGGTCACTCCGTATCACTCAAGGACACAAAACAACTTGTCTAGTCCACCATTCTCAGAGCAAAAGTAATGGCCACGGCCAGGCACAGTAGCTCACGCCTGTAACCCCAGCACTTTGGGAGGCCTAGGCGGATCACCTGAGGTCTGGAGTTCGAGACCAGCCTGGCCAACATGATTAAACCCCGTACGCACTAAAAATACAAAAAATCAGCTGGGTATGGTGGTACACGCCTGTAATCCCAGCTACTCAGGAGGCTGAGGCAGGAGAATCACTCGAACTGGGGAGATGGAGGTTGCAGTGAGCCCAGATAGCAGCAGTGCACTCCAGCCTGGGCAACAGAGTGAGGCTCCGTCTCAAAAACAAACAAACAAACAAAAATGACTTCCTTCCCCAATGTAAAATTTCCATGTGTTTTTCAGTTTGGGATTGAATGAATGCAAGAATCCCAAATTAAAATTCTGCACCTGTCATGGTAGCTCATACCTGTAATCCCAGCACTTTGGGAGGCTGAGGCGGGAAGATTACTTGAACCTAGGAGTTCGAGGCCAGCCTGGGCAACACACTGAGACCCCATCGCTACAAAACAATTTTTTAAATTAGCCAGGCAGGGTGGCATACACTTAGGGTCCTAGCTGCTCAGGAGGCTGAGGTGGGAGGATTGCTTGAGCCAGGGAGGTCCAGGCTACAGTGACCCGTGTTCATGCCACTGCACTCCAACTTGGGAAACAAAGCAAGACCCTGTCTTTAAAAAAAAAAAAAAAAAAAAAAAAATCCAGAAAGTGAAGAGGAAGCTATGTCCTAGGACAACAGCTCTCTCCACATCCAAGCTGGCTGTATGCAAGTGCCATGCCGAGCCCGTTACAGGCAGTCTCTCAATGATTCTCCCCCAAGTTTCTCCACAGCTCAGCAGAACACTCCGGAGCTGTCAGAGGGAGGCCCACTTGCCCCAGATCGGGGAACTAGGATGAAAATCCAGGTGGTCTGACTACAGACTCCAAGATCTTCACCCCTTGCTCCATCCCATTCCAGGTCCCATCCCGGCCACGTACCTGAGCCTGCAGCGGTCGGCCAGGAGCATGTGCAGGTAGCACTCCAGGGAGTGTTCGTTGAGGGCACAGCGCAGCCAGGCGCGGCCCCAGCCCACGTCTGAGGCGATGTGGCGCAGGGAGTAGAAGCGCTTGCAGCTCGTGCTTGTTGAGGACCTCCTTCACGTAGTACCAGAACACGGGCTCTACGGAGAGAGGGTGCAGGCGCCTGGCACTCGGCCTGGGGCACTCAGCACTGGGAGAGGAACACACAAAGCCTCTAGGCAATGTTGGAGATTGTAACAGAGTATCCCCTTAGCATGGAAAAGGTAGGAGATAACACCAAAGACATGGTATCAACCCAGATACTCATCAATAGTGGACTAGATAAACAAAATGTGGTACATTTACACAAAGGAATACTATGCAGCCATGAAAAAGAACAAAATTGTGTCCTATGCAGCAACATGGATGACTGGAGGCCATTATCCTAAGCGAATCACACAGAAATAGAAAACGAAATAGTGGATAGTCTCACTTATAAATGGAAGCTTAACACTGGGTACACACAGACATAAAGATGGCAAACAACAGACACTGGGGGCTGCTAGAGAGAGTAGAGAGGGAGGAGAGCACGGACGGAAAAACTACCTACCAGGTACTATGTTCACTACCTGGGAGATGGGTTCAATCGTGCCCTGAACCTCGGCATCACACAATGTACCCAGGTAACAAACCTGCACATGTACACCCTGAATCTAAAATAAAAATTGAGGCTGGGAACGGTGGCTCATGCCTGTAATCGCAGTACTTGGGAGGCTGATGTGGTGGATCACTTGAGGCTCGGAGTTCAAGACCAGCCTGGCCAACACAGTAAAACCCCATCTCTACTAAAAATGCAAAAATTAGCTGGGCATGGTGGCGCACACCTGTAATCCCACCTACCGGGCAGGCTGAGGCAGGAGAATCACTTAAAACCAGGAGACGGAGGTTGCAGTGAGCTGAGATTGCACCACTGCACTCTGGCCTGGTGACAGAACAAGACTCAGCCTCAAAAACAATAATGAAATAAGAAAAAAAGGTGGGAGATACAGAAGAGTATATCAAAAATAAAAATGACTCTAAAACCTCTCATCCAGAAAAGACCAATATTGACATTTTCAAGAATTTTCAGTCTTTTTTACTGCACTTTTCTTTTTTATAAAAAAAATCAACATTTGCTGTAGGCTGAATTATAATCCTCAAAGATATCGACGTCATAAGCTCCAGAATTCTCTGAATATTACCTTATATAGTAAAAGAGTCTGTGCAACTGTGTTAGGATCTGGAAACTGGGAGGTTATCTTGCATAATCCCTGTGAGGCTGATGTAATCACAAGATCTTCATAAGAGGCAGGCAGAGAGAAACTTGACACAGAAGAGGAGGACATGATGTGGCCAGAGAAGCAAAGACTAGAATGGGGCAGCCATAGCCAAGGAAGGTGGGCAGCGAGCAGACTCTGGAAGGGCCAGAAACGGATTCGGCCCTGAAGCCTCTGGAAGGAAGCAGCCCTGCTGTCACCTTGACTTTAGCCCAGTGAAATGGATTGGGGACTTCTGGCCTCCAGAACTGTGGGAGAATAAATTATAGTGTTTAAAAGCCACCAACTGTGTATTACTTTGTTACAGCAGCCAGAAGAAAAGAACACATCAGGCCAGGCACAGTGGCTCATGTCTGTAATCCCAGCACTCCAGGAGGCCGATGCGAGCGGATCATCTGAGGTCAGGGGCTCGAGACCAGCCTGGCCAACATGGTGAAACCCCATCTCTACTAAAAATACAATAATGAGCCAGGCATGGTGGCAGGTGCCTGTAATCCCAGCTACACAGGAGGCTGAGGCAGGAGAATCACTTGAACCCAGGAGGCAGAGGTTGCAGTGAGCCGAGATCGCACCACTGTACTCCAGCCTGGTCGACAGAGCAAGACTCTGTCTCAAAAAAAAAAAACAGGCTGGCGCGGTAGCTCACGCCTGTAATCCCAGCACTTCGGGAGGCCAAGGCAGGCAGATCACGAGGTCAAGAGATCGAGACCATCCTGGACAAAATGGTGAAACCATGTCTCCACTAAAAATACAAAAATTAGCTGGGCATGGTGGCACACGCCTGTAGTCCCAGCTACTTGGGAGGCTGAGGCAGGAGAATCACTTGAACCCAGGAGGCGGAGGTTGCAGAGAGCCAAGATCATGCCCCTATACTCCACTCTGTCTCAAAAAATAAATAAATAAAACCACATCATATTGTATGAGTGTATACGCATACATATTTGTATGTGTAATTTTGTATCCTGATTCATTTATTTTCTTGTCTAGAGCATGAACATTTTCCTATTACAATTAAAAGTCTTTCAAAGATGATTTTTGATGGCTTTCCAGTAAAACAACTATTTCCATACTGCTAAGGGCATGGCACATGGCCAACTTTCCCTCTGTACAGTAAAGAACACCCCTATACATAAATAATTGTCCTCATTCCTAGTTCCTTAGGAAAGATTTCCACATGTCAAATTACTCAGTCTGAGGATAGGAACAGATTTAAGGCGTTATGGGAAACCTAAGAAAGTTTGTTTTTATCCATAAGACGGTCATTCCTACAACTACTTGTATCTCCTCACATCCCACCACTTTTTATCCACATGTACACAGATTTTTAAAATTTTTTATATACATTTTAAGTTAATTATTATTTATTTATTTTTGAGACAGGGCCTCTCCCTCTGTCACCCAGGCTGGAGCTCACTGCAGCCTCAACGTCCTGGGCTCAAGTGATCCTCCTGTCTCGGCCTCCCATGTAGCTGAGACACAGGCACGCACCCCCATGCCCAGCTAATTTTTTAATTTTTATTTATTTGTAGAGATGAGATTCTGCTATGTTGTGCAGGCTGGTACCAAACTCCTGGCTTCAAGCGATCCTCTTGCCTGAGATTCCCAAAATGCTAGGATTACAGTCAGGAGCCACCTTGCCCAACCCCAGATATTTTCATAGTTGTAATGCTAGTGTATACATAATTTTGTGATCAATTTTCTTCACTTAACATTGGCTCTTTAACATTTTTTCATGCTGGCAATAATAATAACAGCAGCAACAGCAACTACTATTTACTGAGCATTAACTATGCACCAGCCATTGCAGTAAACACTTTACATCTGACATCATCACAACCAAGGCCATCTCCATGTGAAAGACAAGGTCTGAAGCCAGGACAAGTGAAGTGACTCGCCCAGCAACACAGTTAGTAAACAGTATGGCAGAAAGGGACCCCAGAGCTCACTGCAAACCACTAAATCACACTGCCCTGCAAAATGAGGGGACTTGGCCCTCTTCAAAATGATCACGTTCACAACTGTTTAATATTCCAAGTGGGGGAAGCTGAGTCTTTGCAGTCGGACCTGGCTTCCAATCTAGGAGCTAAACAGGCTCACAGTCCCCTCTGAAATGTGACAAAGGCTTTGAACCTGCCTTCCAGAAGGAGGCAAGTACACCCATCTCCAGAAACTGCATGGCAGGCTAGTTAAGTTCACTCTAATGTTTCAATTCAACTTCACTAGGATCCACTGCATTCTTCCTGGGAGCTGTGAACCAAGCTAGGCTATGTGTCACCAGCTAGAGACAACAAGAACTCGTCCCTAAGGGGCTTCCAGTCTAGCAGGCAGGACAACAGAGAAAAAGTCCATTCAACCAAATGACCTTGAGCAAGTCACTCAACCATGCTAAGCCTGAAAATCCTCTCCCATAAAATCAACACAAAAGTGCAGAATCGCCCAGGGTTACTGGGGTAACTAGAAAGGGAAGGAAAGCACCGAGCACAGTGCCCAGTCCATGATGACCAATCAGCATTTGCTTAATAATTAATTCTCTTCATAGCAGAGGGCATTCGCGTGGGTTCCTTTTTGTGTTAGCAGCATCTAAATGTATACATCCGTATGAGCGTGCATAAGTATTTGTGGATCAAGACAATCACTGGGATCATTTAGGATAAACTTCCCAGGAATAACAAAAACCAGCAAGAGGGCAGGTCCCTCAAGACTGTCTTCTGTCTCAATCCCTAAATGTCAAACTAATCCACTTCCCAAGCTCATCCGATCAGTCTAATCCACACAACTGTACAAAACAGCCTTCCTTCCACTCTCCGCCTCACTCAGAAACCAGGACGGGGAATCTGGCGACAACAACGCCCTGGGCCAGCCGGCCAACAACGTATTTCAAAATACCCCAGACCATTGTCGGTACGTCCATCACATTTCCAGTCAAGTGACTCTCACTTGCAGCCTGTCTTGAAAAATGCAGTCACCTCCCTCCGACCTTGAATCTACATGAACGCTTTAAAGTGTGTTTTCACCTTTCAATTCTGCAAAATTGCTTACTGCTACAGAATCCTTTTAAAGCTTGTCAGGGTGATGCTGCTGATGATAAGAATTATCCCAGCAGGGTTCCGCTTCCACTGCCAGAGTTAATGTGGTCTATTTAAAGGGCAGCTCACCTGCCAATTAGCGCCTGCGGTGTCCGTAATTTAATTTAGGGATATACACTGATCTGCTTTGAAACATGGGGTTAAGTCAAAAAGCGGGCAAGGGCTTCTGGTTCTCCAAACACCTGAAAGCCGAATGCCAACAAGAACAAGTGCCAGGAAGGGGTGTTGAGAAGAGCTGCCCCGGGACACCTATTAACAGAGGATGACTAACAGCACCAGGCTTTTGGGAAAGTTTCTATCAAGACTTAACTATCACCGATGCCCAAGAATTCATTCCTTGGGGACCACAAGGAAGACAAAAACCTTGTCCCAAATTCTAGTTCAGGCACTGTGTGACCTTGGGAAACTTATTTTGTCCTCTACTTTCTTCATCTGTACAGTGGGGAGAACAGTACCTATGTGTATGGATTGCTATGAGGGAAAAATGAGAAAAAGGAATACATGTAAAGTGTATCCAATAAATGCAGTGAATAAATGTTAGCCATAGTTATTAACATACCTGGCATATAATTGGTGCTCAACGAAAACCAACTATTAATATCACTACTACACGTGCACCAAACAGCATTCCTTTTCCTTGTTTGGGGTTTTGTTTTGTTTTGTTTTGTTTTTGAGGGGTGGGGTGCGGACAAGGTCTCACTCTGTCGCCCAGGCTAGAGCACAGTGGCACGATCATAGTTCACTGCAGTCTTGAACTCCTGGGCTCAAGCGATCTTCCCATCTCAGGCTCATGAGTAGCTGGGACTACAGGTGTACACCACCATACACGGCTAATTTATTTTTTTCTGTAGAGACAAGGGTCTTACTATGTTACTCAAGCTGGTCTTGAACTCCTAGAATCAAATGATCATCCAGCATCGGCCTCCCAAAGCACTGGGATTATAGGCGTAAGCCACCGAGCCTGGTCCCTTTCCCTTTCTTCTAGTAAGACCACCCCTCTTTCCTATGGGAAACACATTCCACTGGGATCCTTCAGCACTATCCTAACCTCCCCCTACTGCAGGGGTGGACAGCTAACCCAGGGCAGGCAATTAACTGGCCGGAACCATGGCATATGCAACTTTCATTTTTTTTTAATATTACATAAAAATAGTATTTATCTTGATTGATAAGTTTTTTGGTACCGCCTTCAATTTTGTGGCCAAAGTGAGTGTGTCACTAACCTCACCCCAGTCTCAGCCCTGGACCACAGGGTCCCTTCGCACAAGTTCTACCAGAGCCACCAGAAAAGAGGCCTTGTCTCCTCCAGGAGCTGAGGTCAGCAAACAATGGCCTGGGGGTCAAATTTGGCCTCCAAACTGTTTTTGTAAGCACAGTGGTCTTGGAACGCAGCCACACCCATTTGCTCCCATATGGTCTGTGGCTGAGTTTCTGCTCCAGTGGCAGAGCTGAGTCACTGCGATGGAGATTGCATGGCTCACAAACCCTATAATATGACCCATAAGGAGGGAGTGTGCCGACCCCGTCCTAGAAGTAGGATCTCTCATCATCCTGGAAACCTGGAGCTACTTGGGGCCATTTTCCACCCCATCATGTAGAGACCCCCCACCTGGAAAGACACCCAACCACAGAGAAGCGGTGCTGAGGGATGACAGATGGAGACAGATTTGGGAGAAGGGCAGGCCCCCTGAATCCAGCTCAACTCCAAGATGATTTCTTAGATACTTGAGTCAATAAATAAATGTCCTTCATCTTTTTTTTTCTTAAATCAATCTAAAGAATTTTCTATCATTTGCAACCACAGGAAATAATGCAGTGAGACAGGGCATGTTCTTCAGTCATCTGACAATCATCTATAGAAGACCAAGAACACACCAAGTGCTGAGCAACACCTGTGCTCCACAGCCATGGGGGGTGAGGGGTGTCTCATCAATGTGACAACACTGCCCCAAAACAAAGCATTGCTCAACAACAACAAAAAAAACAGAAAACCCGCCGGGCACGGTGGCTCACGCCTGTAATCCCAGCACTTTGGGAAGCTGAGGCAGGTGGATCACGAGGTCAGGAAATCGAGACCATCCTGGCTAACACGGTGAAACGCCATCTCTACTAAAAATACAAAAAATTAGCCAGGTGTGGTGGTGGGCGCCTGTACTCCCAGCTACTTGGGAGGCAGAGGCAGGAGAATGGTGTGAATCCGGGAGGCGGAGCTGGCAGTGAGCCGAGATGGTGCCACTGCACTCCAGCCTGGGCAATGGAGCAAGACTCTGTCTCAAAAAAAAAAAAAAAAGAAAAAAACAGAAAACCCAAGACCAGCCTGGGCAACATAGTAAGAACCCATCTCTAAAAAAAGGAAACAGAAAACCCAACTACAAGGAGCCGAGTGTGGCAGCACACACCTGTAGTCCCAGCTACTTGGGAGGCAGAGGCAGGAGGATGGCTGGACCCCAGGAGTTTGAGGCTGTAATGAGCTATGATTGCACTACTGCACTCCAGCCTAGTTAACAGAGCAAGGCCCTGTCTCTAAAAACAAAACAAAACAAAAAAACCCACACACAAAGAAAATCCAACCCCATGGAGCTGGGCTAGTCTGGAAATAGGCCAGTGATACAAAGGCTATGTCAGGCCAAAACCTCCAACCTTTTGACCTCGCTGTCACAGAGGACTGTCCTAACTTTGGGCATCTCATTTACAATTGAGCAGGAAGAAAGGGAATGGGATGAAGCCAGCTTTATCGCCCCTTTTATCAGGAAAGAACAAGTAATCCCAGAAAATCACAAGGGAGCAAAGAAAGCAAAGAACAAAACTCAAAACTGGCTTAATCCCTCACCGAGATAAAGGAGTACATACCACAGCCTCAAGCAAAATCTGGGTTCTATCAAAGCCAAAGAAGACAGAGGGATGAATCTGAGGGCACACTCTAACAGAATCAGCCACACATGGTATCAGCCATGCCAGGAACAAAGGTAAACCAAGTTCACTCATGTGCCAGCCTGAGAACTCAGTGAATACAAGTGCTCCTAAATCTGTCACATCCCAAACTGAGCCAGCCTGACTGCAAGGCACAAATGGATTGGCAGAGCAGAGTGCCAACAAGGGGCTGAGCTCTGTCACTCTACCATCTTCCAACTAGCCACAAGACTGCCTTCCAGAACCAGGGCTCAGCATAACACACCCGCATCCTACAAGAGTTTACAGCATACCACCTCCTTTATTAAAGAGTAGGAAATAAATTAACCAGGCACAGTGGCATGCATGTGCAGTCCCAGCTACTTGAGAGGCTGAAGTGGGAGGATCGCTTGAGCCAGGAAGTTCAAGGCTGCAGAGAGCCATGATTGCACCACTGCACTCTAGCCTGGCAACAGAGCAAGACCCTGTCTCTTATTTAAAAAAAAAAAAAAAAAAAAAAAAAAAGGAAAATTTCTAAGAAGGACTTCTAAAACTTGTATCTCACTTCCTTTTAGGGGCATACGCCATCATGAGCTGAAGAGTCATTTACATTCTGAAAGGAGCAAAGCAAAGGACCCACGGAACTCAGGCTGGATAACTGTGATCTAAAAACTGACAACTCAGAGGCCAAACTGAGTCTTTTTTACTTTTTTTTTTTTTGAGGTGGAGTCTTGCTCTGTCGCCCAGGCTGGAGTGCCAGGGCATGGTCTCAGCTCACTGCAACCTCCGCCTCCTGGGTTCAAGCAATTCTCCTGCCTCAGCCTCCCAAGTAGCTGGAATTACAGGTGCCTACCACCATGCCCAGCTAATTTTTGTATTTTTAATGGAGACAGGGTTTCACCATGTTGGCCAGGCTGGTCTCGAACTCCAGACCTCAAGTGATCCACCCACCTCGGCCTCCCAAAGTGCTGGGATTACAGGCCTGAGTCTTAATTTATGAGACATCAGGATTAAACACCTTTGAAACAGGCAGAGGTCACATTCGGCCAATAGGTATCAGTCCAGCTCCACTAGATCTTAACATGCTGGGACACATTCATACCCCTTAGTAAATAGCCACCGGCCCAGGTCCCTGCCACCCTGGGTGTCAAGAACCCACCCCCGAGGGACCCTGTGGACATCCCCATGATCCAGTGACCCAGGAGTTAACACACAGCCCAAGGGGTACAGCACCCTGGCTTCTGACTTCCTCCCTAAGGCCAGCTTCTTTCTGCCAGTTGTCAACCACTTTTTTCACCTTGAACGGAGCTCTGCATTTTCTCTGCACCTTCAGCAGACATCCTTCCAAGGCTTCCCTTACCAAAAGCAGCTGATTTGCACGTGCAGGAATACAAAAGAAAATCACCAACAGGGAACCAAAAGCAGGGATGGGCGAGTGAGGAACTGGACTTCCCCTCACCATCAAAAGGATGGACCCAGGGCTCCCCTGGCACATGCAGCTTCCTCCAAAATTAATTTTCTACAGAAATGAAATTGTTGCCCAAGGTGACCCAATGAAGCAAAATACAAATTCTGCTTTGAGTGCAATCAACCATTTTCAAAAATCCCCACTGAAGATCAAGGAAGTCGGTCTCTCTCGTTTTACAGTTGTGGGGATATTATCACCGCTTCCCACTGACTAAAGATGCATACAGACCACTGAGAGTAGGGGTTTGGCTTCCCGGGAAAATGAGCAGCATGTTATGAAGTCAGGGTCTTCAAGTGGTTATTTTGAATGCAGTCCTTTGGTGGCCTCTACTGTGCAGGTGGCCAGGTACCTTGCAAGACACTAGAGCTACAAGGATGAGCCTGTAATCCTAACACTTTGGGAGGCCAAGGCAGGTGGATCACCCGAAGTCAGTAGTTCGAGACCAGCCTGCCCAATATGATGAAACCCCGTCTGTACTAAAAATATAAAACTTAGCCAGGCATGGTGATGTGCACCTGTAATCGCAGCTACTCAGGAGGCTGAAGCAGGAGAATCACTTGAACCCAGGAGGCATAGGCTGCAGTGGGCCAAGATTGCGCCACTGCACTCCAGCATGGGCAACAGAGCAGACTCCATCTCAAAAAAAAAAAAAAAAAAAAAGAAAAGAAAAAAGAAAACAAGTAGTTCCATACATAGGTTTGATGGAAGAAGAACTCAGGACTATAGGAGGGGCACAGTCCAGCTGAACCATGTAGGGAGCTCATGAATGGCTTTTTGAAAACAATTCTGAAACTTCAAGAGAGAAGAGAACAAAACCACATGAGACACCACTTCACACCCATTAAGATGGCAATTATGAAAACAGAAAAAAGGAGGCCAGGCACGGTGACTCAGGCCTGTAATCCCAGCACTTTGAGAGGCCAAGGTGAGAGGATCACTTAGGGCAAGGAATTCGAGACCAGCCTGGGCAAGATAGTAAGATACTGTCCCTACAAAAAATAATAAAATTACTATACATATATATATATATGTATATATGTGTGTGTATATATATATATATGAAAAAAGGGGGTGGTAATCACTCTCTGGTTCTCCCCATGTATACAATTAAAGCTGTATACCTTTTCTCTAATTTAAAAAGCCAGCATTGGCCGGGCACAGTGGCTCACGCCTGTAATCCCAGCACTTTGGGAGGCCAAGGCAGGCAGATCACTTGAGGCCAGGAGCTCAAGACCAGCCTGGCCAACATGGTGAAACCCTGCCTCTACTAAACATACAAAAATTAGCCAGGCACAGTGTCGCATGCCTGTAATCCCAGCTACTTGGGAAGCTGAGGCAGGAGAATCACTTGAACCTGGGAGGTGGAGGCTGCAGTGAGCCAAGATCACACTGCTGCACTCCAGCCTGGGTGACAAAGCGAGATTCTATCTCAAAAAATAAATAAAAAGCCAGCACTGGCAAGGCTGTGGAGTTGGCAAGGATGTGGAAGGATGGTGGAGAAAATGGACCTCGTGTGCATTGCTAGTGGGAATGCAACAGGGTATAGCCTCTATGGAAAACCCTCTGATGGTTTCTAAAAAACAATTAAACATAGAATTACCATATGATCCAGCACTGTCCTTGTGGGTATATGCCCCAAAAGAACTAAAAGTGGAAAAAACAAGTATTTGTATCTTCATATTCACAGCAGTACCATTCGCAATAGCCCATAAGTGGAAGACACCCAACTGTCATGGGAATAAACAAAATATGGGCTCTACATACCCTCAAAAATATTGTTCAGCCTTTAAAAGGAAGAAAATTCTGGGCCAGGCGCGGTTGCTCATGCCTGTAATTGCAGCACTTTGGGAGGCCGAGGCAGGCGGATCACGAGGTCAGGGGTTCGAGACCAGCCTGGCCAACATAGTGAAACCACGTCTCTACTAAAAATACAAAAATTAGCCGGGCATGGTGGCGCCTGCCTATAGTCCCAGCTACTTGGGAGGCTGAGGCAGGAGAATCACTTGAACCCAGGAGGCAGAGGTTGTGGTGAGCTGAGATAGCGCTACTTACTGTACTCTAGCAAACTGGGCAACAGAGCAAGGCTCCATCAAAAAAAAGAAGAAGAAGGAAATTCTGACACATACTACAACACGGACGATCCTTGAAGATGTTATGCTAAATAAAGCCAGACAAAAAAAGAACAAATATTGCATGATTCCATTGGTACAAGGAACCTAAAGTAGTAGAATGCACTGAGGCAGAAAGTAGAATGCTGGCTGCCAGAGGCAGGGGTCTGGAGGGAGTGAGTGTTACTGTTTAACGAGTACACAGTTTCAGTTTGTAAAAATGGAAAGGTTCTGAGATGAATGGTGGTAATGATTACTGTATGACATGTGAATGTACATTAAGTACACTCACACTGAATTGTACACTTCAAATGGCTGAAATGGTAAATTTCATTATGTATATTTTACCAGTTTTTTTTGTTCGTTTTGTTTTGTTTTGTTTTGAGATGGAGTCTCACTCTGTTGCCCAGGCTGGAGTGCAGTGCCACGATCTCGGCTCACTGCAAGCTCCGCCTCCCGGGTTCATGCCATTCTCCAGCCTCAGCCTCCCAAGTAGCTGGGACTATAGGCACCCGCCACCACGCCCGGCTAATTTTTTGTATTTTTAGTAGAGATGGGTTTCACCGTGTTAGCTAGGATGGTCTCAATCTCCTGACCTCATGATCCACCCGCCTCAGCCTCCCAAAGTGCTGGGATTACAGGCATGAGCCACCATGCCCGGCCATATTTTTTTTTAAGAGAGAATAGAAGTTTGGCCAGTAGGAGCTTGGGTGAGAGCTGGGGAAGGAAGGAAGGTAGCAGAAGGGAAAGAACTGCCAGACTTGAAGAGTTTCAAGACAATAGAAACCAGGAGAGCTGTTCAAAATACAGGATTGGGCCAGGAACAGCGGCTAACGCCTGTAATCCCAGCACTTTGGGAGGCTGAGGCAGGTGGATCACATGAGGCCAGGAGTTCGAGACCAGCCTAGCCAACATGAGGAAAACCCATCTCTGCCAAAAATACAAAAATTAGGCAGCATGGTGGTACACACCTGTAGTGCCAGCTACTCAGGAGGCCAAGACATGAGAATCACTTGAACCCAGAAGGCAGAGGCTACAATGAGCCGAGATCGCACCACTGCACTCTAGCCTGGGCAACAGAGCAAGACACTGTCTCAAAAAAAACAAACAAACAAACAAAAAAAACAGAACTGAATCATCTAAATTACTGAGAGGCACCAAGCAAAGCACAGGCAGTGGCACTGAAGGCCCTGCCCCACACAGGATCTGGCATTAGTGCTTTAGCTGCTGAATTATGGAGAGGTCTCAAGAGTCCCAAGGCAGGGGTGTGGCAGGAGGGGAGCTTGTGGGACTCAGGCCATCATTTATTTGCAAACTGGATGAAAGAGTTGTGATGTTGGACCTGCCGCTGCCTGTCAGCCCTGGCGTACGGCACGGCATAAGAGGTAGAACAGAGACAGACACAGCCAGCACCGAAGAGAGCCCAAGAAGCCATATCAAGCACTCGATACTTTGTCCCAATTCTACAAGAGACCCATGGAAGAGCTTTAAGTTAGTGGGTTACGGGGAATAAGTGGGGGAGTGGGATGGTAATTAAAGAAGACCACTCCATGATATGCAAAGTGCATCAGAGCTGATCAAGACTGAAGGCAGGAAAACACAAGTCGGGGAGAAAGAAGAGAACTCACTGATGATGGAGGAAACGCGAGTGGCTCAGGGACCCATGTGAGAGACAGAAAACAGTGCTCTTTGTGGGACTGGTTTTGGGGCAGAGGAAAGGGAGAAGGAGAAGGCTGGGAGGAAGCCCAAGAGCTGTCCAGGGGACCTGGGTAAAGGGCAGAGCCATTTACTAAGCAAGAAACACAGGAACACATATGGATGAAGATCAGAATTCAGTTTTGGAGACTGACAAGCCCGTGCTGTACACCAAATAGAGACATTCATGAGACAGAGTTTGAGGAAGTGCTCCGGGCTGTGGGTATGACTAAGAATGACAGGCACATACAGAGCAACTTCACCAAGGAATCCAAACAGTATGCATAGAAACAAGAGCCAACAATGAATCCAAGGATGAATAATATTTGAGGGTATGGAAGTGATATGCCAACAAGGATCAGAAAAGAAGAAAGTGTGCCAATAGGCTATGGCATCACAGAAAGCAAGGGAAGCCAGTGTTTCAAAGTCAGAAGATCCTCGATGCCCAAGGCTGCCCAACAGAAAGGGAAGATTAGGCTTCAATTTTACAGGCAGCTCAGCAACAGTAACTGTGTCTCTGGTATATTCTGAATGGCCCCGATCACCTTGTAATTGACTGCCAATCCATAACCTGATGATGATATATCAGTGATTAAAAGAACATCAAATTCCAGCCGGGCGTGGCGGCTCATGCCTGTAATCCCAGCACTTTGGGAAGCCGAGGTTGGCGGATTACCTGAAGTCAGGAGTTCGAGACCAGCCTGGCCAACATGGTGAAACTCCATCGCTACTAAAAATACAAAAATTAGCCAGGCATGGTGGCACACAGCTATAGTCCCAGCTACTCAGGTGGCTGAGGCTGGAGAACCACTTGCACCTGGGAGGCAGAGGTCACAGTGAGCTGAGATCATGCCACTGCACTCCAGACTGGGCAACAGAGTGAGGCTCCATCTAAAAAAAAAAAAAATCAAATTCCAAGGTCATGCCATCAAATGCATCAAACGCCAGTAACGACAGTGGTTCTTTCTCCTTTCCCAAGTGGAATGGAAAATAATTCATTTTTCCATACTGTATTCTGTACTGGCTACTTGGGTTTCCAGTGGCTACAAAGACAGCAAGCCAAGTCTGTGTAGAGCTCTGGGTTGCTTTTCATTAACTTTTGCTTTGTTCCTTAAAAATTAATCACTTTCCCTGTAGCAAACTGTAGTGATCCTGGTATATGGTACCTCAGGAACCATGAAATACAGTACTGCACGCAATGAATAATGCCCTTCCTTCCAACCAAGATGTATTTGTTTAGTGAACATAATTTTATTGAACAACCTGTGTAGTGGCAGACACTATGCTAGGTGTCAAGAGAAAGTAAACACGGTGTCCTGCTTTCAAAAAAGCATGCTACTTTGTGGGATATACAGAAAACTGAATATGGTGTGACAATGAGGGGGTAAAGTGGAATCTCCTGTCCTTTGTTCTGTAAGACAAAGGCAGTCAAGCTTGTCTTTTTTTTTTTTTTTTTTTTTTTTTTTTTTTTTTTTTTGAGATGGCATCTCGCTCTGTCGCCCAGGCTGGAGTGCAGTGGCACGATCTCAGCTCACTGCAACCTCAGTCTCCCGGGTTCAAACAATTCTCCTGCCTCAGCCTCCCAAGTAGCTGCAATTACAAGCGGGCACCACCATGCCCAGCTAATGAGCTAAGCTAGTTTGGTCTTTTCCCTGCTTGTCATTTGCAGGAGGCTGCTCAGCACATCCTCATCAGCAGAAAACAGCCAGAGACTGCCCTTTCGTTCATCTCATCACCATACCGGTATAGCACTCTCCCTAAGACAGAGAGGGGCGGCCAGAACGAGAAGGCTGGAGATGCCTTGCAAATGTGTTGGTGGTTCTTTGATTACCAGGGCCAAGCAACAAAAAGATAAGAATTCTAGTCCTGATGGGAACAAAAAGAGCCATTCTTTGTGGCCAAAAGGTCAGCGCCTTAAGAAGGGATGACATGGAGGAAGAGGTTCAAAGTTGAAAGGGTGGTGGGAGAGGAGGGTAAGTGGTTAAACATTTATTAGGTGTTAGGAACTAAAGCAGCTGCTTCAAATGAGGTTCTCACTGAATCCCCCTGACAAACCCTCAAGCTAGGCGAGACTATCGCCTTCGCAAGTGAAAAAAACGAAGGCTCAGAGGGAACTTTCCCCGAGGCCATTCAGACTCACCCTAGCAGTCTGACTTCAAAGCCAGGGTTGCTTCTGCCTTGCTGGATGTAAGTGCCCAGCTGCCAGCTGCCCTTGGCTGGATGGAAGTGGACCAAGAACCTCATGGCTTACTCACACCAATTCCTCTAAGGTCATTCCCCCAAAGGCAGATAAGATATAAACAAGAAGAAGTATGAGGGCCCAGGAAGCCTGAGGGCAGGTGGCCCTGAGAAAAGCTAAATCCCTGCAAAGCTCCTCACCCAGCCTGTAACACTAAGTCACTCATACACAGGGACTCAGGGAGGCGTCCGGGAGACGGGAAGCTGCAGAGACATAATCCAGGACACAGGAGGTAGCCAAAGCCATTGGCAGTGATTTCTATGAGGACTGAAGTAGTCCCTGATGCTGGCTTTTCTCAGACTGGATCCCTCCGTCCCTGGCTGTTGAAGGAGCACAGAAGCATGGCAGAAAATTCAACAGGGACAGGAATCCTTTTTTTTTTTTTTTTTTTTTTTTTTGGTGAGACGGAGTCTCTCTCTGTCACCCAGGCTGGAGTGCAGTGGCACGATCTCAGCTCACTGCAACCTCCGCCTCCCGGGTTCAAGCAATTCTAAATGTGAGTCACCATGCCTGGCTCCAACAGATCTTTTTTTTAAAAAAAATTATTAAAATTATTTTATTGATACATAATATTTGTACATATTTATAGGGTACCTGTGGTACTTTGATACATGCCTAGAATGTGTAATGACTTTCAACAGATCTTTGCTTCTTTTTTTCTTTCTTTGGGCAGTCTCCGGGGGCTAGAGTAGGCTCAGGCTCCTAGATCTTTGATTCATTTCTGAAAATGAGTAACTGGTGAAATAAACAAGAAACAAAGATCTAGGAGCCTCTCTGAACTTACCCTAGCCCCGGGAGACTGCTCAAAGAAAGAAAAAAAAAAAGCAAACATCTGTTCAAAGTCATTACACATTCTAGGCATGTATCAAAATATCACAAGTACCAAGGCCAGGCACAGTGGCTCACACCTATAATCCCAGCACTTTGGAAGGCCGAAGTGAGCAGATCACAAGGTCAGGAGTTCGAGACCAGCCTGGCCAACATGGTGAAACCTGTCTCTACTAAAAATACACAAATTAGCCGGGCATGGTGGTGGGCACCTGTAATCCCAGCTACTCGGGAGGCTGAGGCAGGAGAATCACCTGAACCCAGGAAGCGGAGGTTGCATTGAGCCAAGAAGGTGCCATTGCACTCCAGGCTGGGCAACAGAGCAAGACTCCATCTCAAAAATATAAAAATTAAAAACATTTTTAAAAAATTTAAAAAAGAACATAAACAATGCCAACTCCCACCCAAGACTGCACGAGCTCACAGCTCCCTAAGATCACTAGAGCACGTCCATGTTACGCTCAGTATTTCTTTACCAAACCATTTAATTCACGTGAAAGAATGAACTTTGTAGTCCAGATTGCTTTACAGCGATGAGGTTCAGATGATCTGTTTTAAAAGGTTCAGTCCTGGTCATCATTTTCACAAGACAAAACTTCCTAGTTAATTAACTAATGCTTTGAGTACACAGTTTTAAAACAGTATCTCTAAAATCACACACACACACACACACACACACACACACACACACACATTCCACACATGCAAAAGGCAGAAGTGAAAGGCCCACCTCCGCGTCAGGAGGCTCTAAGGGCCGCAGTCCAGTGACTTCACTCAAATGAGCAGCTGTTACTCCTCGTACGTATACAGGGTAAAGCTTCTGTCTGCAGACCACAGCCTGCCTACTCACCACCTGGGTGCCAGTGCCTGTGTGGTCAGTTTTTGAGGATTTGCACCGCCCCTCCCTGAGTGCTGGAGTGTGGACGGCACCTGCCAAGGGCAGCCCAGAGGCTGGTGAGTGCCACGTGGGCCGTGTGCACCCAGCAAAGCCCACCAACTTCCTGAGCAGGTGCTGCTGCCACCCCACCGCAGTGAAGAGGGCACTGAAGCACGAGGAAGCGACACTGCCGCATCCCAAGACGACAGACACTGAGGGAGCGGCCGCCCTGAGACTGGGACCCATGGCAACTCTCCCACCCCCACACATCCAGTTATCTCCCAAAAGATCTGCCAACCACAGCTGGGCCCTCATCTGTGGCCAAGAAGAGTATTTGAGGAGGTGGCCTCAGGGAGAAGAAAGGTGCTGTGGTCAGGGTGGCACCACACCTCCAATTCTCCACTTTACTCACAGGCTCCCCCACCTCTGGCTGGTCTGAGTGCCCGGCATAGCAGGGCTCTGTGGGGGGTGAGGGGAGTGCTTCTCTGCCGGGAATGAATGAGGGAGTCCAGCATGTTTTGTTCGACAGGTGCTGCAGAGGGAAGAAAGGTCCTTCCTGTTGCTGGAAGAGCCTGGGCTCTGGCCCCCAAGGGTTGCTCCTGCTGAGGCCCCTTGGCACAGCCCAGCGCAACTGAAGCGTTCCTTTGGCCCCGGCCTCTCCTGCAAGAAACGCTCAAATGCATGCACGGATAACTCGGTCAGAGGCTTGTGGATGGCGTAGAGGGGCATGGACAGCCGCAGCAAACATCGAGCCATCTTCCATTCCATGCCTAACATATGACCAACAGAAGGCCAGCCATGCCAAAAACCTGACTGCAGTTCTCAGGAAAACTTCATTCTAATGCCCAAGTGACACGGATAATCCTAATTTTCCTGATCTAGATGAAAAGCAGGGAAACTTCACTCTAATGCCCAAGTGACACGGATAATCCTAATTTTCCTGATCTAGATGAAAAGCCCTGAGAAGCACGCTAAACATTTTTTTAACTAGCACATTTATAATCATTTTTCTTAGATTGAATGTGATTTTTTAAAAAGCTTCCCAATTCAAGAACAATTATCTTTTGATTTATCAAAATATGAGAGGAAGAATATTAATATTTGCAGTGTAAACTTTATATAGTTGTAAATTTTTTTTTTTTTGAGAGGGAGTCTCGCTCTGTCGCCCAGGCTGGAGTGCAGTGCCGCGATCTCAGCTCACTGCAAGCTCTGCCTCCCGGGTTCAAGCCATTCTCCTGCCTCAGCCTTCCGAGTAGCTGGGACTACAGGCGCCCGCCACCATGCCCAGCTAATTTTTTGTATTTTTAGTAGAGATGGGGTTTCACTGTGTTAGCCAGCATGGTCTCGATCTCCTGACCTCGTGATCCACCCACTTCGGCCTCCCAAAGTGCTGGGATTACAGGCGTGAGCCACCGTGCCCGGCCTATATAGTTGTAAATTTTTAAAAATTACTTAATTACACAGATGCAGTGGTGCACACCTATAGTCCCAGCTACTCAATTACAACTTTTAGAACTACAAACTCTTACGAAAGAGACATTAGCGATCATCTATTCCAGTATTTTTCAAAGTGTGGGTTGCAAAATCAATGCAATGTGTCATAGCCAGTTTTCAAAGAGACAAAAAGGAAGAGAAACAGAAAAGCAGAACAGAAAACAGAATAAAAAATATTAGTGCAATCAGCACACAGTAATACCATTCTGTGGACCTGTTCGGACCGTGTAAGTGCACACACGTGAGTGAGGGAGGAGGGCTCTGGAACCACAATGGAAAGCTGCCTTCTCGCTGTGGCCTGTTGTCCTGTGGACCTGTTCCGACTGTGTGTGTGCACACGCATGAGTGAGAGAGGAGGGTTCTAGAACCGCGATGGAAAGCTGCTTCCTGCTGTGGCTTGCGCAGATGCTGGTAGAGTCCAGCCATGCAGCTCGCGTGCACTCATCACTCCAGAGGCAGCATCGCCGCAGAATGCGAGTTCACCTTTATAGGGAGTCTGCCCAGGTCACGCAGCACTGGCTCAGGGTACCCACGGCAGCAAAGCAGCTGCACCAAGATGCGGGTATGACCAACCAGCGGTTCCCCTGCCAGCCCCCTGAAGTGGCCAACTGGTCTATCCACCTCATGCAAAAGTTCCCATGACCTCATAAAAAACCCATCAATTTTCATTTAAAATGCACTCAAAAATAAAGTCATCCACCTCCCTGCAAATTTCAATCCTTACAACTCTTAATTTTTAAGGGCTTTTTTTGTTTTTCAGAATCTTCTGAAAATCTGCACCAAATTAAAGATTCTATTATCCTTACCACTAACTGAAAATTGAAATTCCTTAGACAATAAATTATTTTACACTCCTGGCACCATCTGTCTGAACGTACTCTCTCGCTCTGTGAATCGCTGGCACACCAGACTGCCTCTCCCTGCTCCAGGGAATTTCAGGGAATTCCAGATGCCCCTGATTCTGGTCTAATTTACCATACAAGGCCTGTCCTCTACTCAAACCAATTCTGCAATCCCTTAAGTTAACCATATGGGCAATACAATAACACCTCTACTTAAATCATTCCGAATTTCTGCTATGATATCATTTGATCTTCATGCCCAGGGCAGCAAATAATTAATTTCAAATACTCACTGAGCAACAAAGCCAACACTAGGGGATTGTCCAGTAAAGGAAAATGCTGCCCGGATGCCTCACACCCCCAGTGAGGCAGGGACAAAAGAAATCAGCACAGTGTATTCAGCTGATGAAGGAGCCATTTCTCCACAACTCCACTCTCAACGAAGAAGCACCCAGAACACAGCCACAAATGCATCTAAACAGCCAAAGACCCAGGCTCAGCTCTACACAGCTCACCCGAAGGAGCTACCCATGCCTGGAGCCATGACCAGAACCAGCCACTGCATTTTAATTTCAACTCCAACAGCAGTGGCTGTTTGGCTTCCCTGGAAGGCAGCAGATTAGGTGCATGATGAGGACGCGGTGGAGGGCAGGAGGCGAGGAGGGCAGCACACGTCCACACACACACAGGGGCTCAGCTCTACAAAGCCCGAGACTGAGACTCTCACTTAGGCACCTCCCACAGTGAACTGAATGCTTGTTCTTATGTAAAGTTGTTATTCAGGAGGAAAGATAATACACAACCTTTGAAACCAGCCAAAGTGGTTCCAAATAATTTTTTAAGTATTTTAATTTTTTGAAAAACCATTGAATTGTACACTTCATTTATTTTGAGACAGGGTCTTGCTCTGTTGCCCAGGCTGGAATGCAGTGGCACAATCATGGCTCACCGCAGCCTGGGTCTCCTGGGCTCAAGCAATCCTCCTGCCTCAGCCTCATGAGTAGCTTGGGACTACAAGTGCATGCCACCAGATGTGGCTAATTTTTTTTTTTTCTGTAGAGACAGGGTCTTGCTATGTTGCCCAGGCTGGCATCAAACTCCTGGGCTCAAGCGATCCTCCCACCTCTGCCTCCCCAAAGTACTGGGATTACAGATGTGAGCCAGCACAAAACATTTTTTTTTTAAAGATTCAGCTGCAATTTCAATGTCAGTGTTCTAAGAAAGCCCTTCACCTCTTCTTCCCTCTCCCTCACCTCTTCTTCCCTCTCCCAGTCAGCGATGCTGGAACACTGGGGCACGACAGCATGTGCACCTAGAGGTCAAAAAGAACAATAAAGACAGAGATAGCACTGGAGTGGAAACTAGTCATCACGGCTGGGCAGCTGGCAAAGCAGAGGCCACAGGGGCCCAGAGCTGAGAGGAAGTGAGCGCTCCTGGAGGGGAGGCTGAGACACAGCGCTGGAGAGCACGGCTCGGGGAAGAGGAAGCGGGCACCATGCAGCCAGTGCGTCCCCACACATGTGCACCCACCACCATCCCCTGAACCTTGTCTTCCCAAATGGCTCTTTATGAAGCCTCTGGTGCTCCACCAATCTTTCCAAACTTCTTGCCCACATTTGGGATGCACCATCCGCTACTGCTACCCCCCAACACTGGTCACAGGAGGCTGAGCACCGGGGGCTCCATCCGACCTCACTGGACCTGGGTGCCCATGGCCTCCAGCCTTGCACAGGCAGTCACCCTCCCCATGGCTGTGCCATTCGCTGTCCTGAGGCCTTGGTGCAGGTGGCTCTCCCGACCCCTCCTACTGTGTCTCTCACCCTCCTACTGTGTCTCCCACCCTCCTACTGCATCTCCCATGCTCCTACTGCATCTCTCACCCTCCTACTGCATCTCCCACCCTCCTACTGTGTCTCTCAGGCTCTGTGGCTCTTGCGCACTCCCAGTGTGCCCAACAGGGCCTGAAATGGACTCTAATCAGCATTCCTTAGTGCAGGCTCACGCTCACCTGAAGAGCACCTGTCAGCAGACAGCCTCAGCCAGGGGAGCCCTCCCAGAGTCAACGAACAGCTGTGAGTCCCACCCTGCCTGCAACCCAGCACCAGATGTAAGCGCACACCACAACTGTCGGCAAAGAAGCCAGAGAATGCGGGGGTCGTGGGCTACAGGGAAAGGAGGCCAAGGCAGCCCTCCTGGAACCTCAGTATCAGAGCAGACAGAGACATAATGGCAGAAAGAGCGTGAGACGGGGCATTCCATCTCTCAGCAAGGAAGAAAAGCAAGGCTGCTATGGACATGAAACTGACCACATAGCTTCAAATCAGGCGATTCTTCATATTTTCTACTCAGACAGCAAATGGCAACTGTGGGATGTGACTAGAATCTCTCAATATTTAATTTGAAGAAAACATGACTCAAAAAGAATGGTCCCCTGGCAGCAGGTGCCACAGGGTCACACCAACGCAGCACAATGGCACTTCCCAGCACCGCAGCCACCAAGGTCCTCCTGGAACTGACATTGCTGCTGGCCGCAGACGTGGCCTCAAACCCGTCGCCCCAGCAGCAATCCACAAGCACAGCGCACATCCCTCCCTCCGTGGAACTAAGAATGGAGGCTATTTTCAGAGAAGCTGTCCACTAATTCTGAAAATAATCAATTAACTACAAGAAGTAATAGCAACAATCATCTCAGAAGTGGAATAGGAGGAGAACAGCAACAAGTGTGAGCCCAGCACAAGGAAAGGGGGTGGTGTGCAGGATGTGGGGTGCAGGGCGCAGGGCACAGGCCCCAGCCCCAGGATGGAAAACGGACGGCCGGAAGAGGGGAGGCCTGGCCACCCTCCCAAGAGGATTTCTAGCTGCTCTGTCAGATTCTGAGTCTACTGCCACATAACCACTCCTAAATGACAGTTGGAACTAGGGAATCAGAAGGGAATACTAAGCCAATCCTCAGTGATCTAGGAACTTAAAGCAGCCGCGTCCATTTCTTTGTGTTCTCTTACTCCAGTTGGGGTGCTGTTCCTCGCCTTCCCCCAACTACCTGGAACAAGCGTGGGCTGCAGGGTCTCCCGTCAATCAAGCCAGTGCTCACACCAGGGCAGGCCAAGGGCCTCTGGGACAGGACGGGGAGCTGAGCCATCTGCAGTGTCACATGAAGGATGCTTCTGAGATCAAGTCTGGCTGGAGAAGAGAGAGCCCTAGACCTGCATGCACTATCCTCCTGTGGGCATGGGGGTGGGGAGGAGAGGGAATGGGCCGTGTGTCCCCCGCACTGCTCGGGGCTTCTGTAGGCAATGGGGATGGGGAGGAGAGTGAATGGGCCATGTGACCGCCCCCACAGCTCAGGGCTTCTGTAGGCACGGGGACGGGGAGGAGAGCGAATGGGCCGTGTGTCCCCCGCACTGCTCGGGGCTTCTGTAGGCAATGGGGACGGGGAGGAGAGCGAATGGGCTGTGTGACCCCCACCACGGCTTGGGGCTTCTTAGCCCAGTCAACAACATCGAGGTGAGTGGGCTTCTCTGTGCTTTCTGAAACATCCTTCTGTCTCCCAAACGTGTGGCCAGCCCGGAGGACAAAGCCTGCATGAGCAGGGTGTAGCTCAGCAGGAATGAGAACTGGCCAAATGATGGGAAAAAAAAAGAATTTCCACAAATGGAAAATGAGGGGGTTCACTACACAGATTTACCAGAAAAGGCAGCTTCAGTTGAACACAGCGGTTTCTTTAAATCACACAGCAGTTTCCTTCCCAAGAGAAGCAGGGACCGTGTACCAAGATTCCGCCCGTTACCCTGAGTGCAGCACCGGCCTCTCCTGAAGCCGTCTTTGATTTGAGGTCCCAGAAATGTGACCGATAATAGGAATCAGGAGCGTATGAGAGTTCACAAGGGGAAAAAAAAAAGGTGATTTATAAATTATTATTTGTTTCACATAAAAAGTGGTAGTACGGCAGCTTTATTCATTCTGCGGTGAGGCCACTTAGAGACAGTGGGAACTCGGAGGGGCCACGGAAGAGGCGGGAATGAGCAGCAGTTGCGACCCTGCTTGCAGTGCAAAGGCACGTGGGGCGGCAGCAGTGACGGAGGAACGAGAGACACCAGAACGGAATCTTGTTCAGAGAAATCCAGACAGCAACTCCTCCGACATCAGCCCTGAGTCCTTCCTGAACTCAGATCTGTGCTGGAGCCAATGGGCCTCCATGCCTGCTGAGAAAAGCTGGAATCTCTGTCCCCACAGTAGAGTTGGGAGAATTCTGTCTACAATCACAAACAGAAGCACTGCAGTGATACAGTGTAAAAGCCTGGTTCTATCTTTAAAATTCCAAGTGGATTTTGTTCAGGGGTAGAGACAGGAACAAGGGAATATCGAAGGTGACGTGCCTTACTTTTCCTAGGAATTAAACGTCCAGCAGCGTTTCAACTATGATACAGTTCCACTACCAGCAGAACCATAAACCACTATGTTGCAGAAAACTAAGACGGACCGCCAGCTATGAGCCCTGTCCTCTGCTGCCCCCGTGACCGTGAGAACCACGGGGGACAAAGGCGCGGAGAACTGACCTGCACTGCGCCGACCGCAGCCTCATTACCCCAGTGGAGTGAGCGCAAAGCCACAACTGTGGATTTAAAAGCTGCGCATTCCTTTGGCTCTTTTCCAGAGCAGCAATTTCATACTTACAGACGAGCGATGCTGCAGGACTACCTGAGAAAACCTCGTGCTGATCTTTAAGATGAAACTTTCCAACTAAGAAACTCTGACATAAACCAGTTTTGGAGGGTCTGCAGCCCTTCTCCCAAGGTGCCTCTGAGGGGTCAACGGAAAGCCCACGGGAGCACATGCCCTTCTGTCCCCCTCTGTGTTAAGCACCTCACTCTGGGGGTGCCCCAGGCTCAGTCGGGTCAGAGATCTGCAGGGCCTGGCCTTGACAAAGGGAACACATGCAGGTTTCTCGAAGGACAGTGTGCTGTGGTTTTGAAAAATTAGTATTATCTTTCTACACAGTGAGTTCTGTTTATGGTTCTCACTGTCAACTTCCCAGCTTCTGTTTTATGAAATGGGAAGATCACCCAGATTCTTCAATGATCCAGAGGTGACAGCCATCTCCTGAACAGAAAGGGTCTTCACCAGGACCTAGGAACACACAGCCTCAAAACCACCAGAGAGTTGACTCTGTCCTGCACAGCAACACCCTCCCCAGGACCCGCACCGTCGGAGCACATCATTTTGTAAAGACCATTCGTACTGGGGTGTTCAACCAATGGTCACTCTTTTTGTCAAGGATTAGAAAGCAGGCAAGTTTGTGAGTTTGATGGCAATACACAGGAGCGAAACCACCTTTTTCTAACAGAGTTATCTGTGCAGATATGACCACCATCAACATACGCATGCGTGTGCAGAAAATAACCATCTGAAGGGGGTGGGGTGGTGGGGGTGGGAGGGCATGTTTCCGCCATAATGCAAAAGCTGCTGAAATCCTACAGAGCAGCAAATGTAACCCCCAAGCCCCGCCCTCCCCCTTCCAGGCCTGTGCATTGCCATGGTGAGGAAAGCCAGTCCTGCTCTGGGGCTCACACTGAGAGGCCTTTGCACCCTCGCTTCCTCCCATGAGAGCCCCCATTCCTTGGCAGCACAATGGCCTATATGTGAGAGGGGGACTGTGGCACTCACCTGACCATCCGCCCCCTTCCCATGAGAGCCCCACCCCTCGGCAGCACAATGCCCACATGTACATGGGGACCAGGGCACTCACCTGACCGTCCCACCCCCTCCCCTGAGAACCCCACCCCTTGGCAGCGCAATGCCCGCATGTGCATGGGGACTGGGACACTCACCTGACCATCCTGCCCCACGTGATGGATCTGGAGGTTGCCCTACAAAGAACGAGAGGAGGAACGGTCATGAGTAGAAACACACCAAGACACCCGCAGACACGGCAAACACGCCAAGACACCCGCAGACACGGCAAACACACCAAGACACCCGCAGACACGGCAAACACGCCAAGACACCCGCAGACACGGCAAACACGCCAAGACACATCACAGGCCACTTGAGAATAACAAGAAAAACACTAGTTCTGCAAAAATTCAACCTCCAGTAGCAACAAAAGCCCCAAAACAAAATATTTAGATTTCTAGGTACTATTTATTATTTTAAAGATGAACAAACAACTCAAAAAGCACTGTACCCATTCCCCCACCCTGACCCCAAATGAAAATGTCATTTTTACTTCATTTTTTATTTTGAAAGAATCTGACTCACAAAAAGTACAGAAAGTAGCAGAGAGAGGTGCTATGTGCATGTCACCCAGCTTCCCCAAAGGGGGACGCCTTGCTGAGCTGTGCGGCATCACCACGCCAGGTCACGGGCTGCACGCAAGGAACCAACTCACTCAACCACAGAGCTACTAAGAGCTCTCCAGTTAGAAATTCATTTTCATTTGTTGTAAAAAGGAACTGTTTTATGTCTGTTAGACCCTGCTAAATGTTTATTTGCAGATATCCTGTTTTAACAAAATAATTTTAAATGAACATGGTATGAATTTATGGTGAGGAGACTGCATACTGTCACTTATCACAAAGCCATCGTTAGTATTATTAGCAATTTCTAACTTACTGCATTCAATTCCTAATGAAAATGAAAGACAATCACCTATACAAGATGGATTCAGTTTTGAAAACTGAAGGATAAAACTAATAATAAAAAATTGAAATTCCAGTAGTCAAGATTTTTTAGCATAAACTATAAAAAGCAAATGTGTGTTGATTTTTTTCTTTTGCTGCCGTTTCAATTTTCCTGCATTTTCAATGACTCTAAGGAAATTAAGCATTCCGACGAACTTCATAGGCTTCCAGGTATTCAAGAACTCTGGCTGAGGTCTCTGGCAGTGAGCTTAGCCTCCCAGCCCCCACCTGTCTGTGCCTTGAGAAGCCAACCTTCCCCTGCCCCTCAAAGGCAGCTCCTGCACTGGAAGGTGCTGCTGGGATCCTGCACCTCGCAGCCACTCAGGCCCCCAACTCCTGCACCTGACCTTGCTGAGCTGACAGGCGCATCTCCCGACATCTCCAGGGAGATGGTCCCTGGCCCACCCACAGACACAGAACCAGGCCCTGCCCCTTCCTGGACACTCTGGCCTCCTGGGACCGTCCCCTACCTGCTCCCCGCCCTGGTGCTTCCTTCCATCCATCCATCTGACCATATGTTTCTTAGTGACCTGGTCATGTCGCTGTGTGGATGAGCCCACTCATTCCCAGTCGCTCATGGCCCCCATATGAATTCATTCCTCCCCTTTCACCTCTTCCTCATTCCGCCCCGGAACCCTTATGCATGTGCTCCCCTCTCAGAATAACCCACTGGGAACTGCTGGTGTCCAAATTAAAGCCACTGCCAGCAGACACGCCCAAGTCCCTGGTGCTCCACGTGCCACGGCATGCATGTGTCCACAGTCTTGCTCATGGGCACTTGGGCAGGAGGCTCTGCGCCCGCTATGAGTCCCCGATGGCAGGGCTTCTCTCTCCTCTGCTCCCCCACAGCACCTGCACCCAGCATGAGCTCCCGGGAGCCCTCGCACGCCAACATCTCCATGAGTCCCCTTGACCTCAGCACCCGGGCTTCCTAGTCTCTGCTGCTGGTGTGTGTGGGGAAGCCTGAGATCTTCGTAGCGATACACTACTATACACCAAACACAAAGCTGGTGCCATTGGCACGACCTAGAAACAGCCATGTTCCTCATCCCCCAGAGCGCACCACGGTCACTCAGTACAGCACGTGTGCGCTGCTTACTGCCCTGTGCCTGCTGCTGCCTGTGCTGCAGGAAACAGCCCAGAGTCGAAGGATGGTCACCAGCCACCCGGAAGACAGTCCTGCTCTGGCACGCAAACACGGAGCATCGCAACCGGCCGGCCTCGGCTTTCCAAGAACTCAGACTGTCACTCCCGCCTTCACATTCCAGACCCCAACAGCAGCTGAGCCCGCACTTCTGAGCGCGTGGCTGGGTAGAGCTCCAGAAACTGAGACAATCACAGACATGGCAGGTGCGTCAGGGCTATGACCAGCTCTCAGGACTGGCAGCATCACCTTGTGGGATTCCCCACCATCCTATGAAATCGGCACTAATCCCGTAGAGGCCACCAGGAAGCTGGGGCCACATGGCAGGTGAGGGGGTATGTCAGGTCACCTGTGCAGGGGCAGACCCCATCTCGGCCACACTGGGGCCCTCCCCTGGCAGGAAGGGCAGGGCCAGACAGGGAGAGAAGGGTACTCAGAGGGCACTTCGAGCCAGAAGCAGAAACATCTACCCAGGAGATCTTTGCCAAGACAGACCAGAAGCTGTGGAGACCAACGGACAGGAGGGGGAGGCAGTGAGGCCACAGAGACTGCAGGCCTGCTATGTGCACCCTGGAAGCGGAGTCCTGCAGCCCTCGCCCATGTTCCCCATCCTGGGGGCTCCCTGCTGCCCTCGCACTGTGACACCGATGAAGGTCAGGAGCATGCGGGCACAGTGCCTGCAGGGACAGGGCTGCAGCGAGAGATGACTCACCTCGCTGTCCTGCGTGATCTGGACTTGCTCCCCCTGCGGCACCTTGGCGATGTGGAGGTGTCCCTGTGGGATCCGCAGCAAGAAAAGACACCAAGAAGCATCAGAAGAAAATAAAAAGCAAAGGAAACAAGAAACATCTTCCGGAATGTTTGTTCTTGATTATCTGTTTACAATTCAAAAAGATAACTAAATCCTGAATAGTGCAATATAGTCTGTGGTCACCTCTTTAAATTAAGCTTTTGGTTCACAGTAGTCCCCCTCATCCATGAGGGTTTCAAGAAGCGCCCCCTCCCCCCACCACGTGGACGTCAGAAACCGTGGATGGTGCGGAACCCCGTATATGCTATGCTTTTTCCTGCCCATACGTGCCACACAGCTTGGACATGCTGGACAAAGGAATGACTCACGTCCCAGGCTGGACACAGCAGGACGATCAGACTTCATCATGCTACTACCCAGAAGAGTATGCAATCTGAAACTTACAAATTGTTTATTTCTGGAGTTTCTCATCTAATATTTTCAGATCACAGTTGACTATGGGTAATTAAAACCTAGGAAAGTGGAAGCATGGGTAAGGGGGGGTACTGTGTAACACAGAACATGTTCCAGTACTTCACAAAGGAGCAATAGGTCCCAGGAAAGATATATACATCTTTAAATGTTACTAAACAAGTAAATTTTAAAATGTGCATGACACACAGAAAAGAGGGGAAATAGAAAATCACAATGACACCTCTTTTCAAATGATACGTTCAGCTCTCTGGGGATGCTGGGAGGCTACGCAAGCAGTGTATGGCTGAAGCAGGGGAGCTGTTTGCGTGCCTACACTCACAACAGGGCAGGCAACATTTTTCAAATCAAAGAAACACTCATATGACTATTTAAACAGTTTGAGGAAACACTAACAAATGTGATTCAAAAAAAATCAAAGAATCCACTGTTTATACATATGGGCAGACAAATATTTCCTATAAACCTGTAAATGAAATGAATACTTATCTTATTTGAAATTCTCTCTTAGTCGAAATGGATCTTAAACTCCTGTAGAATGTTCTATGTAAGCCTTATGACAAAGTTATCTACTCTGGAACGCTTTCAAAGAACTTCTTACTAACAAGATGAGAGGAACTGCCATTGTGAATGTCAAATAAATTAATAAGCTTATTAAATAAGATTCACTATTCATAACTGTCTCATCTCCTTTGGAAGAGGAAGGGTAATGCCCCCTCTAAAAGCCCCAGAATTTTCTGGAAGCCTTCCCTCTTCCAGACAGCACGCTGAAGCCACACTGAGATGAGAGCCACGACCCACTCTCAACAGTGGAGGACCTTGTTTCCAGGAGAAAGCCCTGGTAACACGGAGGCACACGATGACCTGTCTTCAGAGGGCCCAAGGGGGCTGGTGCCACTAAAAACATAGGCGATGTCTAGTGGTGCATGTAAAATTTCTAGTCACTCAGCAAAGCTTCCAGAAAAGTCTTCTTCTCAGCCGCCCCCTACTCTCGTGCCACAGAATCCAGGAGGTGTTTGTAGAGGGACTTCACCCGGGAGCGAGCCCCTAGGCGCATCAGACTGACCACAGCTTGGGTCACAAAACCCCAACAGAGAACTCCGCATGGGCAAGGCAGGACATTGACTTGCTGCTGGGACAGTGCCCGCCCAACCTGGGTGTGCTGAGTAACTCCAAGGGAAACGCTGCATGGGAACAATGACCTCAAGCTTTTGCCACTGATCCTAGAAGGAAATTACTCTTTCCCTCAGTAAGAGGACGCCTGCACTTCTGAGCTGAGAAATATTTCCGATGCTTCCCAGGAGCACGAGCTGGGGCAGGGACCACTGCACAGCCTGACCCTTGGAGCTGACTGCCCGCCTGCCTGCTGGCAGGACTGAGGTGAGCTGACTGAACGCCCCACCCCACCATGTGCTTCAATCCCTAGGCTCTGCAGCAGCCGCCCCCACCTGTGAAATGTTAAGAGCTCATGGCCATGATGACCTCTACTTTAAATGGGAACCTTGTGCCTCCTCCCAAGCTATCACTGTGCTCCCGAAACACAGCGGAACTGGTGGAAGCCGCCAGGGCCCTGCCGTGGCCCACCCCGCAGCCCCCTTTCCCAAGGTGCGAGGTGGAGAGGGTACGTACTACTTGCACCTGTCCGTCTTCTCCGATCTGGTGGATCTGCACCTGCTGCACGTTGGCCAGCGCGTAGTGCAGGGCCTGCGGCTGCGGCTGTGGCTGCAGGAGCTCTCTGGCAGGAGGTGGGGTGCTCATCATCGGCTCTGTGGGGGCAACAGGTGTGAACGGGGTGAACGAGAAGTTTCTTAGGCATTGCCTTGTGCAGCATGTGTGCACCCCCGTCCCTCACTCTCGACTCCCACAGCAGAGAAGAGGAAATGCTTCATTTTTCCTCGGCTCACTGCATCTCCACTCTTCTGCAGAGATCACTACGAGTGAGTCTTAGGAACTGAGGTTTCCGACATGGAATGCAGAAGGGCCTGAGAGTGGCGTGATGCTGCTATGACAAAACCCCTTTTAGTCCCAACTTATTTAAATGAATGAAGTTCTTAAAGTGGACATTAAAAGCTGTTTCAGGCTGGCAATATTTGTCCATGGGTAATTAAACTAATAGAGCAAAAGTCTCATCCACGCACTTAAAGATACATTTCCAACAAATTTTACTTGCTGTGTTTAATCAAAATGAGATACATTTGCTTTGATGTACTGTGTATTAATTTTCACTGTAATGATGTCTCAATCATAATTTTCTTAAACTCTTAGAATATTAAGAGCACAGAAAAACTTTAATTTTCATTGTATACACGTAGTTTTGTTGCAGAGAATTATAATGACTAATTTTAAAAAGCTTTTAAGCATAAAAATGTAGTCTGGGCACGGTGGCTCACACCTGTAATCCCAGCACTTTGTGAGGCCAAGGCAGCCAGATCACCTGAGGTCACGAGTTCAAGACCAGCCTGGCCAACATGGTGAAACCCCATCTCTATTAAAAATACAAAAATTAGACAGGTGTGGTGGTGGGGGTCTGTAATCCCAGGCACTCAGGAGGCTGAGGCAGGAGAATCACTTAAACCTGGGAGGCGGAGGTTGTAATGAGTCAAAATGGCACCACTACACTCCAGCCTGGGCAACAGAGCAAGACTCCATCTCGAGGGGACAGGGGAGGGAAGCAGAAAGATGAAATTCTGTGAGAGAAGTAGAATGTTGATATGAATGAAAGGAGAAAAATGAAAGACATAAAATTTCTGATTATTAAAGAGAAGCGGGCCAGGCGTGGTGGCTCACGCTTGTAATCCCAGTACTTTGGGAGGCCAAGGCAGGCAAGATCACTTCAGGTCAGGAGTGCGAGACCAGCTTGACCAACATGGTGAACCCTGTCTCTACTAAAAATACAAAAATTAGCCAGGTGTGGCGGCACGCATCTGTAGTCCCAACTACTTGGGAGGCTGAAGTAGGAGAATCACTTGAACCTGGGAGTAGGCGATTACAGTGAGCTGAGATGGCACCATGGCACTTAGCTCCAGGCAACAGAGTGAGCGGGGGAAGGGACGGGGAGGGGCAAGAGAGGGGAGGGCAAGAGAGAGGAAGGAAGGAGGGGGGAGGGGAGGAGGGAGGGGAGGGGGAGGGGCGGAGAGGGGGAGGGGGAGGGGCGGAGAGGGGGAAGGGGAGGGGCGGAGAGGGGAAGGGGAGAGAAAAGCTTTCCATGTATTTTTTACCAATAGCTAATGGTAGGTATTAAATTGCCATAGTACATAGATTCCACTGAATACATTTTTTAAAGTAACAATAAAATGTTGGTTTTTTTTTTTTTTTGAGACAGAGTCTTGCTCTGTCACCCAGGCTGGAGTGTAGTGGTGTGACCTTGGCTCACTGCAACTTCCGCCTCTCAAGTTCAAGCGATTCTCCTGCCTCAGCCTTCCAAGTAGCTGGGATTACAGGCACCCACCATCATGCTGGGCTAATTTTTTTTTTGTATTTTTTTGTAGAGAAGGGATTTCACCAGGTTGGCCAGGCTGGTTTTGAACTCCTGACCTCAAATGATCCGCCTGCCTTGGCCTCCCAAAATGCTGGGATTATAGGTGTAAGCCACTGTGCCCAGCCACATAACAGAATGTTGATACTTGCAATATGCTAGAAATTGCCTAGCTACACTAAATCAGAATCTCAAATTCATGAGATTCAAAGGAGATTCAACATGCCCACCTGCATGCTGCATGTGGAGAGCTTGGCTCCAGCCAAAGACCCTGACTCCACCTGAGCACCTCCAGTGATGGGTCATGTCCCAAAGCAACCACCGCCAGGCAGTGCTGCGTGCTCCACGGCGGTTTCCTGTCCGCCTGAGCAGTTACAGAGCACTCACCACCACAGGTCCTCGAGCAAGCCTTGTGCACCCCAGGAAGAAAATGACAAAATCCCAGCTGGGCTGAAGCCCACCTCCGCGGAGCTGCTGTTCCTCCACTGACCCTCTTAGCACCTACAAAACCAGCCTAATTCTTCACTTATGTGCTGCTTCTCCAGGCATCTAACCATTATCAAACCTTGTGAAATCTCAATTTCTAACCGTTTCCCCAAAGACAACAGTTTCCAGCCCACTGCCACCATGACAGTCTGTCCCTGGACAGCTCCTCCCAGCAGCTCCAAAACGCTCCACTGGGGCCACAGGGTAGACAAGCTAAGAATGGGTGTGCTACAGAGTGCACCTTCCAACCACAAGGGCTCCGAGGAAGCTCCTGCACACCAGCGCAGCCAGCAAAACACTCGGCTTCACACAATGTTACACCACCGTCTACTACTGTGCAAATGTTCTGAGTCTACATTTCCAGCTATGAAATTTCAGCTCATTAAATTTACCCTTTCAAGATTCTGGTATCCTAATGACGCAGGCCAACATATCTGGCAGTCGTCAGGTTATATAACAGCAGCTTCTTGCTCACTAAGGTCCTGGCAAGTCATTTAACTTGGGTTTTGATTCCCCATTGGATGAAGCAGACCGCTAACCTTACCAAATGCACGTACCCGAAACACATGGAAGGCAAGCCTGGCAGCAACTCTCCTCGCTCTTCGAGTCTAGGAGTTCCATACGGTTCTTTTTTATGTCTTCTATTTCTCTCCTTGCTATGTTCCTTTTTTCCTTTAAATTCCTGAATGTAATTTTAATAGATTTCAATGTCCTGGTCAGTTAATTCCAGACAGGGTCCCTTCCTATTTACTGATTTTCTGATCATAGGTCACAATCTCCTGCTTCCTGGTACTCTGGACTAGATACCGGAGATTGTGAATTTTACTTTGTTGGGTGTCTAGGTTTTGCTGTCTTTCTTTTAAAAGTGTTGTTACTTGTGATTTAATGTGATCTTTCTCAGGCTCTCTTAAGCTCTGCCTTTATTCTAGGGACAGTTTAGCCTGCCAGTAGGCATGGCCAGCTAGTGCAGTGACTGATCACTGAGGACTCTGGCTAGTGGGAATCCAACCACCACCCAGCCTGGGGTGAGCTTAGGAGCCATTGAGCTCATGCCTGCCTTGGAATCCCCCAAACACCCAAGAAGGTCCCCGTGTAACCCTCTGCTCTTAAGAACTTGATTCCACAACTTTCTGCTGCCTCAGCCTCTCTCAACTCCAACCCATCTCCTCCATGCAGTGATGTAGCTATCTCTGCCTGGCATCTCCCTGTCCCCTCCTCTCATGTTCCTTCTCTCAGGATCACGGTCCTGTGCTGTTGCTTGTCTAATGTCTTAGGACAGCCGATTCACAGATTTTTGTCCAGATTTCAATGGCAAGAGAATTCAATCTGGTTCCTGCTACTGTGCCTGACAGAAATTGTGCCTGACAGAAATCTCCTCTCCTTGACTTTTTTTTTTTTTTTTTTTTTTTTTTTTGAGACAGAGTCTTGCTCTGTAGCCCAGGCTGGAGTGCAGTGGCGTGATCTAGGCTCACTGTAAGCTCCGCCTCCCAGGTTCACGCCATTCTCCTGCCTCAGCCCCCCGAGTAGCTGGGACTACAGGCGCCCGCCATCACGCCCGGCTAATTTTTTTGACATTTTTAGTAGAGATGGGGTTTTACCGTGTTAGCCAGGATGGTCTCGATCTCCTGACCTCTTGATCTGCCCACCTTGGCCTCCCAAAGTGCTGGGATTACACATGTGAGCCACAGCACCCGGCTTTTTTTTTTTTTTTTTTTTTTTTTGAGATATAGTCTCGCTCTGTCACCCAGGCTACAGTGCGGTGGCATAATCTCAGCTCACTGCAACCTCTACCTCCTGGATTCAAGCAATTCTCCTGCCTCAGCCTCCCAAGTAGCTGGGATTAGAGGCATGTGCCACCACACCTGGCTAAGTTTTGTATTTTTAGTAGAGACGGGGTTTCACCATGTTGTCCAGGCTGATCTCGAACTGCTGACCTCAGGTGATCAGTTTGCCTCAGCCTCCCAAAGTGCTGGGATTACAGGCATGAGCCACCACGCCTGGGCTCCCTGACTTTTAAACAACATTTTTTACAACTATAAAATTAATGCAGTGCTTATTGGAAATAACTGAGAAACTACAATAAAAGACAAAGGGAAAAATAAAAATTATCCTACTACCTAGAGATAGGCACTGTAAAAATGATCACACATAAATTTTTAATCAACTTCCACATATACCTATATATTTGCAATAAAAATGGTATCATGCCATAAGTATAGTCCTCACATCGCTCTCTGCTGCCCAGCTATGAATATTCAAGAGCAGAAGTCAAGTCATGAGCAATATTCCTACAGCCACATTTCAATAGCCACAGGTTACGCTGCTACATGGTATTTCAGTGAATGCCCCTAACCCACACCCTAGGACTGCTACCTCTCTCAAGTCCCAAGGCAGAATTCCTCATTGTAGTAGAAAGGCCACTGTACTCCAGCCTCAGCAACATAGCAAGACTCTGTCTCAAAAAAAAAAAAAAAAAAAAAAAATTAGGAGATATTAGAAATTGCCAGATTAGCAAAAGCTAAGAAAATTTGCTAATACACCTGCCCTATAATATAGTTCTTTCAGCTGAATGAAAGGACATTAGATGGTAACATGAAGTCACATGAAAAAATAAAGAGCTCCAGTGAAGGTAACTACATAGGCAGATATAAAAGCCAGTGTTATGATAATGGTTTCTTTTTCCTTCTATATGATTTAAAAGATAAATGCATAAAATAATGATAAACATGTTAATAGGCACACAATATAAAGATGTAATTTGCAAAAATACCAACACAAAGAGGGGCTGAAGCTTGACAGAAGAGCTTTTGTATAGTATTAAAGCTAAATTGTTATTAACCCAAATTAAATTGTTTAAGATACTAATTGTAAAATCCAAATTATCCCCTCAGAGAAGAACTAGAAAATATACAGAAAAGGAAATTAGATGGGACTCAAAATGGAAGCTATGAGAGAAAAAAGATATGACATATATAAAACAAATACCAAAACGGCAGATGTCAGTTCTGTATTTTTTTTTTTTTTTTTGAGATGGAGTCTCGCTCTGTCACCCAGGTTGGAATGCAGTGGCACGATCTTGGCTCACTGCAACCTCTGCCTCCCAGGTTCAAGCAGTTCTTCTGCCTCAGCCTCCTGAATAGCTGGGATTTCAGGCACGTATCACCACGCCCAGCTAATTTTTGTATTTTTAGTAAAGACAGGGTTTCACCATGTTGGTCAGGCTGGTCTCGAACTCCTGACCTTGTGATGTGTCTGCCTCAGCCTCCCAAACTGCTGGGATTACAGGTGTGAGCCACCACGCCCGGCCAATGTTCTGTATTATTATCTTCAATAAAAGGCAAGGGTGGCAGAATGGATTTTTTAAAAATGATTCAAATATACAAACTGGTTGAAAGTGAAAGGATGGAAAAAGATACTCCATGAAAATAACAAAAAGAGATCAGGGTGGTTATATGAATATCAGACAAAATAGACTTTAAGTAAAAATATTGTCAGAAAATTTCAATAACTATAAAAAATCAGAATGCGCTAACAGTTACAGAAGAGGAGACACACATGACTCATATTAGTAACACACAGCTTCATTAACAATTGGGAAATGTAGATTTAAATTGCTATGCGATAACATTTCATATCCCTAATTTGGCACAATTAAAAGCTTGGCAATTCTAAATATTGGCAAGAATATGGAGCATGAGGAATTCTCATCTCCTTCTAGTGAGGCTGTAAATTCATAAAACACTTTGCATGTGAGCCCTCAATGGGAAAAGAAATGATTTTTCTTGGTCTTTGTATATTAGACATGGTACAAGTTCAGATATCCACATTTTTCTTTTTTTTTTTTTTGAGACGGACTCTTACTCTGTTGCCCAGGCTGGAGTGCAGTGGCACGATCTCGGGTCACTGCAACCTCCACCTCCCAGGTTCAGGTGACTCTCCTGCCTCAGCCTCCTGAGTAACTGGGATTACAGGTGCCCACCACCACACATGGCTAATTTTTGTATTTTCAATAGAGACGGAGTTTCACCATGCTGGCCAGGTTGGTATCGAAGTCCTGACCTCAAGTGATCCACCCACCTCAGCCTCCCAAAGTGCTGGGATTACAAGTGTGAGCCACCATGCCCAGTCACAGATATCCAAAAATGTTAACAAATGAATGAATGTATAGCTGCATCCACTGACTTGACTTCCTATTCATTCCCATCTTCAAATCCTTCACAAACCTACCTTGATTGAAGCATAGCATTTCCAGGCCTATCTCAACCTGCAATATCTTTTTTTTTTTTTTTTTTTTTTTGATGTTGTCTCGCTCTGTCCCCCAGGCTGGAGTGCAGTGGCGTGATCTCGGCTCACTGCAAGCTCCGCCTCCCGGGTTCACGCCATTCTCCTGCCTCAGCCTCCCGAGTAGCTGGGACTACAGGCGCCCGCCACCATGCCTGGCTAATTTTTTTTGTATTTTTAGTAGAGACGAGGTTTCACCATGTTAGCCAGGATGGTCTCGATTTCCTGACCTCGTGATCTGCCCGCCTCGGCCTCCCAAAGTGCTGGGATTACAGGCATGAGCCACCGCGCCCGGCCTCGACCTGGAATATCTTAATCCATTTTTTTTTTTTTAAATGTGTACACTATGCTTTGTTAATTTTCATTGTTCTCTGCATGTCTTCTTATGGTGGTTCATTTTATGTGCCAACTTGACTCTCCATGGAGTATACAGATTAAACATTATTTCTGGGTGTGTCTGTGAGGAGGTTGCCAAATGAGATAAGCATTTGAATCAGTGGACTCAGTAAAGCAGATGGTCCTCCCCAATGTGGGCAGGCATCATCCAATCTGTTGAGGGCCTGAAAAGAACAAAAGGGTGGAGGAAGGGGGAATTTGCTCTCATTTCTTCCTTGTTGCCTTCTTGACTGGGACATTAGTCTGTTCCAGCCTTTGAACTGGGATTTACACCACCACCTCCCCTGGTTCTCAGGCCTTCAGAGTCAGACTGGAATTATACCACTGGTTTTCCTGGGTCCCCAGTTGTACTCTGCAAATCATGTGACCCTGACTAATGTATTTTATAAACTACTTTTTGTGCATATAATATTCATGTCCCCAAGGTCAATATTAGCTCTGTGGGGCAGACAGTATATTTCAGATACATAGGCTGGGCACGGTGGCTCATGCCTGTAATCCCAGCACTTTGTGGGGCTGAGACAGGTGGATCACCTGAGGTCAGGAGTTCAAGACCAGCCTGGCCAACATGGTGAAACCCCGTCTCTACTAAAAATACAAAAATTAGCCGGGCATGGTGCCAGGCGCCTGTAGTCCCAGCTACTCGGGAGGATGAGGCAGGAGAATCGCTTGAACCCGGGAGGTGGAGGTGGCAGTGAGCCGAGATTGAGCCACTGCACTCCAGCCTGGGCCACAGAGTGAGACTCTGTCTCAAAACAAACAAACAAAACAGAAAAGAAAGCAAAACAAAAACACACAAATACACAGAAGACACACAATGAGGATCTATTAATTAAGTGCAAGAACCCTTTCTTTCATTGAAGTAGCACTGCCATTTTCTTTCTCTTCACATATATCACTCTCATCATCAGATACTAGCATACATCAGTCCCTCCAATGGAATATACAGAAGCCATCTCCATCTCAACCCTTCCTGCTGGAAGGGTTGGACAAATACCATACATGAAGTAGCAGCTAAAGGTTAGAAAGAACACACAGACATGATCTTATTTTGGTTTTTGTCTTTTTTCACATGTATCCTGTGCTACATTAATTGTCATTGCTCTCTTCATTCCCTTCCAAATCATTTCACGTGTACATGATATTTGTCTTTTCGGTTAGAGTGTGTAAACAGAGGCTGTAGATGAGTTGGCAGCTAAAGTGTAGTTACTGAGAATATTTCACCACTGGAATCTCAGACTCACCTCTACTGAAGAAAGTGCTAACCATAAAGCTGAAGCATATTGTGGCGATGGCATAAAACAGCAAAAAGATAAAGATAAGCGTTGGGTCACTGCTTTGGATGACTGGTGCAGGTTCAACCTAGCAAAACAATTAGGAAACCAGTTTAGTCATGCTGTAAGCGGTATCACACCAAAACCAAAGAGGAAAAATGAAACATCCATAAGTGTTTTAATAGTCTTAGTGAAACTGATGACTCTGCTTAGTGAGATGGAGAGTTAACAATTTATTTCCTACAGATGGCCCATCCCTCTAGGTCTAAAGTTTTGTTTGCTGAGAGACTAAGCAGTCTCTGAGTTTCCACTGTGAAGTCAACAAAAGCCACATTTTCATCCCCTAGAAACCCGAGGCCCATCTGGCCCCACACCATGTTTCTACTTTCCCTCTCAAAGTTTATCCACAACATGCTGCAGCCAAATAGACACTTGCCTTGACAAAGAAAATTATGCACATAAAAATGATGATAATAAAATACAAAGAGAGGAACGTGAAGAAATAGGCTGCCCAGAGCATCCAATTACTGACTCCTATCATGAGCTGGTACTCCTGTGGGAGAGTTGACAGAAATCGAATATCATGTAAAATAATACATCCATACAGTGCCTTAGAGTTTTCAGAATACATTCACAAATATTATCTAGTTTAACGTCTACAATTAAAATGGGTTAAATAATGAGTATTATCATCTCCATTAATCTATCCATAAAGGATAGAATCAGGGCTCAGAAAGTCAAGAAGCTTCATCAAAATGAGTCAGCTAGTGAGTGGCAGTACTGTGATTCTTAAAAGCCCAGAGATCATCTCCCCAGTAATTCACCTTATATTGTTAAGACATGAAAAACACTTAAATGAAGCTATAAACCACTTATATTAACATCTCTTTTCTTTTTATGTACTCACCCAGAAGGTATTTAAAAAATTTAAATACATTTTAATTCACTCACAATGGTTAGAAACAAACATTAAAAATAAGATAAAAAGGAAGAAAAAGCTCACAAAATTTTAGCAATAATCTTTATGAACTATCCATTTTCTTTAGAGGTAGTTGTTTATAGATATATGTGGTATTTCAAGTTTTAACAAAAAAACTTGAATATAATGTATAAGTCTGATAAAAGATTCAAATAAGTGATATAAGTTTTCAGAGGCTATTTTAAATATTTTTACTGAGTTTTATTGATATGTCAATATTAAATTCTATGGCTTTAGTCTGTATAAGGGCAGATATCTGTATCTGCCTGGCACATAGAAGGTGTTTAATAAATGTTTGCTGAATAAATGAATGAATGAATGTGAGAATCTTTGGAAATGCATATTTTTCAAAGTTTTAAAAAATGAATACAGGACCATGTTATTACTTATAGGGGACAAAAATAGAGAGATAAAGTGTCTCTTTTAAGTTTTCTAGGGATCAGTGCTAGAACCAGACTTAACAAACAATTTTTCAATTTGTTCAATTTTAATTGAACAATTAAAATGACAAAGTATATTTAACAAAAGAAGTGCAAGAGTTCTACACAGAAAACTATAAGAAAGAAATGGAAAGAAATTAAATCATAGTAAATGGAAAGATGCCTCACTTACATGATCAGAAGACTCCATATTGTTAAGATGGTAATACCCCTCAATTTGTCCTACAGATTGAATACGATTCCTTTCAAAATCTCTGTGGTTATTTTACATAGATTGACAAGCATATCTTTTTTCTTTTCTTTTTTTTTTTTTTTTTTGAGACACAGTCTTGCTGTCACCTAGGCTGGAGTGCAGTGGTGCAATCTCGGCTCACTGCAACCTCCGCCTCCTGGGTTCAAGATCAATAAGGAAACAGAGAGAGCCCATTTAACCTAACATACACAGAGCATGCCACCCAACAAAAACAGAACACAGATTTTTCTCAAGTGTGCACAGAACATATCCAGGGTAAACCATGTTACTCCACAAAACAAATTTTATTACATTTAAAAAGACTGAAATCATACAAAGTATATTTTCTTATCACAAAGGAATAAAACTAGAAAACAATAGCAAAAGGAAAACTGGAAAATACATAAATATGTGGAAATTAAGCAAAACACTCTTAACCAACCAAAAGATAAATGAAGAAATCAGAAGAAAATGTAGCAACTGCCTTGAGACAAATAAAAACAAAACCACAACATACTAAAACTTGTGAGATGCAGTGAAAGCAGTACTCAGAGGGAAATTTATAGCTGTAAATACCTACGTTAAAGAAAAATAAAAATTTCAAATAAATAACCTAACTTTACACCTTAAGGAATTAGACAAGTAAAGTATACATAAATTTAGCAGAAAAAAGGAATTGAGATAAATAGAGAATAGGTAAATAATAGAGAAATTCAACAAAACCAAAACTTAATAATTTGAAAAGATCAACAAATTGACAAACTTTTAGCCGGACTAAGAAAAATTGAGAAGACTCAAATAACTAAAACCAGAAATGAAAGTGAGAGCATTACTTATGATTTTACAGAAATAAAAAGGATGATCTCAGAGTACTATGAACAACTGCATGCCAAAATATTGAATAACATAGATGAAACGAATGAATTTGTAGGAACATACAACTACCAAGCCTGAGTCATGGAGAAATACAAAATCTGAACTGACTTATAACTAGTAAGGACATAAAATCAGTAATCAAACCACTCAGCAAAGAACAATCCTGCACCAGAGGGCTTTACCAGTGAATTCTACCAAATATTTAAAGAAGAATAAACAATAATCCTTTTCAAACTCTTCCAGAAAACTGAAATGGAGGTAACACTTTCTAACTCATTTTATGAGACCAGGATTACCCTGATAGCAAAGCCAGGCAAAAACATGACAAGGAAAGATTATGAATATTGATGAAAAGTTCCTCAACAGAAATATTAGCAACTAAAATTCACCAGCATTTTAAAAGGGTTATATATCATGACCAAGGAGGATTTACTCCTTGAGTACAAAGAGGATTCAACAAACAAAATCAATTAATTTAATGCACCACATGCAGAGAAGAATGGAAAAAACACATAATCATCTCAATCAATGCAGAAAAATATTAACTTTTTTAAATGATAAAATACTCAATACACTAGAAATAGAAGGACATTTCCTCAACATAATAAAGGCCATATATAAAAATCTGCAGCTGACATCATAGTCTTTCACCAATGATCAGGAGAAAGACAAATATGCCTGCTTTTTCCATGGGCTAGAAATTTAAGTTCTAGCCAGAAAAATTAGGCAAGAAAAATAAAAGCCATTCAAATTGGAAAGAAAGAAGTAAAAACATCTCTGTAGATGACACGATCTTAGTCATACTTACACACAAAAAATAAATTCAGCAAAATTGTAGGATACAAAATCAACACACAAAAATTATTTGCATTTCTATATACTAACAACAGACAATCCAAAATGAAAATTAAGAAAACAATCTTATTTACAATAGCATGGAAACGAATACAATACTTAGGAATAAACAACAATGGAGACGAAAGATTTGCACAAGAAAAACCACAAAATATTGCTGAAAGAAACGAAGGCAAATATACATTAAAAACATCTCATGTGTTTTAAAATGTAGATTTTATCATTACTCAAGTATACTGAAGCCAACAGATCAGGAGACAATTGCCATTGAAAAAACAGAAATAATGATCCATTACTGGGTATATAGCCAAAGGATTATAAATCCTTCTACTATAAAGACACATGCACACGTATGTTTATTGAGGCACTGTTCACAATAGTGAAGACTTGGAACCAATGCAAATGTCCATCAAGGATAGACTGGATAAAGAAAATGTGGCAGGTGGATCATTCCAAGATGGCCAAATAGGAACAGCTCCGGTCTACAGCTCCCAGCATGATCAATGCGGAAGACGGGTGATTTCTGAATTTCCAACTGAGGTACTTGGTTTATCTCACTGGGACTGGTTGGACAGTGGGTGCAGCTCACGGAGTGTGAGCCAAAGCAGGGCAGGGCATCACGTCACCTGGGAAGCGCAAGGGGTTGGGGGATTTCCCTTTCCTAGCCAAGGGAAGCCGTGACAGATGGACAGACGGTACCTGGAATATCGGGACACTCCCGCCATAACACTGTGCTTTTCCAACAGTCTTAGCAAACGGCACACCAGGAGATTATATCCCACACATGGCTCAGTAGGTCCCATGCCCACGGAGCATTGCTCACTGCTAGCACAGCAGTCCGAGATCAAACTGTGAGGTGGCAGCCAAGCTGCAGGAGGGGCGTCTGCCATTGCTGAGGCTTGACCAGGTAAACAAAGCGGCTGGGAAGTTTGAACTGGGTGGAGCCCACCACAGCTCGAGGCCTGCCTGCCTCTGTAGACTCCACCTCTGGGGGCAAGGCTTAGCTGAACAAAAGGCAGTAGAAACTTCTGCAGACTTAAATGTCCCTGTCTGACAGCTCTGAAGAGAGCAGTGGTTCTCCCAGCATGGAGTTTGAGCTCTAAAAATGGACAGACTGCCTCCTCAAGTGGGTCTCTGACCTCCTCAGTAGCCTAACTGGGAGACATCTCCCAGTAGGGGCCTACAGACACCTCATATAGCAGGGTGCCCCTCTGAGATGAAGCTTCCAGAGGAAGGATCAGGCAGCAATATTTGCTGTTCTGCAATATTTGCTGTTCTGCAGCCTCCGCTGGTGACACGCAGGCAAACAGGGTCTGGAGAGGACCTCCAGCAAACTCCAACAGACCTGCAGCTGAGGGTCCTAACTGTTAGAAGGAAAACTAACAAACAGAAAGGAATAGCATCAACATCAACAAAAAGGACATCCACACCAAAACCCCATCTGTATGTCACCATCATCAAAGACCAAAGGTAGATAAAACCACAAAGATGGGGAGAAACCAGAGCAGAAAAGCTGAAAATTCTAAAAATCAGAGTGACTCTTCTCCTCCAAAGGACTGTAGCTCCTCGCCAGCAACGGAACAAAGCTGGACGGAGAATGACTTTGACGAGATGACAGAAGTAGGCTTCAAAAACTTGGTAATAACAAACTTCTCCGAGCTAAAGGAGGACATTCGAACCCATCGCAAGGAAGCTAAAAACCTTGAAAAAAGATTAGATGAATGGCTAACTAGAATAAACAGTGTAGAGACCTTAAATGACCTGATGGAGCTGAAAACCATGGCACGAGAACTACGTGACACATGCACAAGCTTCAGTAGCTGAATTCGTTCAAGTGGAAGAAAGGGTATCAGTGATTGAGTATCGAATGAAATGAAGCAAGAAGAGAACTTTACAGAAAAAAGAGTAAAAAGAAACAAACAAAGCCTCCAAGAAATATGGGACTATGTGAAAAGAGCAAATCTACGTTTGATTGGTGTATCTGAAAGTGATGGGGAGAATGGCACCAAGTTGGAAAACACTCTTCAGGATGTTATCCAGGAGAACTTCCCCAACCTAGCAAGGCAGGCCAACATTCAAATTCAGGAAATACAGAGAACACCAAAAGATACTCCTTGAGAAGAGCAACCCCAAGACACATAATTATCAGATTCACCAAGGTTGAAATGAAGGAAAGAATGTTAAGGGCAGCCAGAAACAAAGGTCAGGTTGCCCACAAAGGGAAGCCCATCAGACTAATAGCAAAACTCTCCGCAGAAACTCTCTCTATAAGCCAGAAGAGAGTGGGGGCCAATATTCAACATTCTTAAAGAAAAGAATTTTCAACCAAGAATTTAATATCTAGCCAAACTAAGCTTCATAAGTGAAGGAGAAATAAAATCCTTTATTGACAAGCAAATGCTGAGAGATTTTGTCACCACCAGGCCTGCCTTACAAGAGCTCCTGAAGGAAGCACTAAACATGGAAGGGAACAACCAGTACCAGCGACTGCAAAAACATGCCAAATTATAAAGACCATCAGTGCTAGGAAAAAACTGCATCAACTAACGAGCAAAATAACATCATAATGACAGGATCAAATTCACACACAATATTAACCTTAAATGTAAATGGGCTAAATGTCCCAATTAAAAGACACAGACTGGCAAATTGGATAAACAGTCAAGACCCATCAGTATGCTGTATTCAGGAGACCCATCTCATGTGCAGAGACACACATAGGCTCAAAATAAAGGGATGGAGGAAGATCTACCAAGAAAATGGAAAACAAAAAAAGGCAGGGGTTGCAATCCTAGTCTCTGAAAAAACAGACTTTAAACCAACAAAGATCACAAGAGACAAAGAAGGCCATTACATAATGGTAAAGGGATCAATTCAACAAGAAGAGCTAACTATCCTAAATATATATGCACCCAATACAGGAGCACCTAGATTCATAGAGCAAGTCCTTAGGGACCTACAAAGAAACTTAGACTCCCACACAATAATAATGAGAGACTTTAACAACCCACTGTCAATATTAGACAGATTAACAAGACAGAAGGTTAACAAGGATATCCAGGACTTGAACTCAGCTCTGCACCAAGCAGACCTAATAGACATCTACAGAACTCTCCACCCCAAATCAACAGATTATACATCCTTCTTAGCACCACATTGTACTTATTACAAAATTGACCACATAATTGGAAGTAAAGCACTCCTCAGCAAATGTAAAAGAATAGAAATCACAACAAACTGTCTCTCAGACCACAGGGCAATCACATTAGAACTCAGGATTAAGAAACTCACTAAAAACTGCAAACTACGTGGAAACTGAACAAGCTGCTCCTGAGTGACTACTGGGTACATAACAAAATGAAGGCAGAAATAAAGATGTTCTTTGAAACCAATGAGAATGAAGACACACATACCAGAATCTCTGGGACACATTTAAAGCAGTGTGTAGAGGGAAATTTATAGCACTAAATGCCCACAAGAGAACGCAGGAAAGATCTAAAATTGACACCCTAACATCACAATTAAAAGAACTAGACAAGCAAGAGCAAACACATTCAAAAGCTAGCAGAAGGCAAGAAATAACTAAGATCAGAGCAGAACTGAAGGAGATAGAGACACAAAAAACCTTTCAAAAAATCAATGAATCCAGGAGCTGGTTTTTTGAAAAGATCAACAAAATTGATAGACCACTAGCAAGACTAATAAAGAAGAAAAGAGAGAAGAATCAAATAGACACAATAAAAAATGATAAAGGGGATATCACCACTAATCCCACAGAAATACAAACTACCATCAGAGAATACTATAAACACCTCTATGCAAATAAACTAGAAAATCTAGAAGAAATGGATACATTCCTGCACACATACACCCTCCCAAGACTAAACCAGGAAGAAGTTGAATCCCTAAATAGACCAATAACAGGCTCTGAAATTGAGGCAATAATTAATAGCTTACCAACCAAAAAAAGTCCAGGACCAGATGGATTCACAGCCGAATTCTACCAGAGGTACAAAGAGGAGCTGGTACCATTCCTTCTGAAACTATTCCAATCAACAGAAAAAGAGGGACTCCTCCCTAACTCATTTTATGAGGCCAGCATCATCCTGATACCAAAGCCTGGCAGAGACACAACAAAAAAAGAGAATTTTAGACCAATATCCCTGATGAACATCAATGCGAAAATCCTCAGTAAAATACTGGCAAACCAAATCCAGCAGCACATCAAAAAGCGTATCCAGCACAATCAGTTTGGCTTTATCCCTGGGATGCAAGGCTGGTTCAGCATATGCAAACCAATATACATAATCCATCACATAAAGAGAACCAGTGACAAAAACCACATGATTATCTCAGTAGATGGAGAAAAGGCGTTTGACAAAATTCAACAGTACTTCATGCTAAAAACTCTCAATAAACTAGGTATTGACGGAACGTACCTCAAAAAAATAAGAGCTATTTATGACAAACCCACAGCCAATATCATACTGAATGGGCAAAAACTGGAAGCATTCCCTTTGAAAACGGGCACAAGACAAGGATGCCCTCTCTCACCACTCCTATTCAACATAGGGTTGGAAGTTCTGGCCAGGGTAATCAGGCAAGAGAAAGAAATAAAGGGTATTCAATTAGGAAAAGAGGAAGTCAAATTGTCCCTGTTTGCAGATGACATGATTGTGTATTTAGAAAACCCTATTGTCTCAGCCCAAAATCTCCTTAAGCTGATAAGCAACTTCAGCAAAGTCTCAGGATACAAAATCAATGTGAAAAAATCACAAGCATTCCTATACACCAATAACTGACAAACAGAGAGCCAAATCATGAGTGAACTCCCATTCACAATTGCTTCAAAGAGAATAAAATACCTAGGAATCCAACTTACAAGGGATGTGAAGGACCTCTTCAAGGAGAACTACAAACCACTGCTCAATGAAATAAAAGAGGACACAAACAAATGGAAGAACATTCCATGCTCATGGATAGGAAGAAACAATATCGTGAAAATGGTCATACTGCTCAAGGTAATTTATAGATTCAACACCATCCCCATCAAGCTACCAATGACTTTCATCACAGAATTGGAAAAAACTACTTTACAGTTCATATAGAACCAAAAAAGAGCCCGCATCGCCGAGACAGTCCTAAGCCAAAAGAACAAAGCTGGATGCATCATGCTACCTGACTTCAAACTATACTACAAGGCTGCAGTAGCCAAACAGCATGGTACTGGCACCAAAACAGATATGTAGACTAATGGAACAGAACAGAGGCCTCAGAAATAACACCACACATCTACAACCATCTGATCTTTGACAAACCTGACAAAAACAAGAAATGGGGAAAGGATTCCCTGTTTAATAAATGGTGCTGGGAAAACTGGCTAGCCATAGGTAGAAAGCTGAAACTGGATCCTTTCCTTACACCTTATACAAAAATTAATTCAAGATGGATTAAAGACTTAAATGTTAGACCTAAAACCATAAAAACCCTAGAAGAAAACTTAGGCAATACCATTCAGGACATAGGCATGGGCAGGGACTTCATGACTAAAACACCAAAAGCAATGGCAACAAAAGCCAAAATAGACAAATGGGATCTAATTAAACTAAAGAGCTTCTGCACAGCAAAAGAAACTACCATCAGAGTGAACAAGCAACCTACAGAATGGGAGAAAAGTTTTGCAACCTACCTATCTGCCAAAGGGCTAATATCCAGAATCTACAAAGAACTCAAAAAAATTTATAAGAAAAAATAAACAACCCCATCAAAAAGTGGGCAAAGGATATGAACAGATGCTTCTCAAAAGAAGACATCTATGCAGCCAATAGACACATGAAAAAATGCTCATCATCACTGGTCATCAGAGAAATGCAAATCAAAACCACAATGAGATACCATCTCACACCAGTTAGAATGGCGATCATTAAAAAGTCAGGAAATAACAGATGCTGGAGAGGATGTGGAGAAATAGGAATGCTTTTACACTGTTGGTGGGAATGTAAATTATCTCAACCATTGTGGAAGACAGTGTGGTGATTCCTGAAGGATCTAGAACTAGAAATACCATTTGATTCAGCAATCCCATTACTGGATATATACCCAAAGGTTTATAAATCATGCTACTATAAAGACACATACACACGTATGTGAATTGCAGCACTATTCACAATAGCAAAGACTTGGAACCAACCCAAATGTCCATCAATGATAGACTGGATTAAGAAAATATGGCACATATACACCATGGAATACTATGCAGCCATAAAAAAGTATGAGTTCATGTCCTTTGCAGGGACATGGATGAAGCTGGAAAGCATCATTCTCAGCAAACTATCACAAGGACAGAAAACCAAACACTGCATGTTCTCACTCATAGCTGGGAACTGAACAATGAGATCACTTGGACACAGGGTGGGGAACATCACACACCGGGGGCTGTCGTGGGGTGTAGGCTGGGGGAGTGATAGCATTAGGAGAAATATCTAATGTAAATGACGAGTTGATGGGTACAGCAAACCAGCATAGCATGTGTATACCTATGTATCAAACCTGCACATTGTGCACATGTACCCTAGAACTTAAAGTAAAATTTTTTCAAAAAAAGGGAAGTTCCATCTTAAAGGGAAATAAAAAACAGATCTGCCTGGGCGAGGTGGCTCACGCCTATTGGGGAACCTGCCCCCAGTAGTCACGTAGGTTCTTTTCTATTTTCCCTAAGCGTCGGCCAGGTTGAGAAATAAAGGGACAGAGTACAAAAGAGAGAAATTTTAAAGCTGGGCATCCGGGGGATACATCACATGTCGGTAGGTTCTGTGATGCCCCACAAGCCGCAAAACCAGGAAGATTTTATTAGTGATTTTCAAAGGGGAGGGAGTGTACGAATAGGGTGTGGGTCACAGAGATCTTGTGCTTCACAAGGTAATAGAATATCACAAGGCAAATGGAGGCAGGGTGAGATCACAGGACCACAGGACTGGGGCGAAATTAAAATTGCTAATGAAGTTTCGGGCACCATTGTCATTGATAACATCTTAACAGGAGACATGGTTTGAGAGCAATTGGTCTGACTAAAATTTATTAGGCAGGAATTTCCTCATCCTAATAAGCCTGGGAGCACTATGGGAGACTGGGGCTTATTTCATCCCTACAGCTAGACCATAAAAGATGGCCACACCCAAGGGGGCCATTTTAGAGGCCTACCCTCAGGCATTCTCTTTCTCAGGGATGTTCCTTGCTGAGAAAAAGAATTCAGTGATATTTCTCCCATTTGTTTTTGAAAGAAGAGAAACATGGTTCTGTTCTGCCCAGCTCACCAGCAGTCAGAGTTTAAGGTTATCTCTCTTGTTCCCTGAACATTGCTGTTATCCTGTTCTTTTTTCAAGGCGCCCAGATTTCATACTATTCAAACACACATGCTCTACAATTTGTGCAGTTAACAAAATCATCACAGGGTCCTGAGGCGACATACATTCTCCTCAGCTTACGAGATGACAGGATTAAGAGATTAAAGACAGGCATAAGAGATCACAAGGGTATTCATTGGGGAAGTGATAAGTGTCCATGAAATCTTCACAATTTATGTTTAGAGACTGCAGTAAAGACAGGCATTAAGAAAGTATAAAAGTATTAATTTGGGGAACTAATAAATGTCATGAAATCTTCACAATCCACGTTCTTCTGCCATGGCTTCAACCGGTCCCTCCGTTCGGGGTCCCTGACTTCCCGTAATACACGCCTGTAATCCCAGCACTTTGGGAGGCTGAGGCAAGCAGATCACCTGAGGTCAATAGTTTAAGACCAGCCTGGCCAACGTGGTGAAACCCCGTCTCTACTAAAAATACCGAAAATTAGCCAGGCATAGTGGAGGGCACCTGTAATCCTAGCTACTCAGGAGGCTGAGACAGGAGAATTGCTTGAACCCGGGAGGCGGAGGTTGCAGTGAGCCGAGATCTCGCCATTACATTCCAGCCTGGGCAGCAAGAGCAAAACTCCACTCAAAAGAAAAGAAAAGAAACCATCCATGAAATTCATTCAAAATCCTACAATAAGAGAATCTCTAGTAGAGAAAATACTAAGAAATTAAGGAACAATACTACTTTATTGTTTCAATATTTGAGGCAATTATGTTTCAATATTTGAGGTGATCAATCAATGAATTTAGCCTAGATTAAACTTAATCTAATTGAAATTTTAAAAGACTGGGGTGTCATTTGTACTCTTCTAAGCCAAAGTAGTTAGTCATTTAAAATATCTGTATGTGGAATTGTATACACTAAAGATTTTCTTAGGAGTAAATGTGTTTGATGTAAACAGGATATCAAAGGCTTCAAAAGCCTGCAGGGGAAAATGAAATATCATGCGGTTTTATTACTCAGATTTAAATGGCTTGATTGTCACAACTCTTCCTGCAGCAAATCCCCAATAGTCTGATTCTCAAAAGCTTCCATCGGGAGCCTCATCATTGCCAATGTAGATGGAATAGCTTGAGAGAACATCAACATCCTCACCAAAGGTACTATTCCATGCTTCTCAAGTCCCCGTCTCTCAACAGGGTTTCCACTCCCTGCCACACTTGTCACCTGGACTCCAACGTATCACTAGTTCTGAATCTCAAAAAGACTAGCATACAGTCAGTTCCCTCAGCTACTTTGCTCCACTCATTTTTTGCACAAAAAACTATGAAAAACAAAGCAAAATAAAAACATAACACTCAACTCCAAAGATTTAGCCCCCATCCTGGACAAGTGTCTTTTCTGTATGTAGGGATCCTGGGTGGAGACCCTTGAGTTTTGAGCCTCCAAAACATCTGCATTTAGGTGAATGCGGTGGTTGGGCACTTGCTTTATATTTGCATAAAAATGAGGCATTCCTATAGTTCTCATAAACAAAGAAACACCTTTATCCAAAGGGAAGAGGGAAGAATGAGGTCAGATTCTGGAACTGACCTGGATTCTGGTGTTCCTGAGTTAATATTTATTTAGCCTGAGAGGTGACTGTGCATTCACAATGATTTATCTCCAAGACATGTACTGTAAGCCCTCACTTATCATCATCAATAGGTTCTTGGAAACTGTAACTTTAAGTGAAATGATGTATAACGAAACTAACTTTGCCATAATCTAATTGATATAAACAAGAGTTAAGGGCCAGCATGGTGGCTCATGTCTGTAATCCCAGAACTTGGGAGGCTGAGGCAGGGGGACTGCTTGAGGCCAGGAGTTTGAGACCAGCCTGACCAACATGGTGAGACTCTATTTCTACAAAATTAAAAAAAAATTAGCCCAGGAGTAGTGGCCCACATCTGTCATCCCGGTTACTTGGGAGCTTCAGGTGGGAGGAACACTTGAGCCCAGGAGTTTGAGATTACAGTGAGCTATGATTGCACCACTGCACCCCAGCCTGGGTAGCAGAGCAAGACCTTGTCTCTGAAAAAAATTAAAAAAAAAAAAAGAGTTAAGTTTTTATTGTATATTACTGTTTTCTTTTTTCGGGGGTCAGAAAAACATCACCAAACATCTAAATAAATACCAAAACACTTCTAATATTAAACACTGAAATAAATAATGTGAGCCATATATACATTTAAGACAGATTAACAAACACAAGTAAAATAATGATTTAGATAGTTATTCCAGTTCAGGGTCGCAGGGGGCCAGAGCCTGTCCCTGCAGCTTAGGGCACAAGGCAAGAACCAACCCTAGACTGGATGAATGCCATCACGGGGCACAGTCACGCACACCTCACACTCACTTAGACTGGGACAATGTCAACACGTCAATTCCCCTAAAGTGCACATCTTTGGGATGCAGGAGAAAATTGGAATGCCCAGAGAAAACCCACACAGATACGGAGAGAACATGCAAGCTCCACACTGACAACAGCCCGGGCTGGGAATCAATTTCTTTTTTCCCATCAAAATTATAACAAAATGACGTTGGACAAAATGACATTATTCAAGGGCCTGCTGGATTTGAGGCAGCCACTGAAAGAAAGGATCCAGCCTCCCTGACTGCTTTTTATACCCAGATTTCCATGTTGATCTCTAGTCAGCAACATAATCATTCCCCAAAGTTGATGAAATTTTGATAAGAGTAACAGCTTTCATGATGAGATGAATCAGACATCTCTCAGCTTCATGTGTGACTCCATATGACCAGCTTATACTTGGCTGCCAATGTTCTAAATCACTCATCAGCTTCAAAGAACCCAAGGGCACACACCAGGACAAGGCTTCATCTGCGCTTGCCGCTAATCATGGTAACTCATGGCTGAGGGTGTGCCCAATATTTTGGCACCAACCTGAGCCCCTTACTGCATCTCAAACAGGCTGGGGATGGTAGGTATCAAGGATAGTCCAATTAGTTTTGAAAAAACAGTAAATGTACTGCTTTTCTAGTCCATAATGCTAACAGTTGTGATATATTGTGATACAACTATGGTGTCAGAAAAACATGCAATTGCCCTTAGGGACTGTCACTGATGATACATTTTGATATAAAACTGCAGATTTTGGCCAGGTGTGGTGGCTCATACCTGTAATCCCAGCACTTTGGGATGCAGAGGCGGGTGGACCACTTGAGGCCAGGAGTTCAAGACCAGCCTGGCCAACATGGTGAAACCCCATCTCTACTAAAAAATACAAAAAATTAGCTGGGCGTGGTGGTGCATGCTTGTAATCCTAGCTACTTGGGAGGCTGAGGCAGGAGAATCCTTGAAACTGGGAGGCAGAGGTTGCAGTGAGCCAAGATCGCACCACTGCACTCTAGCCTGGGCGACAACTGCAAAACTCTGTCTCAAAAAAAAAAAAAAAAAAAAAAACCTGCAGATTTATTATTGTGAGGAAAGGGTAAATAGCAAACATAAATCCTATTTTCCTGGACCCAGGTGTACCCACTAAGATAACTATGAGTTTACTCTCTGGCAGCACTGTGCCTAGGTATGTGCTGAGTTTAAAAATACAGAATGTTAGCAGTGCCTGGAACTCATCATCAACATTGTTTGCTGCCATATATCTCGTCTAGAGACTACACTTGACTTGAGAAGAAAGTAAGTAGGACTTTGCACAAATTCTGGCAAACAAAAGTGGAGGCTTCCATATAATTACAGAGTCTACACCGTATCGACCTCAGCTCTTGAACTGAATGTGCCCTGTGTACTGGTGGAACGTACAGCTGCACCTGTGCTGTTGGGAGACTTTCATATGAAAGTGCTGATGCTGTACATGTTATGTTCCCATCCTGGACACCATCCATTTTCATCATTCTTGGTTATGTTCTATAAAGTCATCACAGACACTTGAGTTAGGGAATACTGAAAGATTACTCCTAGGGAAAATACTCCTAGGTTCCTGCAAGCCTCTGGTCACATTTTCATCAATTGATCAATACACGACCTGTTTTTTGGGGTGTTTCCGTTTAAAGACACCTTATTTAATACATACTGTTGATTCACTAACACTGACCTCACAGCCAGCAGCAGTATAACTCATGCCTGAATTAAGCTTCTCTAACATAGATATTTTCTCCAAAAGACATAATCAGGGCCAGGCACAGTGGATCATGCCTGTAATCCCAGCGCTTTGGGAGGCCAAGGTGGGCAGATCCCTTGAGATCAGGAGTTCTAGACCAGCCTGGCCAACTTGGTGAAACCCCATCTCTCCTAAAATATAAAACTGTAGCTGGGTGCAGTGGTGTGTGCCTGTAGTTTCATCTACTCAGGAGGCTGAGACAGGAGAATGGCTTGAGCTGGGGGAGGTGGAGGTTGCAGTGAGCCGAGATCACGCCATTGCACTCCAGCATGGGCAACAGAGTAAGAATCTGTCTCAAAAAAAAAAAAAAAAAAAAAAAAAAAAGACATAATCATAGCCCTTTTGCACTTAGGAACATGAGACAGTACTTCAGCACTATGCCTGGGGCTGACATTAAACAACAAAATCACCAACATAAAGAACAAAGATGCAAAAAAAAAAAAAAAAAGGCACTAACTATATCAAGTCAAGAATACTTGTTTGCAGTATGAGGGTTGAAACAAGGTGGACAGGGTGTCATCTTCTTTGACCTGGCCAAGGCTGGGAACCACCCTTGGAGAACTCAAAATTTTTTGCCACTCCCTGCATGTCTGCAAATGACCTCAAAAGTGAAACAGTTACTGATTTTGAGTTACACATAAATTTTAGTGAGTTGTTGAATTCACAAATTCAGAATCCACAAATAATGACAGTTAATTCTACTTTCTTAAGACAGTTTAATCTGATGGTAGCTTAAAGTATATTTGGATTGCTATCCAAACCTAAGAACATTGTTGGTGGCTATGAAATTACGCTGAGGGGTCATAATCATCACTTTTGGTAAAACTGCAAAATACCAGATGCAAAGCACCTGATCTAATCTCCCTTTCTCAGGGGGTAGGCAAAGCTGGCACATAAATTTCAAAGCTGAAAGTAGCTTCTTGGGGGCTGGAATCAGGGGGGAACCTACAAGAGCTGGTCAGGAGCAGGAGGAGACATGGGCCTCAGAGAATTCAAATCATCAAAGTTGGTAAAACTAAGTCCACTCTTAAGAATAAAAAAGGTAGGCTGGGCGCGGTGGCTCACGCCTGTAATCCCAGCACCTTGGGAGGCCGAGGTGGGTGGATCACCTGAGATCAGGAGTTTGAGACCAGCCTGACCAACATGGATAAACCCCATCTCTACTAAAAATACAAAATTAGCTGGATGTGGTGGTGCATGCCTGTAATCCCAGCTACTCGAGAGGCTGAGGCAGGAGAATTACTTGAACCTGGGAGGCAGAGGTTGCAGTGAGCCGAGATCACACCATTGCACTCCAGCCTGGGCAACAAGAGTGAAACTCTGTCTCAAAAAAAAAAAAAAAAAGGACACAGCTGGAAATAGAACATAATATCAAAATTTAAGAGCTAGATGCTGGAAATGGAATATAACATCAAACGTTAAAAGCGGCCAGGCGCAGGGGCTTACGCCTGTATTCCCAGCACTTTGGGAGGCAGAGGCAGGTGGATCATTTGAGGTCAGGAGTTCAAGACCAACCTGACCAACATAGTGAAACCCTATCTCTAACAAAAATACAAAAAAAATAGCCAGGTGTGGTAGCAGGTGCCTGTAGTCCCAGATACTCAAGAGGCTGAGGCAGGAGAATTGCTTGAACTCGGGAAGTGGAGGTTGCCAAGTGAGCCGAGATTGGGTCACTGCAGTCCAGCTTGGGTGACAGAGTGACACTCCTCCATCTCAAAAAAAAAAAAAAAAAAAAGGTTAAAAGTTAGGTGGAAGTGAAATAAAAGGGAAGAATCACAAAGAACAAACCCAGAATGCTCTTGAGTTCCAATAAAGCTGAAATATTTGCAGTTGGCCTTTATGACTAGGCAGGCTTAAAACCACAAGATCCAGGTGGGAAGATTAAGATTAGAGAGGAAAGACAGGATTGATTTCCTTGGACCAGGTAGTTGAAGGCAGAAAGTTTGGTTATTTCCATTGCCTTGAATGAATCCAAGATGCAGTAATCCACATTTCAAATGGACAGGTTTACAGAGGAGATAGACATGGTTTCCTGTTCAAAATGTTTCCTCTACTGTTCATTTTGTTTCATATTTTGTATTACTATTTGGGAAACAGAAGACACGTTGGAAGTATTGCTAGATGCTACAGCTTTTCCAAATAGTCACTGGCAGGCTGGCCTTATGGTGATACTCAGCACAGATGGTGGCAGAGCAGAAAGTTGTGTTTCCTATAGTAATAATAAATCCAGTCTTTTTTTTTTTTTTTTTTTTTTTGATGGAGTCTCATTCTGCCGCGCAGTCTGGATCGCAGTGGCACGATCTCGGCTCACTGTAACCTCCACCTCCCAGGTTCAAGTGATTCTCCTGCCTCAGCCTCTTGAGTAGCTGGGATTACAGGCATGCACCACCACGTCTGGCTAATTTAGTATTTTTAGTAGAGATGGGGTTTACCCATGTTGGTCAGGCTGGTCTCAGTAATAGAGTAGCTGGAACTATAGGTGCCCGCCACCACACCCAGCTAATTTTTGTGTTTTTAATAGTAGAGACGGGGTTTCACCATGTTGGACAGGCTGCTCTCAATCTCCTGACCTCATGATCCACCCGCCTTAGCCTCCCAAAGTGCTGGGATTACAAGCATGAGCCACTGCACCCGGCTGGCCAATAAATCTAGTCTTTACTGAGTACTTACCATGTGCTGAGAACTGCTCTAAATACTTCACATATACACAACTACCCTATAAATAAGACACTATTATTATTTTCATTTTCCAAGTGAGGAAGTATAGTTTATTTTGGTTTGTCCTAGAGCAGGGGCCCCCAAACCCCAGGCCATGGACTGGTACCGGTCCATGGCCTGTTAGGAACCATATCACACAGCAGGAGGTGAGCGGCCGGTGAGCGAGCAAAGCTTCATCTGTATTTACAGCTGCTCCCCATCACTTGCATTGCCAGCTGAGCTTTGCCTCCCATCAGATCAGCGGAGGCATTCGATTCTCATAGAAGCGCAAACCCTATTGTGAACTACGTATGTAAGGGATCTAGGCTGCAAGCTCCTTTTGAGAATCTAATGCCTGATGATCTGTCACTGTCTCCCATCATCCCCAGATAGGATTGCCTAGTTTCAGGAACACAAGTTCAGGCCTCCTGCTGATTTTACATTATGGTGAGTTGTATAATTATTTCATTATATATTACTATGTAATAATAGAAATAAAGTACACAATAAATGTGATGTGCTTGAATCACCCTGAAACCATCCCTCTGCCACTGGTCTGTGGAAAAATTGTCTTCTATGCAACTGGTCCTTGGTGCCAAAAAGGTTGGGGACCATTGTCCTAGAGAAACTGCTGTAGAGCGATATTGATGTATGGAGCTGGTGATGCACTGGTTATATGATGTGAAGCTTCAGAGGTCTTTGATCAAGAGCCATTTTACATTCCCATCACTTGACATCTAAAATCATTCTTTTCCTAACTTCGTTTCCTTTCCAATTTAGATTCCAGGACCTATGTCTTCAATAACTCTTCCAATTCTTCAATTCATTTGTCTCTCCCACCTTCAATCCTAGTGACCTGGCCAAAACAAAACAAACAAAAAACCCAACCCTAAAAGAATCTAACTTTCAACTTTTTTCATTCCAATATATACCCAACTTGCTTAGCCCCAATAAGGAGAGCATTAAACACACATAAACATGTAACCATGTCCTGAAAGCCTAGACTGGGGATAGTTGTTCTTTCCATAATGGTCATGCATAAGAAAGCAATGCCTCAGCCTGGGGTGATGGGGCAGAGCTGAACCCCAGCTGAAACTCCAGATGCCTGGGCAGCTCTTCTCCTCACCCCTCCAGTAGTTACACTAGTTCTGCTTCTCCTGGTATAGGAGGTTCCATTTTCTTTCTTCCTTTCATTGTTCCTGGTCTCATCAGATATCTAAAATGTTTTCCCTGGGTATTCATCTTTTTATTTCTCTCTTTTTTTTTTTTTTTTTTTTGAGATTGAGTCTTGCTCTGTCACCCAGACTGGAGTGTAGTGTTGCGATCTCAGCTCACTGCAACCTCTGCCTCCTGGGTTCAAGCGATTCTCCTGCCTCAGTCTCCCGAGTAGCTGGGACTACAGGCACCTGCCACCACACCTGGCTAATTTTTTGTATTTTTAGTAGAGATGGGGGTTTCATCATGTTAGCCAGGATGGTCTCGATCTCCCGACCTTGTGAACTCCCGCCTCTGCCTCCCAAAGTGCTGGGATTACAGGTGTGAACCACTGCATCCGCCCCGGGTATTCATCTTTGACTGTCAGCTGCCTTAATTAACTATGTGTACCCAGGAAGAGGGGCGAAAGCCTGGGTATGAACTTCTAGTCTTCCAAGTGAGTACAGGCAGGTAGATGACAGTGGCTGGAGGGCAAAAATGCTGAGCAGTGATTTCAGCAGCAGCACCAGGCTGGGGAGACAGAGGATGGAGTTCAAGCCCCACAGGTAAGGAGCCTTCTTGAACCCCCGACTTTCAGTTGAAATCATGGAATGGTCATGCCTTAGGAGTAAGGATCAATCACGCACTAGGACCAGGATTATGCCCAGAAGTAAAGAGAAAACAGAAATAGGGCAGTCTTTAGTGAAGCTAAAACCAGCCTTCAGTGGGGGCAGAGGGAGTTACCAGTACTCTAATAATGATCCAAAAGAAAATTTAACCCTCTTTGGATAAAGAAATATCCCCAAGAGCCTTCAAAATTTTTCATCTGCAACATCTTGGATTTGATAAAAATATACAAGGCATGTTACAAAATAGAACTCAATGGCATAAAAGAAAAAAAAAAAGATAAACAAGTAATCCAGATACCAGAACTTCCTGGCAGAGACTTTAAAGTAACTATGGTTGATATGGTTAATAAACTCAAAAATGGTACATTTTCCAAGAGACCTGGAACCTATTCAAAATAGAGATAAATGGAAATTCCAGAACTGAAAAATATTGTTTTTAAAATTATTCAATGGAAGGATCACATGAACTGTAATTCAAAATAAATAAGCAAAAAGAAAAATAGCTAAATCTCAGTTGGAAATTTTAATATCTTAAAAATGTATAAATTTTAATATATACAGGCTGGGCACGGTGGCTCATACCTGTAATCCCAGCACTTTGGGAGGCTGAGGGGGTAGATCACAAGGTCAAGAGATCCAGACCATCCTAGCCAACATGGTCTCTACTAAAAATACAAACAATTAGCCAGGCGTGGTGGCAGGCGCCTGTAGTCCCAGCTACTTGGGAGGCTGAGGCAGGGGAATCGCTTGAACCTGGGAGGTGGGAGGTTGCAGTGAGCCGAGATCGCGCCACTGCACTCCAGCCTGGTGACAGAGCGAGACTCCGTCTCAAGAAAAAAAAAATTAATATATACAATATATAACCTATTTAATCCTAATAATACCTGACTGGAAATCAGGTATTATTTCAGGTACTTCTTTCAATGACTGATATAATAAGCAGACCAAAAAAAAAAAAAAAGAATACAGATGACTTGAAAAGCATGACACTTAGCCAACTTTGCCCAGGTGGCATTTATAGAACACCAGAAGCAAAACCTATAGCACACATAGTTTTTACAAATTCACAGAAAACATTTATCAAAATATACCATGTACTAGTCATAAACAGTTCTCAAAATGTCAAAGAACTGGAATTGAGTATACTCTCTGATGAAAGGAAATTAAAACAGAAATCAACAACAGAAAGATAAGAAGCCCCCAGTGTTTGGAAGTTCAGCAACACATTTCTAAAAATTTTGAAATTCCATGCATCAAAGAAGACATCAGAGTGGAAATCAGAAAATATTTTGAGTAACCCAAAGCGACTATTGGAGTAACCCATAATAGACTTTAAATTTGTTGAGATATTTTTGTTGTAGAATTTAAAAATTACTGGGAACTTCATATTCTCCTGTTTCAGTCTTTATTTTAAAGAATGCTTTGATAAAAAAAAGCAAACAACAAAAAAGAATGCTTTGAGATGGCATCTACTCTCAAGGACTCTCATATCTCTTGAAAGACAAAAAAAGATGGAAAAGTTGCCTGACTGTGTGTGTGTGTGTGTGTGTGTGTGTGTGTGCACATGCACGCACATGTGTAGAGAGAGGTGTGCTAGGGAGATGCCCACAAACTTTTTTTTTTTTTTTTTTGAGACAGAGTCTTGGTCTGTCACCCAGGCTGGAGTGCAGTGGTGCAATTTCACCTCACTGCAACCTCCTCCTCCTCCTGGGTTCAAGCAATTCGCATGCCTCAGCCTCCCAAGTAGCTGGGACTATAGGTGCATACCACCATGTCTGGCTAATTCTTATATTTTTAGTAGAGATGGGGTTTTGCCATGTTGGCCAGGCTGGTCTTGAACTCCTGACCTCAGGTGATCTGCCCACCTCAGCCTCCCAAAATGCTGGGATTACAGGCGTGAGCCACTGGGCCCGGCCGACCTAAACTTCTCACAGTATTTACCTCTAAGAGAAAGAGGTAAGAAACTGATCCGGGAATATGAAGGTAAGTGAGAGACTGAGGGCTTTTAAAATAATTCTACATAGCTTAAGTGTTTTCTAAAGCCTTCCTATATTACTCACACCACATTTTAATATAAAACATTATTTTAAATAACTGACCACTGACCTGTGGCACAAAATCACACACCCCTGGAGGTATACTTACCCAGGTTCAAGAAGCACAACCAGATAGAAAAAACAGTATCACAAAACTGGATAACAACTTAGAATAATAATAATAATTGGTCATCTCATTTTGAAATATTACTATTTGTTCTGGGCTCTATGAACAAAATATTTTATATAAATTTAACTTTCAAGTTTAACAAAGTCCATAATATTTATACTTAGTATGAGGATTCCAACGATGTTTTACTTGGGAGGTTAAGAACCAGTTAATAAGGTTGTAAGTATGTCTTCACTAAATCGATTTAGTAATTCTGTATGTTTTTTCAGAAAATGTTAATTTCTAACCTTTCATTTGAGGGTTTAAATCCATTTTCACTCTTTCAATAATACCCTGAACCACAGTACTTCTGGAAGGCACGTAAGCCAATTCCAAAGGAGAAGGAGAAATTAAGGAAGCTGTGATGTAGAAAGGCACTTCATCGACAGGCTGAGCAGCAAAATCGAAAGGTCCGTTCTTATTTATAGTAATAACAGAGCGTGTTGCCAAAAGCGCAGCACTAAACAGAAATGTGAGGACCATTTCCACAACTAAAGCAATACATCGCCGCCTCTAGAAGAAGAAGAAAAAAGATTATGTTAATTGCCCTAAGAGGTTATTAACTTTGCAAGTTCATTTTTGAATTTTTTAATTTTTAATTTTCGTGGGTACATAGCAGGTATACATATTTATGGGTTACGTGAGATATTTTGATACAGGCACACAATGCATAATAATCACATCAAGGTAAATTGGGTATCCATTCCCTCAAGCATTTATCCCTTGTGTTACAAACAATCCAATTACACTCTTTTAGATATTTTTAAATGTGCAATCAAATTATTTTTGACTCTAGTCATTCTGTTGTGCTAGCAAATACTGCCTTATCCATGCTTTCAAGTTTTTTTTGTACCCATTAAACATCTCCACTTCCCCCTTACCTACCCCAAGCTACCCCTTCCCAGCCTCTGTTAACCATCCTTCTACTCTCCATCTCCATGAGTTCAATTGTTTTAATTTTTAGTTTCTACCAATAAGTGAGAACATGCAAAGTTTGTCTTTCTGTGCCTGGCTTATCTCACTTTACATGATGACCTCCAGTTCCACCTATGTTGTTGCAAATGAGAGGATCTCATTCTTTTTCATGGCTGAATAGTCCTGTATTGTGTATAACTGTAATTCTTTTATATTAAGATAAAAGATACTTCATAAAAGAATATATAGATTGCCAAAAACACAGCTTTACTCTATAATAGCAGCAGTTTCCTAGACTTTTTTCTCCTTTCTACATAACATCCTGCTATTAATCTCTCTCTGTGTGAACTCTATATTTGGAAGAGATAACCTAGCCTTCATACTGAGAAAAGTAAAACAGTAAAAATTGAAATTCAAGGATCAAGCTGTCAGAATTTCCCCCTGTGGCCACTGAGCTGTTGTAATAACCCTATAGGTAGTTCAACTTACCTTTAAAATAAAATTCTTCCAGAGAAGAACCATAAATTTTTCAGACTCCGAGAAATCCATTCTTCTAAAAAGAGAGGAAGTTCAACTCTATGGAGGGAGTAAATATTTTTTAAAAAGAAAAGATTATCTAATGATGTGTAAATTTTAGACAAGCACATCACTTAAATTTAAATTACTTAATTTTATAATCAAGCTTTAAAGACAAGAAATATTTAATATTTAAAATAAGAAATATACAGATTTAAAATATTTGAGCAGTTGTTTATCCCTATTTTTTTTTTTGAGACAGAGTCTCACTCTGTCACCCACGCTGCAGTGGTGCAGTCTCAGCTCGCTGCAACCTCTTCCTCCCGGGTTCAAGTGATTCTTCTGCCTCAGCCGCCTGAATAGCTGGGATTACAGGCGTCTGCCACCATGCCCGGCTAATTGTTGTATTTTTAGTAGAGATGGGGTTTCACCACGTTTGCCTGGCTGGTCTCGAACTGCTGACCTCAAGTGATCCGCCCGCCTCAGCCTCCCAACCTACATTTTTAATTTAGTCAACATTTATGGAGCTTCTAATATGAATAAAATACCAACCACAAAACAAAGATCAGTAAGTTGTTGATGCAAGTTTCCAGGTAAATCTTGCCAGTAGCTTTCCCAATCCCCATGGAAATACTAATTTAAAAACAACAAAAAACAAGTAAGTCACCACCAATGGCAAAGCAACAAAACAGTATAGAAAATCACAGCACAACTATAAGCCCAAAATGCTATTCAATAATCTATCAGATTGGAAGTAACTACCATTAATAGTATTGCTAAGGGGAACAGATTTGCAATGAACTGAATGTTTATGTTCCTCTGACTTCATATGTTAAATCCTAACACCCAAGGTTAAGGTATTTTGAAGTGGGGATTTAGGGGCCAGGCACAGTGGCTCATGCCTGTAATCCCAACACTTTGGGAGGCCGAGGCGGGTGGATCACCTGAGGTCAGGAGTTTGGACCAGCCTGGCCAACATGGTGAAACCCTGTCTCTACTAAAAATACAAAACATTAGCCGGGCCTGGTAGTGGACACCTGTAATCCCAGCTATTCGGGAGGCTGAGGCAGGAGAATCGAAGCAGGAGAATCACTTGAACCAGGGAGGCAGAGGTTGCAGTGTGCTGAGATTGCGCCATTGCACTCCAGCCTGGGCAACAAGAGTGAAACTCTATCTGGGCAACGAGTGAAACTCTATCTCAAAAAATTAAATAAATAAAAATAAAAATGAAGTGGGGATTTAGAGAGGTATTAGAATGGGATGAGTTCCCTTATAAAAGAGTCCCCACAGAGATCCCTCATTCCTTCCACCATGTGAGGACACAAAGAAAAGACAGGCCAACCAGGAAAGGGGTCCTCACTAGACAAGGAATGTGCTGCCACCTTGATCTTGGACTTCACAGCCATCAGAACTGTAAGCAATAAACTACTGTTTTTAAGCCACATAGTCTGTGGTATCTTGCTATAGTATCCCAAATGGACCAAGAGAAGGTTCATTCTTATATTGAATATTTTCTGAATACCTACTACATGTCATGTGAGGTGTGGGTGTACAATGGGAAACAAAACAAATGAAACTCATCCCTCATGGTAGGGGTGACGTGGAAGGTTCCTTTTAATAACCCAGGATCTGAAGTTAGACTGCCTAGGTTGAAATCGTACCACTACCATGTGGGATTTCACAACTATGTGACCATGAATATCTGACTTAAATTCTTGGGGCTACGAGAAAGAGAGCTGGAATTCAGAGCCAAGAATGGAAGGGATTAGATTAGGACTTGACTTTATAAGTAAGGAGAAACCTAAAGGAGATTGACCTTCCCTGGGACTGCAAATAATCTCAATCCTTTTAGCTTCTACAAATCCCGGCTTCAAATTATCTCAATCCTTGATACTGGATGAGGGCGCTCCCAAGATTGCAAGTACTGACAGCTGCCTAGTATAAAAAATGAATCCTCTCTGGAAAAAAATAACAAAATGCTATAGTCAACTACTCCTACAAGCAATTTTTCTGAATATGACATAAGATGAACATAAGATACTTTAAAATCTCTACTATTACTACAGAATATCTTTCTGACCTTGGGGTAGGCAGCGATTTCTTAAAATGGATACTAAGGACACAAACCATAAAAAAGGGGCTTTATCAAAATCTAAAATTTCTGCCCATCAAAATCTAACCTAACATCAAGAAAATAAGTCGGGGACTGAGCCTTCACGTCTGCCCTAGCACCAGGCTAGATCTCACAGCTCCAGGTTCTGGGCCTACCTGGTAGACCCAGCTGCCAGGCTGGCCCCTATGGATACAGGCTCCAGGCTTACCCATTGCCAGGCTAGTATCAGCAAACTGAGCCTCCAAGCCCATACTAATGTCAGGCCAGATTCTGCAGTCCCAGGTTCCAGCCCAGCCTGGTGGACTTGGTCTCTGGTCCTGCCCCTGCAGTAGGCTGACCCAAGCACTAGGCAGGCCCCAGTGGCCCTGGGCTTCAGCCCCATCCTAGAACAAGGATGGCACACCTGGGCTCAAACACCTGGCAGGCACCTGCAAACACAGGGCCCAGGCCTTCCCTGTGCCAAGCCTTGTGAACCCAGGTCCTAATGAGAGGTGACAGCGTGCTGGCAGTCCTCACAGCCCTCACTCGCTCTCGGCGCCTCCTCTGCCTGGGCTCCCACTTTGGCGGCACTTGAGGAGCCCTTTGGCCCGCCGCTGCACTGTGGTAGCCCATTTCTGGGCTGGCCAAGGCTGGAGCCCACTCCCTCAGCTTGCAGGGAGGTGTGGAGGGAGAGGCGCGAGCGGGAACCGAGGCTGCCTGCGGCGCTTGTGGGCCAGCTGGAGTTCCGGGTGGGCGTGGACTTGGCGGGCCCCGCACTCGGAGCAGCCAGCCAGCCCTGCTGGCCCCGGGCAGTGAGGGACTTAGCACCCAGGCCAGTGGCTGCAGAGGATGTACTGGGTCCCCCGGCAGTGCCAGCCCACCGGTGCTGCACTCCATTTCTCACCGAGCCTTAGCTGCCTTACCGCGGGGCAGGGCTTGGGACCTGCAGCCCGCCATGCCTGAGCCTCCCACCCACTCCATGGGCTCCTGTGCAGCCCGAGCCTCCCCCACGAGCATCACCCCCTGCTCCATGGCACCCAGTCCCATCGACCACCCAAGGGCTGAGGAATGCGAGCACACGGCGCGGGACTGGCAGGCAGCTCCACCTGCAGCCCTGGTGCGGGATCCACTAGGTGAAGCCAGCTGGGCTCCTGAGTCTGGTGGGGATGTGGAGAGTCTTTATATCTAGCTCAGGGATTGTAAATACACCAATCAGCACCCTGTGTTTAGCTCAAGGTTTGTGAGTGCACCAATCAACACTCTGTATCTAGCTGCTCTGGTGGGGCCTTGGAGAACCTTTATGTCTAGCTCAAGGATTGTAAATACACCAATCAGCACTCTGTATCTAGCTCAAGGTTTGTAAACACACCAATCAGCACCCTGTGTTTAGCTCAAGGTTTGTGAGTGCACCAATCGAAACTCTGTATCTAACTAATCTGATGGGGACGTGGAGAACCTTTGTATCTAGCTCAGGGATTGTAAACGCACCAATCAGCGCCCTGACAAAACAGGCCACTCAGCTCTACCAATCAGCAGGATGTAGGTGGGGCCAGATAAGAGAATAAAAGCAGGCTGCCCTAGCCAGCATTGGCAACCCGCCCGGGTCCCCTTCCACACTGTGAAAGCTTTGTTCTTTCGCTCTTTGCAATAAATCTTGCTACTGCTCACTCGTTGGGTCCACGCTGCTTTTATGAGCCGTAACACTCACCGCGAAGATCTGCAGGTTCACTCCTGAGCCCAGCGAGACCACGAACCCACCGGGAGGAACGAACAACTCCAGACGCGCTGCCTTAAGAGCTGTAACACTCACTGCGAAGGTCTGCAGCTTCACTCCTGAGCCAGCGAGACCACGAACCCACCAGAAGGAAGAAACTCCGAACACATCTGAACATCAGAAAGGACAGACTCCAGACGCGCCACCTTAAGAGCTGTAACACTCACCGCGAGGGTCCGTGGGTTCATTCTTGAAGTCAGTGAGACCAAGAACCCACCAATTCTGGGGACACTACCATGGCTCCAGGACTCAGTTCTTCACAGACCTAGCTTCTGGACTAGCAACCATACACCCAGCCTCCAGGCTGGCACCAGTGGACACAGGCTACAGGTAAGCCCCAACTAGGCACAATGCTAATGCCTAGTTCTAGACCCCTGAGGATAGCAAAATCCATGGATGCTCAATGTCTTATATAAAATGGTGTAGTATTTGCATATAATCTACACACATACTCCTTATGCCTCAGATTTTCTCTAGATACTCATAGTACCTAATATAAAATCTATATAAATATTTGTTACACTGTATTGCTTTTTATTTGCATTATTATCATATTATTATTTTTTTACTATTTTTGGCCCAGAGTTGAATCTGTGGATGTAGAACACACAGATATGGGGGGGTCAATTGTACACATTCTTCTCAAGCACACACAGAACGTTCTCCAGGAGAGTTCATATGTTAGGCCACAAGATAAATCTTAATAAATTTATGAAGCCTGAAATCCATTTCAAATACCTTTTCCGGCCACAATGGTATTATACTAACAATCAAAAATAGACAGAATTTCAGAAAATGCAGACGCATATGGTAATTAAACAACATTCTCCCAAACAACCAATGGGTCAATGTAGAAATTAAAGGGATCATTTAAAAATATCTTGAGGCAAATGAAGACGGAAACACAACATACAAAAATATATAAGATATATAGTATACAGCAAAAATGGTTCTAAGAGTGAAGTTTATAGCAATAAACATCTACATCAAAAAAGAAGAAAGATCTCAAACACCCTAACATTATAACTAGAAACTAGGTATAGGAACTACAATTGGAAACTAGAAAACCAGGAACTAGGAAAACAAGGACAAACTAAGCACAAAGTTCACAGAAGGAAGGATAAAATAAAGATCAGAGCAGAAATAAATGAAATAGAGACTAAAGAAACAATAGAAAAAAAATCAACAAAACTTGTGAAAAAGATAAAACAGACAAACTTTTAGCTAGAATAACTAATAAAAAAGGAGAGGAGATTCAAGTAAAATCAGAAATAAAAAAGGAAACATTATAATGGATACTACAGACATACAAATTATCATTAGAGACTATGATGACAATTATGTCAACAAATTAGATAACCTAGAAGAAATGAAAAAATTCCTACCTGTATTAATCCTACCAAGTATTAATCACAAAGAAAAAGAAAATCTGAACAGACTGATAACAGACTGATAAAATAGACTGACAACAGACTGATAACAAATAGACTGATTAAAAAAAAAGATTGAATCAGTAATAAAAAGTCTCCCATTAAAGAAAAGCCTAGAATCAGATGGCTTCTGGGCTGAATTCTACAAAACATTTAAATAAGAAATAGGACCAATCCTTATCAAACTCCAAAAAGTTGAAGAAAAAATATTTCCAAACACATCTTATGAAGCCAGCACTATCGTGACACCAAAGCCAGACAAGGACATACAAGAAAATTACAGGCTGGCCAGGCACGGTGGCTCATGACTGTAATCCCAGCACTTTGGGAGGCCGAGATGAGCAGGGCAGGAGTCTGAGACCAGCCTGGCCAACGTGGTGAAACCCCATCTCTACTAAAAATACAAAAATTAGCTGAGCATGGTAGCACATGCCTGTGATCCCAGCTACTCGGGAGGCTGAGGCAAGAGAATTGTTTGAACGTGGGAGGCGGCAGAGGTTGCAGTAAGCTGATATCATGCCACTGCGCTCCAGCCTGGGCAACAGAGTGAGACTCCATCTCAAAAAAAAAAAAAAAATTACAGGCTAATATCCCTGATGAACATAGATGCAAAAATCCTCAACAAAATACTAGCAAACTGAATTCAACAGCATATTAAAAGGATCATTCACTCACCACAATAAAGTGAGACTTATCTTTGAGATCCAAGGATGGTTCAACATATGCAAGTAAATATTAATACACCACATTAACAGAATAAAGGACAAAGACCATATATTATCTCAACAGATGCAGAAGAAGCATTTGACAAAATTCAATATCCTTTCATGATAAAAACTCTAACCATATTAGGCACTGAAGGAATGTAACTCAACACAATAAAGACTATATATGACAAGCTCACCATTAATATCATACACAAGAGTAAAAAATAGAAAGCTTTTTCCAAAAGTATCTCAGGAAAGGTACAAAGATGTCCACTCTTACGACTCCTATTCAATATAGTAATGGAAGACCTAGCCAGAGCAATCAGGCAAAAAAAGAAAGAGAAGCCATCCAAATTGGAAAAGAAGAAGCCAAATGGTTCCTGTTTGCAGATAACATGAAAACCCTAAAATGTCAGTGAAAACACTGCTAGAACTAATAAAATACAATAAAGTTACAGGATATAAAGTCAACATACAAAAATAATAGTTTCAGCCGGGCATGGTGGCTCACACCTGTAATCTCAGCACTTTGGGAGGCTGAAGCAATTGGCTCACTTGAAGTCAGAAGTTCAAGACCAGCCTGACCAACATGGTGAAACCCCATCTCTACTAAAAATACAAAGTTAGCCAGGCATGGTAGCACACATCTGTAATCCCAGCTACTTGGGGGACTGAGACAGGAGAATCACTTGAATCTGGGAGGCGGAGGTTGCAGTGAGCCGAGATTTCGCCATTGCACTCCAGCCTGGGAAACAAAAGCGAAACTGTCTCAAAAAAAAAAAAAAAAAAGTTTCTATACATTAGCATTAAACCATCTGAAGTGAAATAAAAAAGGCAACTGTATTTACGATAGCTATGAAAAATACTTATGAACAAATATAGCCAAGGAAGTGAAAGAGCTGTATATTGAAAATCATAAAACATTGATGAAAGAACTTGAAGACACAAATAAAAAGAAAGATATTCCATGTTCATGGATTGAAACAATATTGTTAAAATGTCCATACTACCAAAAGTGATCTACAGATTGAATGCAATCCCTATCAAAATCCCAATGACACTTTTCAAAGAAATAGATTAAAAGTCATAAAATTTTTATTGTACCACAAAACCCCAAATATCTAAAACATTTTTGAGGAAAATGAACAAAATGGAGGCATCATACTTCCTGACTTCAAAATATATTACAAATCTACAGTAATCAAAACAGCATGGTACTGCTATAAAAACAGACACATAGACCAAAGGAAGACAATAGATAGCCCCAAAATAAACTCACACATTTACCACCAATTAATGGATTTTTGACAAAGATGCCAAGAACACACAATGGGAGAAAAGATAGTGTCTTTAATAAATGGAGTTTAGAAATGTGGATTATACATGCAAAAGAATGAAATTAGACTCTTATACCATGTACAAAATCAACTCAAAATGGATTAAATTCTTTTTTTTTTTCCTTTTCTTTTTTTTGAGACAGAGTCTCACTCTGTCGCCCAGGCTGGAGTGCGGTGGCATGATCTCCGCTCACTGCAAGCTCTGCCTCCCAGGTTCATGCCATTCTCCTGCCTCAGCCTCCCGAGTAGCTGGGACTACAGGCACCCACCACCACGTGGGCCTGGCTAATTTTTTGTATTTTTAGTAGAGACAGGGTTTCACTGTGTTAGCCAGGATGGTCTCGATCTCCTGACCTCGTAATCTGCCTGCCTCGGCCTCCCAAAGTGCTGGGATTACAGGCGTGAGCCACCACGCCTGGCCATTCGGATTAAATTCTTAAATGTAATACCTGAAACTATAAAACTACTAGAAGACAACGTATAGGAAAAGCTGTGCAACTAGCTCTACCAAATATTAAAACATACTATAAAGTCTCTGTAGTTAAAAATGTGTTGTACTGGTACGTAAATTGAAAGACAGCCAAATGGAACAGAATAGAAAGTCTAGAAATAAACCAAAATACATATAGAAATTTAGTTTATTATATAGGTAACATCCCAACTAACTGGGAAAAAATTCTACTTTATAGTAAATGGTGTTGTAACAAATGGATAGTCATTTGGAAAAATATAAAATGTGGGAGTGGGAAAAGTCTCCATGAATCAAAATCTAGTATCAAGATAAGTCTGATAACATAGTACTTACAAATATGTTTTATGAAGTAAATGTCAACACAAAGCCAAAAGATAAATAACAAACTGGGAGAAAATAACTTGTATCACAGATAAAGGGCTAATCTCTCATATATATATATACACATATATATATACATATATATACACATATATATACGTATATATATACACATATATATATATATACGTATATATATACACATATATGTATATATACACACATATATACACATATATGTATATATACACACATATATATACATATATATATATGAAGAGGTCTATAAATTGAAGGGGGAGGGATAACCATTAGAAAAATGAAAAAAAAATTTGTTTAATTTATTTGTAGATTCTGGATATTAGCCCTTTGTCAGATGGATTGCAAAAATGTTCTCCCCATCAAAAAGTGGGTGATAGATATGAACAGACACTTCTCAAAAGAAGACATTTATGCAGCCAACAAACATATGGAAAAAAGCTCATCATCACTGGTCATTAGAGAAATGCAAATCAAAGCCACAATGAGATACCATCTTATGCCAGTTAGAATGGTGATCATTAAAAAGCCAGGAAACAACAGATGCTGGAGAGGATGTGGAGAAATAGGAATGCTTTTACACTGTTGGTGGAAGTATAAATTAGTTCAACCATTGTAGAAGACAGTGTGGTGATTCCTGAAGGATCTAGAACTAGAAATACCATTTGACCCAGCAATCCCATTACTGGGTGTATACCCAAAGGATTATAAATCATTCTACTATAAAGATACGTGCACACGTACGTGAATTGCACTATTCACAATAGCAAAGACTTGGAACCAACCTAAGTGTACACCAATGACAGACTGGATAAAGAAAGTGTGGCATATATGCACCATGGAATACTATGCAGCCATAAAAAGGATGAGTTCATGTTCTTTGCAGGGACATGGATGAAGCTGGAAGCCATCATTCTAAGCAAACTAACACAAGAACAGAAAACCAAACACCCCATGTTCTCACTCATAAATGGGAGTTGAACAGTGAGAACACATGGACGCAGGGAGGGCAGCATCACACACTGGAGCCTGTCGGTGGGTGGAGGGCTAGGGGAGGGACAGCATTAGGAGAAATACCTAATGTAGTGATGGGTTGATGGGTGCAGCAAACCACCATGGCACGTGTATACCTATGTAACAAAACTGCACGTTCTGTACATGTACCCCAGAACTCAAAGTATAATAAAAAAAATTTGAAAAATGAAAAAAAAAAACAGTTCAAAGAAAAATAGTCCTCAAACATAACAAAAGATCCTCATATTCACTCATAACCATAGTGTCAATTAAAACTGACAAGTCATTACTTACTTTCAGAAGCTTTACAACACATTGTAGGTGAGCCTTTATGAAAATAAATACAATCCCATCAAAGTTCCAATAAGCAACTGTGTAGAAATTCTAGTGCTGGAATAGTCAAAAACAACTTTAGAAAAGAACAAAACTAGAGGTCTTATACTATCTGATTTCAAGATATATAAAATTACTGTAATTAAAACTGTGTGGTATTGGTGAAGACACAGATACATACATCAATGAAACTGAACGGAGTCCAGAAATAGACCCACACTAAGATGGTCAATTTTTTTTTCCCACAAAAGTACCAAGGGAACAAAGAGAAGTCTTTAAAAAAAACAGTGCTGGAATAACTGAATATCCTTATGGGGGAAAAACAATAGCACCAACTTTACCTCATACTAGGAACAAGAAATTAACTCGAGATGGGTCACAGACCTAAATGAAGGAAGCTAAAAGTACAAATTTAAAAGAAAACAGGAGGAATGAATAAAATGAAGAAACTTAGGAGAAAATCTCTGTTACCTTCAAGGGGGTAGGGATTTCTTACTTTGCATACCCAAGGTATGAGCCATAAAGGAAAAATTGGTAAATTAAACTCCATTAAAATACAAAAAAAAAAATGTACTCTTGTAAAGATACTGCTAAGGAAACAGAAATGCAAGTGGAGAAAGAAAATATTCATAATACATATCTAATAAAGAATTTTATTCACAATAGGTATTTATTCACAATACATATCTGATAAAAAATACAAAAAAAATTAGCCAGGTGTGGTGGCACATGCCTGTAACCTTAGCTACTCAGGAGGCTGGGGTGGGAGGATTGCTTGAACCTGGGAGGCAGAGGTTGCAGTGAGCTGAGATCACACCACTGCACTCCAGCCTGGGCAAACAGAATACGTAAAGAATTCATACAAAACTACAGGGGCAGAAAACAGACCAGCAGTTGTCGAGGTCTAGGCATGGGAGGATTTCACAAAGGGGTACAAGGAAGACAAAGTAAGATACCCAAAATAGTATCTTCTGCATGATTCCATTCATATAAAGGTATAGGCAAAAATGACATCAATGGTTATAGGGGAGGGGTTTGTGATTGATTAGGAAAGGGCAAGAGGGAATTTTCTGGTGTTACAGAAATGTTCTGTGTCTTGATTAGGTGTGCACATTCTTTGAAACTGATCAAACTGTCACTCAAAATCTGAGCACTTCATTTCATGTAAACTGTATCTCAATAGAAAAACATTTTAGAAATCATTACAATTGCTATATACTGGATACAGACAATAATCTTAAACTACCCAGTGGTGGGGATGGTATCTTGTTCTCCTTTGTCTCTCAAACACCATGGAGCTTAGTGCATTGTGCATTGTTTTATATAAAGCACACGGCCCTGCAAATCTCAATTAATACATGATTAATTTTTTTTTTTTTTTGAGATGGAGTTTTGCTCTTGTTGCCCAGGCTGGAGTGCAATGGCGCGATCTCGTCTCACTGCAACCTTCACCTCCCGGGTTCAAGCGATTGTCCTGCCTCAGCCTCCCAAGTAGCTGGGATTACAGGTGCGTGCCATCACGCCTGGCTAATTTTTTGTGTTTTTAGTAGAGATGGGGTTTAACCATGTTGTTGAGGCTGGTCTCAAACTCCTGACCTCAGGTGATCCAACTGCCTTGGCTTCCCAAAGTGCTGGGATTACTGGCATGAAATACATGACGAATCTTAATCAAAATGGCAGAGCAGGTGTTTGGCTGATGTGGTGATGGGGTAAAATCAATTTGTGATTCATACAGCCTTCCAACTTCACAACTATGCCATTCTTAAAGGATTTTTCATGGAAGGGGGCTTCACATCAGGTGCTTACTCCTTAGTGCAGCTGATCAATACACTCAATACATGTCTGCAAACTTTAAAGGAATTTATGCAGCAGATCCAAGTCTTAAAGGCTATTTAAAAAAAAAGCAAACAAACCTAGAAACAAAGTTCATAAAGCAAAACCATAGCAAAACAAAGATTCAGGCAGAAAGATGTTCATGATAACACTGGAAAACAGTAAGATCAAATGAAAACAGAAAGAATGATTACATAAATCATGCCAATACCTTCAATAAAATCCTGTTCCTCTGTTACAAAGAAGGGATAGATATAGATACACTGTCATGAGAGGATAATATACTACTAAGGTAGAAAAAGTAAACTGCAAAATATTATACATGATATAAACACATTGTTTGGAAAAATATATATGTAGAGAAAAGAAGTACATGTACAGAAAAGAAAAATGGTAGAAGATCTGTTGATAGTATGTCCTCAGGAGGTGGAAAATGGGGGACTTACACATTTTACAAATTGTATGTCTATAGAGTTTGAATTTTATGTAATGTACCTGTATTGTTTTTCTAATTAACTCTTCAGGTGGGGGAACAGGTAAACCTGTGAAGAAGGAATCATCTGAAACACTCTCCCACTAACTTTTTTCTCTTGCTCTTTTAGTGGGTAATGTTTTGGAATATTAACCATAAGTTTTCAATTCAGTACCATCCCTCATTCAATCTTTTATTTTTTGGTCTCGGGGAAGACAGAGCAATACTTAATACCTACAAAGACAATGGCCAGTTCTTTCAGTTGACCCTTTCCAGGGTAAAACAACGGATTGGAAATAATGCACAATAAGGAAATGCCGAAGCCCGGCTCCTCAGCATCATCCCATCCCTTTCACTATTCCCAAAATAGATTTGGGGGATCTTATAGCGCAAGAGTCCTGACTCCAAAACAGCCTGGCCAGGAATAAGTACACATCAACATCCTGGTCCTAAATATGAAACACCCCCCACCCTTATCCCTCATAACTTGGATGCAACCCTTGTAAGGGAAAAGGAGGGTTGGAAGGAGCATGAACCTAAAATGCCTGAAAATTATTAGGGCAACCTGCCAAACTGTAGTCGCAAAAGAACAAATAGTTATTGGAAATTAAGCAATTACATGGTTCATAGCCCTGAATTATTAGAATTAAATTTATACTTACTATTTAATTTCAGCTCCTTTTCTAAAAAGCACTGAACTGCTTTAACTGAAACACTGTAATTTTCTTAATTGTACTTAAATATGTTTCTTTTCTTTTAAATTTTCTGCCTACTTTGCATAAAATGAGGTAGCCAAGACCACCTTAAAGTTCTCAGCTTGACTTGAAAAGGCTTTTTCCTGACTCTAGGCCCAAAACTTTCTTTTCTTAGAGCATGATATGGTTTGACTCTGTGTCCACACCCAAATCTCATCTTGTAGCTCCCATAATTCCCACGTGTTATGGGAGGGACCCTGTGAGTGATGACTGAATCATGGGGATGGGTTGTTCCCGTGCTCTTCTCATGATAGTGAGTAAGTCTCATAAGAACTGATGGTTTTCAAATGGGGAGTTTCCCTGCACAAGCTTTCTTGTCTGCCACTATGTGAGATATACCTTTCACCTTCTGCCGTGATTGTGAGGCCTCCTCAGCCACGTGGAACTGTAAGTCCAATAAACCTCTTTCTTTTGTAAATTGCCCAGTCTTGGGTATGTCTTTATCAGCAGTGTGAAAACAGATTAATACAGAGCATTTTCTTTAGAAAGCTTTTCACTGTAAATTCTTTCTCTGTCTTGAGATATCTGTAACTCTTTTTAATAGCCTCTTACTAGTTTTACAAACCAGAATCATCTTTGTCAAGGACCTGGGAGCCATTCCTTTGAAATGCAATCATCAAGGAAGACGGTCCCCCTATCTCCCAGTTTCTGTGGGAGGGTAGGAGCCTAACTTCCCTGAGAGCCAATTAGCAAACACAGCTGGCCTAATCACGGAGGAAACACTTGTAAACTCAGCAAACAACTCAGTATGCTTCCGACAGCCCTCCAGCACCTTTCTACTCTCATCCTAGAGCTTAAAAACCCTGCCCCACTTTGTTTCAGCAGAGTTAGTTTAGACTGAGTTCTGGTCTCTCTTCCCTAGGACAACAGCTTTGCATAAAGTATTCCTTACATATGTGACTTTCTCTGGTGTAATTTATGCTTTCACAAAGGAAAACTAAGACAAATTAAACTACCTATAATCACTGAACTTCCACAGCCCCTTCTGCCATTTATGGAACACTTAACATGTTCTCGCAATGTAAGTATCAGGACTGCCCTCTGAGTTGGATACAATAGCATCCTTTCCTCTTATAGTTATTTTCAGATATAAGCCTTAGGAAATGGAGGCTTAGAGAAACCAAGCAATTTGCCATAGGTCACAGCAAATAAATTCTGGACTAGTCAGGACTAGGGACAAGGCATTTGCCTCCAAAGTCAGTGCGTTCAAGCACTTTGCATAGCCAATATAAAATTCCTAACAGTGCTTCTATTTGATTTGATTGTGTGTATGTGTGTGTGGGTGTGTGTGTGTTGGCGGGGGGATGAGGAAGTCTCTGGAGGATTTATATGCGTGAGTTTTGTTTGGGGGTCGCCCTTTTGGGCTCTGCGCGCCCATCGCGGCTAGCGGGTGGGCCTCCCGGGCGTCGGGGAGCAGCTGCAAGCGCAGGGGGACGCCGGCAGAAGAAGGACGCGCCAGGACTCCCTAGCACGCACCCTCAGGCCTCGCCGCTGCCGCCTCCGCCTCCGCCGCTGAAGGGCGCGCGTCCACCCGGCGGGACTCCTCCTCCCAACGCCCTCCCCAACCACCAGCCGCCCGCGGGCAGGTTGGCAGCCTGGCCCTCGCGCGGACCCGGCCGGGAGCTGGCTGCACTAGGGCTGGGGGCGCGCAGTGCGCGGAGCGGTAGGAGTCAGCGGTGCGGAAGGCAGGAGGTGCGGGTGAAGCTGTCGGCGGTGCTCGAGGGGAGCACGCAAGAACCTCCTCAGTCCCTCTTCCGCACGTGCGCCCACGAGTGTAGTCCCCAGTTTGTTCCACCTATTATCCCGCAGCTCCAGTGCGCCCCACCTGTTGCCTCACCAGCCCAACGTTACTTCTTCCCTGCTTCCTCGCCAGCCCGTCTGGGGGCGGAGACCTCACCCACCGCCCCACCCACCTCGTCTCATGCTCCCACCCACCTCGTCCCATGCGCACACCCATCTCGTCCCTTGCGCTCACCCACCTCGTCCCATGCGCCCTACCCTATGCCCCAAGTCCCTGAAAGGGCCCCACCTAGGTACCCTTTTGGGTCGTCTTCAGGTTCTTTGCCTTGTCGACCCTCCTGGACGACCCCACATTTCTCCGCCTCTCGCGGGCTTCTCTCTCCCTCGTGTGCCATGGTCACCTTCAGCTGGCCCAGCCGCTGATGACAGAAGTTTAAGAAGATTCATGAGCCGCTGCTCCTCAGGGTCTACTGGAGTTTAGCAGATAACTTCCCAAAGGCCCGGGGTCCTGCAAACCCCTCATGCGGGCCACCCAAAAGATTCCGTCCTGGAGCAGACCCCGCGCCACGCGCGCTGTACTCGCGTTCCTTTTTCCAGCCAGCGCAGCCCTGCGGCTTCTGTCCGGGACGGTTCTGCGCGTGGGACGCCCAGCCCGCTTCATCTGCGCCCGCTGCCTTTACCCGCCAGCCACTCCGGCGTTTCCACCTCCGTGTATTTCTCATGCTCCCCACGTTCTATAATGCTTGCTCCTCTTGGCGCGCCCCACCCCAATTCTCGCATCCAGTGTGGCTTCCTGTTTAGAATCGCAGCTTCTGATTGGATCACAGGCCAAATTCACTCTTCCCTGCAATGCCGGATACGACTTGCTCCAGCTCCGAAGTTAAGCTTTGTCAGGAGAGGGCGCAAGAGGAACACTGCAGGACAAGGAGTTCTCTTCCTGGTTGGGGAAAAATCCAGGACTGTATAGAACATCCTCCGCCCCAAACTGGGAAAGGAGCCAACAGACCAAAGAATGACTCAGACCAGTCCAGCTTGATGAGTAGATGAGTTTATTGGGACTCACGTGTAGGGCATTTCTTTTTTTTTTCTTTTTCTGTTTTTTTTTTTTTTTTAAGAGGGAATCTCATGGCACCTCGTTTTCATCATCACTGGATGATTTCTCTGGGTTAGCAAAGGTCAGGAAGACTTGTTCCAGTGTGATCTGACAGAATAGTCTTCTAAATCAAATTGCTCTTTAGCTTGCTCCAAAATGCCAAACACCTTTAACAACAGCAATAAAAACACAGTTACCATTGCAATCTCCCCTTCAGCCCCCAACTCAGATGAGCCTCTCCTCCACTCCCCCACTCCTATCAAGTGTATGTTGGAGGACAAAAGGCACAGAAGGGTGAGGTGAGAAGGCGGAAGAACAGAGAATTGAGAAAGTGAGAGGAGGCCATCTCTTGATGGACATGGACTAATAGTCGGATTTAGGGGAAGAAATCAAGGCAATTAAACTCTAGGGGTGTTTGGAAAGTAACCTAACGCTGCTGCTCCTCCCAACAATGCCAGGCTCCCATTCCAAATGCCCGAATCCCAAATACTCCCCACCATTAGTGCTCTCTTACTTAACATGCAATGTTACAAGGGCAAGATTTCTACCATCACCTTTCCCCAGTCCTTGCTGGGAATGTAGCAGTTAAGGATCCCTTGGTTCTTGTGTTTTAAGACACTACTCAAGAAAGGATAATAGGACCGGTGAATAATCTTACACACTTAATTTGAAATCACCAAAATATTGCTACATTTACTTAACTATATACTTGAAGGGGTGGATAGAGGAGGTTAATACAAAAGGCAATATGACCTGCTAACCCAATCTCTTTGGTATCCATGATATAGTTAATGGTTTCGGCAGATTTATTCCTCATGAACTAGTCTTATTATGTGGAGTTCATAGCAATGATTGAGGGTACAAATATTAGCCAGTTCACCTGCCCAATGTAAAACACCTGAGCCTTCTAAAAGTCTAATGTGGTCAGGTGCAGTGGCTCACGCCTGTAATCCCAGCACTTCGGGAGGCCAAGGCGAGCGGATCACCTGAGGTCAGGAGTTTGGGACCAGCCTGGCCAACATGGCGAAACCCTGTCTCTACTAAAAATAGAAAAATTAGCCGAGCAGTGGTGGTGCACTCCTGTAATGCAAGCTACTCGGGAGGCTGAGACAGGAGAATCGCTTCAACCCAAGAAGCAGAGGTTGCAGTGAGCTGAGATCACGCCACTCAACTCCAACCTGGGTGACAGAGTGAGACTCTGTTTCAAAAAGTAAAAAAAAAATTAAAAAAAAAAACTAAAAGCCTAATGTTGCTACGAGACTTTATTCCTAAACGCAGTGCTGAGAATCTGAACCAGGATGTTTTCCTCCCGGCAGTGTGTGGGCAGGTACAGTGTGTTTGGTGGGGAGGACAACAGGAATAATCACAATAAGAACAAGATTAATAACAATAAGGATTAATCATAATAAGAATAATCATAGTAAGAATAGCCTCACGTGTGAAACAGGAAATCACATATAAATCACCAAAGTCAGGCCACTTGTTCTAGTTTCTTATACAGGTGAGTAATGATCCACTGGTGGAGTAGGAGGAAAGAGGGTGGTGTCTATTCCTAATTTAGAATAAACATTTGTATTTACACTTTTATTGCATATTTGTAGATTATAGCAAATGAAATTAACTGGGATTAAAAATGTTTGAAAAAACACATGTTTGTAACAGTGTGGGATTTTTCTTAATGTTAGTCTTAAAGCATGTATTGCCTTCATGATCACACAAATAAATATGAGATATTTCAAACATCGAGCTTAATGAATTATTTAAAGCAAATACACACAAAACCACCCTATCCAGGTCAAGTAATAATAACCCATACATTCCCATGGGCTATTTCCCAGCTTCTGTCCTCTATAAAAAGTATCCATTGCTTTTATTGTTATTTGAGCAATTCCCTAACAGTTCCCTTTTTATCATTTTATCTACACATGCACCCCTAAAATTGTGATTTCAATTTTTCTACTTCTGAACTTTATATGAATGGAATCATCCAGTATTCATTCCTTTCTTTCTGCTTCACTCAATATTATGTTTGGAAACTTCACTCATGTTGCATGTAATTATAATTCATCATTTTCCTTTCTGCACAGTAATCTGGTATATGAATGTTGTATATTTCCCATTTGTTTACTAATAGAGACATGCGGGTTGTTTTTAGTGTTTGACTTTTGTGAATATAACTTATTTGAATATTATTTTACGTATCTCTTGGGAGAAGTGGATGCAAGTATCTCGGGTATATACCTAAAGGTAGAATTTTTGGGTCATTGCTTTTTGTAAAATTGGTTAAGCCAACTTTAGCTTTCCCTTGGAGGTACACAGAACTGGTGAATATCCCTTTCACTCTTCACATAAGGAAAGGCTGGACAAACTGCAAATTAATAGCTTTTATTTAACCTATCAGTTCTCTGATTGGGCAAATACTGGACAAACACCTAACTCAGCATCATGGGAGAGACAGGTGCCTGCAGGGAGCAACAGGACAAGCATCTACTTATACAAGGCAGACACTGAAAATGATATATCAATTGGTAAGAAGATTTAAACATTTTTTAATGCATTGCTAAAGGCCAAGTATTGGTCTAGCATGAGAACATAAAGATCATTCTTTTATTTTTAACCTCTGTGATACAGTTTGCTTTAGTTGTGTTTCTTACATACCGCAGAGTTGGATTTTGCTTGTTAGCCAATCTGAAAAATATTTTTTTCATCTAGTCAGAGAATTAAGCCTTTCTATGTTTACTGAGAGGACCAATATGTTCTATAGAAGTTCTCCCACACTGTTCTGTAATTACATGTCAATGGAAATACACATATCTACATACATGCATAAGACACTCACATGGCACATATCCCCACTCTGGTTGGTTCTATTTATTGTTATATTCATGATACAGAAACATTTATGCATTTTTAAAATATGTATCAATTATGTTATATTTTATCACACAGATACCTTTCATTTAGCCCAAATTTTAGAGGCACATATAGTCAATGCCCACCATTAGTTCTTACACACAAGCTCTGCCAATCAATTTTTAGTTAATGGGAATTTTTTTCATTTGTATATTCTTCAGGAAGAGCTAATAGAAACAGCATTCCTTGTGTTCATGAGTCTTTGTGACTCTTTTCTCTTTTTTTTAGATGGAGTTTTGCTCTTGTTGCCCAGGCTGGAGTGCGATGGTGAGATCTCAGTTCTCTGTAACCTCTGCCTCCCGGATCAAGCAATGGTCATGCCTCAGCCTCCCGAGTAGCTTGGATTACATGCATGTGCCACCATGCCCGGCTAATTTTTCGTATTTTTAGTAGAGATGGGGTTTCACCATGTTGACCGGGCTGGTCTCGAACTCCTGACCTCAGGTGATCACCTGCCTTGGCCTCCCAAAGTGCTGGGATTACAGGCGTGAGCCACCGCGCCTGGCCTTTTGTGACTTTTAATCTTGAAGGTCACTTCGACTGGAGGTAAAAACCTTGCTTGTGTTTTTCTTTCATTGAATATCTTTATTTATTTTTCATTTTTATTTTTAGAGACGGAGTCTTGCTCTGTCGCCCAGGCTGGAGTCGGTGGCGCGATCTCGGCTCACTGCAAGCTCCACCTCCCAGGTTCACACCATTCTCCTGCCTCAGCCTCCTGAGTAGCTAGGACTACAAGTGTCTGCCACCATGCCCGGCTAATTTTTGTATTTTTAGTAGAGACGGGGTTTCACCGTGTTAGCCAGGATGGTCTCGATCTCCTGACCTCATGATCCGCCCGCCTCAGCCTCCCAAAGTGCTGGGATTACAGGCGTGAGCCCCCGGCCTCAGTGAGTATCTTAAACATCTGACTTGCTCTCCTGGCATAAGACCTTCTTGTTACAAAATCTGCACTCGATCTGACTTTTTCTATTATAAAATGCTTGTCTTTTTTGTCTACATATATAAAAGTCCCTGCCCCATTTTATTATTAAAGTGAAGTAGTTTATTAGAATATTCCTTGGTGTTAGTGATTAGGGGTCAGTTTTTTCAGGTATACTGGTTGCCCTTTCAATGAGTAGATTTGTGTTCTTTTATTTCAGGAAATTTTCTTGAATGATAGGTTTTAGTATTTGTTCTGTGGTTTTGCTTTTTATCTTTGTGGACTGCTTTCATAATTGTTTTGAATTGATATTGCCTTATTTCTCCCTGACAAGTTCTCATCTATATTTCCATTTGATTGTTTTTCTATTTTTCTCTTTTCCAATCTCCATTTCCCTTACACTTTCCACACTATTAGCTCTTGAAAAGTAAGTGTTTCTTAAATGTTTACTTAAAAAACTCCAGCTGGGTGCAGTGACTCACACGTTTAATCCCAACACTTTGGGAGGCCAAGGCGGGTGGATCACTCGAGGTCAAGAGTTGGAGACCAGCCTGACCAATATGGTGAAACCCTGTCTCTACTAAAAATACAAAAATTAGCTGGACATGGTGGAAAATGGTCTTTTACTTATGATATTTTTCTATGGAGTTCAATTATAATCTTTTAATTTGTTCATGTTTTAGTGAGATGAATTTTCTTATGGTTTTGGAAATAGTTTCATATATAGGAGATGGGGTGCAACAAAATAACTTTCTTTTTTTTTTTTTAGACGGAGTCTTGATCTGTCTTGCCCAGGCTGAAGTGCAGTGGCATGATCTCGGCTCACTGCAGCCTCCATCTCCTGGGTTCAAGCGATTCTCCTCCCTCAGCCTCTCAAGTAGCTGGGACTATAGGCATGTGCCACCACACCCAGCTAATTTTGTATTTTTAGTAAAGACAGAGTTTCACCATGTTGGCCAGGCTGGTCTCAAACTCCTGACCTCAGGTGATCTGCCCACCTCGGCCTCCCAAAGTGCTGAGATTATAGACGTGAACCACCACATCTGGCCTAATTTTCTTTTTTGATATTACAAATAACTTTATACCATTGTATTACTATAGTTAACAATTTAAGTGAAATGGACGAATTCCTTGAAAAGCACAACATACAAAACTGACATAAAAAGAACTACCTATTCCAAAACCCCATCAAAAAGTGAGCAAGGGATATGACAGACACTTCTAAAAAGAAGACATTTATGAAGCCAACAAACACATAAAAAAAAGCTCAACATCACTGATCATTAGAGAAATGCAAATCAAAACCATAATGAGATACCATTTCATGCCAGTCAGAATGGAGATTATTAAAAAGTCAAGAAACCACAGATGCTGGCAAGGCTGTGGAGAAATAGGAAAAAACACTTTTACGCTGTTGGTGAGAATTTAAATTCGTTCAACCACTGTGGAAGACAGTGTGGTGATTCCTCAAGGATCTAGAACCAGAAATGCCATTTGACCCTGCTATCTCATTACTGGGCATACACCCAAAGGAATACACATCATTCTACTGTAAAGACACATGCACATGTATGTTTATCGCAGCACTATTTGCAATAGCAAAGACGTGGAACCAACCCAAATGTCCATCAGTGATAGACTGGATAAAGAAAATGTGGTGCATATATACCATGGAATACTATGCAGCCATAAAAAGAATGAAATCAGCACGGTGTGGTGGTTCACGCCTATAATCTCAGCACTTTGGGAGGCTGAGGTGGGTGGATTGCGAGGTCAGGAGATCGAGACCATCCTGGCCAACATGGTGAAACCCTGTCTCTACTAAAAATACAAAAAAATTAGCTGGGCGTGGTGGTGTGTGCCTGTAGTCCCAGCTACTTGGGAGGCTGAGGCAGAAGAATGGTGTGAACCCAGGAGGTGGAGGTTGCAGTGAGTCGAGATCGCGCCACTGTACTCCAGCATGGGCAACAGAGCAAGACTGTCTCAAAAAAAAAAGAAAAAAAAAAAAAAAGGAATGAGATCATGTCCTTTGCAGGGACATGGATGAAGCTGAAAACCAACATTCTCAGCAAACTAACACAGGAACAGAAAACCGAACACTGCATGTTCTCACTCATAAGTGGGAGTTGAACAGTGAGAACACATGGGCACAGGGAGGGGAACATCAGACACTGAGACCTGTCAGGGGGTGGCGGGGAAGGAGAGGGAGAGCATTAGGACAAATACCTAATGCACATGGGGCTTAAAACCTAGATGATAGGTTGATAGGTGCAGCAAACCACCATGGCACATGTATACCTATGTAATAAACCTGCACATTCTGCACATGTATCCCGGAACTTAAAGTAAATTTAAAAAAATAATAATAATTTGCGAATAAATTCTGCTCCGCACCCTCCAGAGCCAGGGAAAACGGTCCAAAACTGGGACTGCAGACTACTCCTGCTTCAAGACCACGACCACTCCTGTGCCAGGGAGGGAGAGGGGCAAGGGCGTGTAAAATCATCACAAAACTATCCACTGTTTTGAAGTGACTTTTTTATTGGTTCAGTATTCATTTGGTTGCTATAAACTTTTGATTGTTTTCCATAGTCCTGACAAAATTGGTTCAGACAGTTTCTGCTAATTTTTGAAGCTTTTGTGAGATGGTAATGAGAAGTTATGCGTATTCTACCTTTTTGCTGACAAATTGTTCTCCAGTTTCCCGTATATTGATACTTAGTTACTATTTCCCTCTGCTTTGTGGTTAGTTTCCTTTGGCAGGTGAGGGACAGGAATTTTCATCAATTGAAGTATTTTGATATTCTTCTGTTTCCTTCTTATGGCATATTAAATTGATTATCTGAACCAACAATAACAAGTGATTTAATGGATGAATGGTAATATTTTGATTAGTTTGTAAGCTTCTTAGTACATATTCATCTTCTTCTATTAATACAGTGAAGTGCAGTTTCTTTAACAAATAGAACTTTTTCTAAGGGAATGAAGCGACTCAATTCTGTGATTCTTGCTAATATCTGTATGAAGTTAAATTATGCTGGACATGTCCTTATTTCTCTTTGCTACCCTAATTCTAAAGGGCACTTCTATTTTCTAAGTTGCTTCTCTCTAACCTCCAAATTAATATCTCTCAAGATTAACATTTATAGCTTTGCACATTTTCAAGCCTCTTTATTTATTTCCCCCTATAACCAGGATTTTGATTGACTAGGTCTAGTTCTCAGAGATTTTTTTCAGTATTTCCCAGCTCATGATGGATCTACCGCTGTTGCCACTGTGTTCCGTATTCTCTTTTCTGCAGAATCCTCACCTGCTCTCTATGAGAGATTCCCTTGTTCACTGTCTCCTGTAGCACTCAGATTTGCTTTTCCCTTGGTGCATCCAAAGTGGGTGTTTCAATCTACGCTGTCTTTTAGAATGCACAGTTTTCACAACCTTCTTCCTACTGGGATAGAGTTAAGAGGTTATAGGGATTTTATTTGTCTGTTTGCTAGGTATCAAATAATCACAAGCTTTTACAGGTTAGGGCCATGACCACTAATTGAAATGACTATCCTTTCTCATTTGAATTACTTTGGCACCTCATCTGAAATCAACTGACTATACATGTATGAATCTATTTTTGGACTCTGTATCTTATTCTATCTATCTATCTATCTATCTATCTATCTTCTATCTACTTACCTATCCATCTATTCATTCATCCATCCATCCGTTCATCCATCAATCCATCCATCCATCCATCCATGCATTTATCTTCTCTGTCTCTACTCATGCTAATACCACACTGTCTTAATTATCGTAGTTTTATAATAAGGTTTCAAATAAGTTGGTGCAAAGTCTTGCAATTAAAAAAGTATAGTTTGGGATAATAAAGTTCTTTTGAATCCAAAATCAATTGGCCATACATGTGTGAATCTATTTTTGAACTCTGTATCTTATTCTATCTATCTATCTATCCATCCATCCATCTGTCATCTATGTCTCTACTTATGTTAATACCACATTGTCTTAATTACTGTAGTTTTATAATAAGTTTTAAAATGAGTTGTCACAAAATCTTGCAATTAAGAAAATATATATTTTTGGATAATGAAGTTCTTTTGAATTTCCATATAAATTTTAGAATCAGCTAAATTTCTACCAAAAATAAAAAGCCTCTAGGATGTTGATTGAGATTGTTTTGAGCGTATAAATCAATTTGGGGACAATTGACAATTTAAAAATATTGAGTCTTCTGATCCATGAATAAGGTATATTTCTCCATTATCTCAAGTCATCTTTAATTTTTCTCAGCAATGTTTTCAGTCTTCAGTGTACAGGTACTGCACATCTTTTTTAAAATTTTCCCTAAATGTTTTATGTATTTCATGCTACCACAATGGTATTGCCTTGAAAATGATATTAGCAATAGATATTTCTAGATTTCCTTACTCAAAGTGAAGATGTTTCATTCTAGTCCTCCTTTGCTGAAAAGTCTCTTTTTTGGTAGATCATTCATTTTTATTGCTGAGGGTATTCCATTGTATGAATAATTCACAGTTTGATTACCCATTCACATGTTGATGGACATTGGGTTATTTTCAATTTTTGGCCTTTATAATTAAAGCTATTTATGAATGTTTGCATACAAGTGTTTCTATGTTCATATGCTTTCATTTCTCTTAAGTAAAACTTCTAGAAGAAGACATCCAATCAAGCTTTTGTGACTCTGTATTGGGCAAAGTTTTTTAGATATAGCACTAAAAGCACAATTCACTAAAAAATGATAAATTTAACTTCACCACAATTAAAAACGTTTGGTTCTTAAAAGATGCTTTGAAAAAAATAAAAGGCCATAGTCTGGGACAAAATATTTGCAAATGGCTTACTACACAAAGGGCTGATATTCAGAACGTACAAAGAATTCTCAAAACCCAATAGTAAGAAAAAAGACCAATTCAACAATAAATGAAAGAAAAGTTCACCGGTCACTTCACCAAAGATGATACACATGTGGCAAATAAGCACATGCAAAGATGTTGAGAAGTTTCATCATAAAAGGGTGTTAAATTTTTTCAAGTGCTTTCCCCTCTATTGAGATTAATGTATAATACAATATAGATACTAATCACAGAGATTCTTTCCCACAGAGAAAATGCATTATGCACATAAGCTTTGAATCTTAGTGCTATCTTGTACAAATTTTGTGGTGTTGAGCAAGTTTTTACATTGTGTAAGGTTTAGTTTTTTCAAAATGAGGATAACATATAACTTGAGTTATTGTCAAGATTCACAGTAATGTAGGTAGAATTATTCACATGTAATAAGTAATTGACTACCAGTAGCTCTGATGAGATTTGTAGAGCCTCAGATACTCACTTTCTGTACTGTAATTTATGGAGTTAGGAATACTTTTCAACAGGAACACAACATATTCACCTCTTGGATATCATAGTATTTGCTGATGCTCATCCCAAGGTTATAAATGGGTACCAGCAGGAATGAATCAAGCAGAAAGTTTTTAAAAGTATTATTCCAATCTGCAATGAAAAAGATAATGTTAGCATGCTTTATATGAAATGAACTGTCCCAGGATAACAAAAGTCTCCCAAGTTGATAAAATTAAACAGAGAAAATTAAAAGCTGTAACATTATTCTCACAAACCCTCCGTTTTTAGCATAAAGTATACTACCCCTGATTTCTTGAAACATAGTTTGTGTTGATAATTACAGCTTTGGAAAATCCTTTTGGGAAAGCTGATGTCCATATCATCTGTCTTCCTGTCATCTCATGCGAACAAGAAACCAATGCTGATTATTTCTCATACCGTTTATTTTATATAACCAATGAAAAAGCAAAGATGTGATAGGAAATGTAGCCTAGGACTCAACAGTGGAAAGAGGATAAGGAATATATCATCAGTTGAAAGGACATACATCCTCAGAGAAACAAACTTGATGCTGAGATTCCTCTAAATACTAAATTAAATATGTATAACAGTTTATGAATATATATGAGTAAATAAGAAACATGTTTAAGAGGTAAGGCTCTGAACTGTCACTGTAAGACTTCAAGACTGAGTTCAAATTACTGGAAAAAAAGATGAAATTATAAGTCTGAGCAAAAAGCATATTTGTAAGATGCTTTTGTGGCCAGAATTGGTTCCCTCCCGTGGGTTCTTGGTCTCGCTGACTTCAAGAAAGAAGCCACGGACCCTTGCGGTGAGTGTTACAATTCTTAAAGATGGTGTGTCCAGAGTTGTTCCTTCAGATGTTCAGATGTGTCCCGAGTTTCTTCCTTCCAGTGGGTTTGTGGTCTTGCTGACCTCAGGAGAGAAGCTGCAGACCTTTGTAGTGAGTGTTACAGCTCTTAAAGGTGGCACATCCAGGTTGTTTGTCCCTCCCGGTGGGTTCGTGGTCTCACTGACTTAAGGAATGAAGCCTACAACCTTCGTGGTTAGTGTTACAGTTCACAAAGGTAGTGTGGACCCAAACAGTGAGCAGCAGCAAGACTTATTGTGAACAGCAAAAGAAAAAAGTTCCCACAGCATGGAAGGGGATCCGACATTGCCACTGCTGGCTCTGGTGGCCAGCTTTTATTCCCTTATTTGGCCCCACCCACATCCTGCTGATTGGTCCATTTTACAGAACACTGATTGGTCCATTTTACAGAGTGCTGATTGGTCCATTTTACAGAGTGCTGATTGGTCCATTTTACAGAGTGCTGATTGGTCCATTTACAATCCTTTAGCTAGACACAGAGTGCTGATTGGTGCAATTTTACAGAGTGCTGATTGGTGTGTTTACAATCCTTTAGCTAGACACAAAAGTTCTCCAAGTCCCCACTCCACCCAGAAGCCCAGCTGGCAATCAGTACTCTGTAAAATGGACCAATCGGCACTCTGTAAATGGGCCAATCAGCGCTCTGTAAAATGGGCCAATCAGCAGGATGTGGGCAGGGCCAAATAAGGGAATAAAAGCCGGGCACCTGTGCCAGCAGCCCAGCTGGCTTCAACTCTCACTTTGACAGAAGAGAGGGTGTCACCTGAGTGAGGAGGTAGAGGGTAAGTTTGCACCTAATATGTAAATTCTTATGACATTCTTATGACAAAATGGTAGAAGTATGTCTTTCCCTATCAGTGATTACATTAAATATAAATAGATTACTGCTCCAATTAAAGGATAGAGATTGGCAGAATGGATTTTAACAAGCATGATCCAACCATATGCTACCTACAACAGATTCAATTTAAATTTAAAGGCACAAATAAAAGTTTAAAAGACAGAAAAATATATTCAATGCAAACGGTAACCAAAAGAGAGCTGGAATGATTCTACTAATGTCAGACAAAATAGGCTTTAAGATAAAAACGGTTATAAGAGATGAAGGACATTATATACTATTAAATGGGTTAATTCATGAAGAAGATACAACAGTAACAAACATATATGGTCCTAACAACACAGCCCTAAAATATATGAAGCAAAAACTGACAGATTTAAGGGCTTTCAACAATAGTAGTTGGAGATGTCAATACCCCACTTTAAATAATTATAGAACAACTACATTGATCAAACAAATATAAGATATGAACAACAAAATAAACCACCTGACCTAAAGGTATATATAAAATACTCTACCCAACAATAACAAAATACACATTTTTTTCTCAAGTGTACATAAAAAAATTATCCAGGACAGACCATTAATTAGGCCACAAAACAAGTCTTAATAAATTATAAAAAACTGAAATAATATGAAGCATCTTATTATGACTGCAATGGAACAAAATTAGAAATCAGTAACAGAAGGAAATCTGAAAATACACAAATATGTGTAAATTAGACAATACAAACTTAAGCAACAAATGAGTCAGATAAAAAATCATAAGGGAAATTAGAAAATACTTTGACATGAATGAAAACAAAAATATGGTATACCAAAACTTATAAGAAAAGCAGTTTAGTTTTTTCACATTTATTCTTACATTTAAAACTATTTCAAATAAATAATCTAGTCTTCCACCTTAAAAACTGGAAAAAGAAGAGCAAACCAAACCCAAAGCCGGTGGAAGGCAGGAAATAATAAAGACTAAAACAGAGATAAATAGAGAATGTAAAAACAACAGGCCAGGGAAAATATACAATCCCTTTAAAGAATCAACACAAATCAAAGACCTTTATATTGACTGACCAAAATAAGAAAGAAGCCTCAAATTATTAAAATCAGGAAACTAAGAGAAGACATTACTACCAATCTTACAAAAATTAAAAAACATTACAAGAGAATACTATGAACAAATGTAGGGCAATTGATAACCTAGATGAAAAGGACACAATTCATAACCTAGATGAAAAGGACACATTTCTAGAAACACACAAACTACAAAACTAACTCAAGAACAAGTAAAATATCTGAATAGACCTATAATAAGATATTTAATTAGTAACTAAAAACCTCTCAGCAAAGAAAAGGTTGGGATAAGATGGCTTCAATGGTGAATTCCACCAAACATCTAAAGAATAATTTACATTGGTCCTCCTGTTTGGTTTTTAAATAAACAACCAATTGTCCTATTCTCTGACACCCCAACTGGGTGTCCTACAATTGAATTCAATTCTAGCACTACAAAGTATTTTCGAATTTCCCTTGTGATTTTTTATTTGACTCATTTGTTGCTTAAGCTTATAAGTTAGCACAGACTCCATGGGTTAAAGAACCAATCCCACAAGATTGCACCCGCTTTAGACACAGCCACAAATAGGGAATACAGGGTACCTGCACTTCTGCCTGGATAACTACAAATGTTAGGACTCCCACAATTGTTCCTCTGGTTTGATAATGTGCTAAAAACAACTCACAGAACTAAGGAAAGTGCTACATTTACAATTACAGTTTATTACAAAAGAACAGGCAAATGAAGAAGTGCACAGGGCAAGGGGCATGGGACACAGAGCTTCTGTGCCCTCTCCAGTGTGCCACCCTCCCAGCACACCGATGGGTTCACCAACCCAGAAGCTCTCCAGATCTCATTGTTCAAGAGTTTGTATCAAGACTTCATTATGTAATCATGATTGGTTAAAGCAATGGCCTTTGGTGACTGAACTCAATCTCCTGTCTCCTTCCCTCCTGGAGATCAGGGGTGAGGATGTGGGCTGAAAGTTTCAATCCTCATCACATGGTTGATTCCTCTGGCAACCAGCACCTATCCTCAAGCTATCTAAGGGCCTTCCTGGGGTCACTTTATTAGCATAAACTCACGTATGGTCAAGTTTTGAATAAGAAAAGATATTCCATTCATTCCAGAAATTCCAAGGACTGTGGGAGCTCTGTGCCAGGAACAAGGGATGAAGACCAAATACATATTTCTGTTATATCATACCTTCTCAAACTCTACCAAAAAATAGGTCTTATGGTTGTTTGGAAAACAATTTCCTCTCTAACAAAGAGTAAAGGCTTTTCTATTTGAAATCTTTGAATTATCACTTTGAGTAAATGAATGACTATTATTTTACAGTGACCAGTGATTCTATTTTGATGAAGTGTTTTAAGCCTTTAGTATTTGACATACTTCCAAAAATCAAATTTCAAATTCTAAAATTAAGTATTTTCCTTTTTTTTTTTTTTGAGACGGAGTCTCGCTCTGTCGCCCAGGCTGGAGTGCAGTGGCGTGATCTTGGCTCACTGCAAACTCCGCCTCCTGGGTTCACGCCATTCTCCTGCCTCAGCCTCCCTAGTAGCTGGGACTACAGGCGCCCACCACCACGCCCAGCTAATTTTTTGTATTTTTAGTAGAGATGGGGTTTCACCGTGTTAGCCAGGATGGTCTCCATCTCCTGACCTCATGATCCACCCGCCTTGGCCTCCCAAAGTGCTGGGATTACAGGAGTGAGCCACTGCGCCCGGCCTAAAATTAAGTATCTTCCAAAAGGAACTCCTAGATGTCCAAGAGAGACATAGTAGGCTTATTTAATATGTTAAAATTATATAGGAAACACTGGCAAATAAGAAATGGTGCTTGACTTTCTTTGAGTCATATTTACATAAAAGTGTTATTAAAGTATGTTCCAAAATTGTAAGAAATTCCTACAATTCTGATATGTCTTGGTATATGTTATCGGTAATCATTACAATGATGTTAAATTGTATGCCACAGAAATAATCAAATATCCTTGTCAATTATGTCTTTAGGCTGGGTGCGGTGGCTCATGCCTGTAATTCCAGCAATTTGGGAGGCCGAGGCGGGTGGGTCACCTGAGGTCAGGAGTTCAAGACCAGGCTGGCCAACATGGCAAAATCCTCTACTAAAAATACAAAAAAAAAAAAAAAAAATTAGCTGGGCGTGGTGGCCGGCGCCTGTAATCCCAGCTACTTGGGAGGCTGAGGCAAGAGAATTGCTTGAACCCAGGAGGTGGAGGTTCCAGTGAGCTGAGATCACGCCATTGCATTCCAGCCTGGGCGATAGAGTGAGACTCTGTCTCAAAAAAAAAAAAAAATTCTGTCTTTAACTATGTCTATTCTAAGAGATTTGTCATTCTCAATTATTGTTTTATTTTGATTCTTCTCAAAAAGTGGTTTATAATCAGCTACAGTCCAAAATTGGCTTCTTCTTAAGGAACTTCATGGAAAGAACTATGACAAGTACTCTTGAATCCAGGTTTCTGATAACTTTGGAGATCACACCATTGGAGTGGGCAAAAACTTCCAGAGCTCTAATAAAAAACCTGATGCATTCATGAGGGTTGCTAACCCAACATCAAGTGGAATAATAATTAGCTACATGGGACTAAACTGATAGAGGACAAAGATGATTTTTAATAACTTTTTTGCTTGAAACATTGCTGATTCTTTTTATGTTTTGCTTCCAGAGTTAATAAACCTTTTTTCTTTTGAGCTATTCATAGCTTACAAAAATTGGGTAAATATACCTTTGTGGGCAAATTTGAAGCATTTGCCTTTCTCACTACTGGATTTCTCCCAAATTTGGAAACTGTGAGTATTCTTAATTTATGGCAAAATAGTTATTTGCATAAGTTCAATAAGGATCTGTTTTATTTTATAACAGGACATAATTAGATACACTGGCTATTTTATCAAGGCTTTGGCTGGAATGGCATATTTTCAGAGATGACCAGACTGCTTGGAGGAATTGAGATTAGCTTTACAATTTTATAGTGCTGATAAAAAGCCCTTTGGAAAGTCTGGCATGGTTCCTTGTCTACACAGTTCCCTTGTATGGTTTCTGTGCTTGCACTAAGTAAAGAATGTCACTTTCTGGCAGGGCCACGAGCCTCAGTATATTTTGGGAACTCAAGAAGAGAGAAATTAACCCAATTCATACAGGTATTACAGATACAGCCAAGCAAATACTTGGTTTGGCTTCCTAGCCTCAAGACTTTTAAAAGTCTAATCCAAAATTTAGTATAAAAGTCCCAGCAAAGCCAACTTTTAAAAGCCATTCACTATGCCCACTGTGTTTTATGTAAATAATCAGGCGAAGTATCATAAGCCCCAAGTTTATTTTGCAACTATGCATCTGACAAGGGTCTAATATACAAAACTACAAGGAACTGAAACAATTCAACAAGCCAAAAACAAATAACCCAAATAAAACATGGGCAAAAGGAACAAACATTTCTCAAAAGAAGACATACGAGTAACCAAAAAATATATGAAAAAATGCTCAATATCACCAGTCATCAGGGAAATGCAAATAAAAACCACAATGGAATATCATCTCACATCAGTCAGAATGGCAATTATTAAAAAGTCAAAAAACAGATGCTGGTGAGGCTGTGGAGAAAAGAGAACACTTATACACTGTTGGTGGGAATGTAAATTTGTTCAGAAACTGTGGAAAGCAGTTTGGGGATTTCTCAAATAACTTAGAACTACCATTTGACCCGGCATTCCCATTACTAGGTATATACGCAAAGGAAAATAAATCATTCTACTAAAAGATACATGCGTCTGTATGTTCATTGCAGCATCATTCACAATAGCAAAGACATAGAATCAACCTAGGTGCCTATCAATGGTGGATTGGATAAAGAAAACGTGGTACATATACACTATGGAATACTATACAGCCATAAAAATGAATGGAATTATGTCCTCTGCAGCAATGTAGATGCAGCTGGAGACAAAAAGAAAGAAAGAAAGAAAGAAATGTCTAGAACCTACAAATCCACAAACAAAAAAGTAGATTGGCAATTGGGAGAGGCAGTGGGGAGAGGAGAATGGGATGTAACTGAATGAGTACAGGGTTTATTTGGGGGGTGATGAAAATGGGATTAGATGGTAGTGTTGGTCGCACAACATCGTGAATATACTAAAAGTCAGGGAACTGTGCACTTTGAAGGGTAAAAAAGGTGAAATTTATGTTATTTGAATTTTACCTCAATTTTCTGAAAAAGAAAAAGAAAAGCCCGATGAAGTGGATAAAATGTTATTTCTGCATTACTGATGAGACGCGTAGGTCACGTCACGTTGCCTCAAGTCAGACTAGCACCAAAATTGACTACACCGCTCAAACCCTTCTATCTAGCACTAAACAATAAGCCAAAAAAAAAAAAAAGTTAAAATTCAACCCTAAGTCCCTATGGGTTTTCATTTGTTAGAGGCGCGCGCTTTCGAGCTCCGCGCGCCGACCACGGGCAGCGGGTGGGCCCCCTGGCGTCTGGAGCAGCGGCCAGCGCAGAGGACGCAGGCAGAAGGAGGAAGGGCTGGCCGGGGCTCCCGAGCACTCACTGCTCAAGCCTCGCCGCCGCCTCCGCCGCTGCGGGGTGCGCGTCCATCTGGTTGGGGCTCCTCATCCCAACACCCTCCCCAACGGCCCGCCGCGCAGCCGCCCGCGGGCGAGTCTGTAGCCTGATCCTGCGCGGACCCGCCAGAGGCACACCAGGAGGTGGGGAACCGGGGGCGCCCGGGGCAGACCGGGGTGGGAGTGTGGGGAGCCGGGGACGGAGTGTGGGGAGCCGGGGACGCGCGGAAGGTGCCGGGGGCGCGCGGAGGAGCCGGGAGCGCCACCTCAGTCCCCCCACCGCCCCACCCCGCGCATGCTCCCAAGAGCCCCAGACCACCCTTCTCCGGCTTCCGAGATACTTCATCCGTTGCTTGTCCTGGCCCACCGCTCAGTCCCCCAACTCTAGGACGACAGAGGTTAGGGATAAGGGGAATGAGACACGCGCCTTGGCTGCAGCATTCAAGGTGAAGCCAACTCAATAGTCAAAATAAAGACTTTTATACAATATTTTTACATTTTAAAATAAAATGTAAAGATAAAATTTCGTGAGGAGCTGTATTGGCATCTACAGCAAAAGGAAAAGTCAGTAATCCTGAGCCGTCTTTGTTGAAAATTTTTGTACTCTGTTCACTGTGGATTTTTTGGCATTGATTTTTATTTTAAATATTGCATTTAGATGTTTTAGTTTAATATTTATCATGACTACTGAGTGAATCCCGTACATTTTGTGCCATAGGTGAGTACCTCACTATGGTACAGCTCTACCCTGCTGCCATCTTCACTGTGGTAGTGGCAGAAGTCTAGGGGGATGTAAGTAACCACCTCCTCCGCAGGGTCTGTTAGGGGTTAGCAGGGAACTTCCAGAGGCTCAGGCACAGGAGCTTACATGGCCCCCAGGCTTGTCCCAGGACAAGGTCTCAGGGAAGGGCGGGGAAAAGAGATTTACACCAGCTTTCTCAATACTGACCCCTGCATTACTAAAAAGTTTATTAATCTTCTTTCTGTTAAGTCATAATTATAATAATAATTTCATTATTTTAATAATAATAAAATAAACCTCAATAACACCTAATATTTAATATGCTACTTATTAATAATACTTATTATTGGAGGCTTGGGACAATTAGTTCTCTGTGCCTCTGGTCTCAAAAGAAGTGATGCAACCAAGACTAGTTTTCTCAGTGCTACTTTACTGAGGACCTGGGTGATGTGAACCAAAGCTTTATCAGGAAGATGATTTGAGATGATTTGCAGAGTTGTCCTGTTTCTACAGGATTCACTGGAGTGAATTCCTATTATTGAGGTTTCTTATTTTGTCATTGTTAAAATAATGAAATTACTATTATAATCATGACTTAAAGAAGATTAATAAACTTTCTAGTAATGTGGGAGTCAGAAATAAGATTTCTATTTAATCGGGGCTAAATTCCTGAATTTACTATGGAAGCAAATAAATATCTGGCTTTCTTATTTCATATCTCTTTTAGTTGATGAGTATTTGGTTTTGCTTTTTTTCTCCTTGTTAACTTTAAAAAAAAAACCACACAATTTATAAATTTAGACAAGAAGAGACTTTCTTATACGAGGTTACAGCCTGCAAGGTGGGATCCTATGCTGGGAAGCACGCTGTATTATTCCGTTTTCATGCTGTCTATAAACACATGCCTGAGACTGGGCAATTTACAGAAGAAAGAGGCTTATTGGATTTACAGTTCCACATGGCTGGGGAGGCCTCACAATCATAGTGGAAGGCAAGGAGGAACAAGTCACATCTTACATGGAGGGCAATAGCAAAGAGAGAGCTTGTGCAGGGCAACTCCCATTTTTAAAACCATCAGATCTCGTGAGACTCATTCACTATCATCAGAACCGCAGGGGAAAGACCCGCCTCCATGATTCAGTCATCTCCCACTGGGTCCCTCCCACAAGATGTGGGAATTATGGGAGCTATAAGAAGAGATTTGGGTGTGGACATGGAGCCAAACCATATCACATGCCTTGGCCAAGATCAGAGACAGGCACTTTGAAGGAGGAGGGTTGGGGTAGGAGCTTTATGCTCAACAGGTTGGCTAAATATACATATTCAACAGGTGAGAGAAGAAGCTATGAATATTCATGAAAGTGGTCCTGATGCATGTGTATTTAACAAACATGCATGTTACATACAACTCATGTTCATTTTGGGGTGGTTGCAGCATTTAAATGTATTACAATTCAGCCTGATACGTCAAAAGGTCTTTTCAGGACATGAAGGCATGCAAGTGTGCAACCTCTGTAAGTCAGCCAGAACCATCCTATAGTCGGTAGTCTTATCAGGAGAAAGTTACTGAAATCAGTCTCTTGTCCAATCAAGCTGTAGTTATGGCTGGTGGAACAAGGGGTCGGTTAGTCAATATCTGTGATTTGGATGAGTTGTAATTGTTTTAATATTGCATATCTTCAGCCGGGCACGGTGGCTCATGCCTGTAATCCCAGCACTTTGGGAGGCCAAGGCGGGTGGATCATCTCAGGTCAGGAGTTCGAGACCGAGACCAGCCTGGCCAACATGACAAAACCCCATCTCTACTGAAAGTACAAAAATTAGCCGGGGGTGGTGGCATGCACCTGTAATCCCAGCTACCTGAGAGGCTGAGGCAGGAGAATCACTTGAGATCATGCCACTGCACTCCAGTCTGGGTGACAGAGAGGGACTTTGTTTCAAAAAAAAAATTTATATATATATATATGCACATATATACATATCTATATAGATACATAGATACATATACATATCTATATAGATACATAGATACGTATATATGTATATACATATATGTTTGTGTATATATATATATACAGAGAGAGAGAGAGAGAGAGAGAGAGTGAGAGAGAGAGAGAATCACTCTGTTGTCCAGGCTGGAGTGCAGTGGCACGATCTCGGCTCACTGCAACCTCCACCTCCCTGGTTCAAGCAATTCTCCTGCCTCAGCCTCCTGAGTAGCTGGGATTACAGGCACATGCTACCACACCTGGCTAATTTTTGTACTTTTTGTAGAGATGGGGTTTCATCACGTTGGCCAGGCTGGTCTCAAACTCCTGACCTCACATGATCCGCCCGCCTTGGCCTCCCAAAGTGCTGGGATTACAGGTGTGAGCCACTGTGCCCAAGCCATGTTCCCTATCTTCTCTGAGCAGGGCTGGGGAAAACAAAAACAAAAATATTGCTTATCTTCAAGCCAGTGCTTGTTTAGCTGCTGGAGAAAACAAAAACTCTGTGGCAGTTAGAACATAGCTTTTTTCTTTAAGTGTAAGGGTGCGTGACTTAACCCTTCCTGGCATGGCCTTAGATCCTGTTTATAATTTGTTATCGTATTGCCACAAAGAGTCTGTTCTGTCAGTCTTGTGATCTCTGTATTAACATTAAGGCTGCTCAGTTGTGTCTAAACTCTAAAAGGGAGAGGATGTAATGAGGCATATCTGATTTGCCATCCCATCATGGCTGGAAACTAAGTCTTTAAGGTTTTTCTGGGGTCTGCTTGGCCCAGAGGGGGTTCATTCAGTAGGTGGGGGGCATAGGATTTTATTTTTAGTTCACATTCACAAAAACAAAGGGCCAAAAAAGTCTTACTGTGTCACACAGGCTGGAGTGCAGTGGTGCAATCTTGGCTCATTGCAGCCTCCATCTCCCGGGTTCCAGCAATTCTCCTGCCTCAGCCTCCTGGGTAGCTGGGATTACAGGCACCCGCCACCACACCCAGCTAATTTTTGTATTTTTAGTAGAGAGAAGATTTTACCATGTTGGCCAGGCTGGTCTCGAACTCCTCACCTCAGGTAATCCACCCACTTGGGCCTCCCAAAGTGCTAGGATTACAGGCGTGAACTATCATGCCAGGGCTATATGTCTGTGCTTTCTAAACCCAATAAATGTGATGTAATATTAATGCTAACAGCACACGTGATGGGCCAGAAACATTTCTATAAGCCCAGCGGCTCTGGGCATAAATTTCTAGGGATGGTGAACCGAAGAAACAAAATTGTGTCATTGAAATCAGCTTTTCCCAACCACCAGTGTCTTCTCTCTCTCTCTCTTTCTCTCTCAGTGTTCACTTATTACATGGCTACTCTGTGCCAAGCACTGTTGCTAAACACATTATGTACAATTTCTCATTTCATTGGTACTGATTTTGACACTTACTCATCCACTGTCTTTTATCATGATGTGACCATTTCCTACAAAATGCCCTATGTAGCTTCCAACCAAAATACCACAAAGCACAACTTCAGCAGTCCTGCCTCTTGACCTTCTCCCAGGCTCTGCTCTCGCTCATCTGTTCCATCCTTTGCATTGGCAGAAGACCCATCTTTCTAAATGCTTACTCTCTTGGAGCATGTAATTTCTTTCCTAGGAATCACCATTCTCAGCTGCCTGACTCCAAGAATCGTTCTCAGTTTTATCTTCTGATGCTCCTAGACCTCAGCACCTTATTCCAGCCTAACACATCTGGCAACTCACTGTTCCCAGAGCTATTCAACATGCCTTCCACCTCAGGGCTTTACTTGGCCTGTAATGCCCTCTTCCTCTCTTTCTGCCAAAGTAGCTTAATGATTAGGAATATAATTCTGAAGTCCAACCATGGGCAAAGCCAGCTCCTCTGCTGACTTGGTGGATGACCTTGAACTAAATTTCTTCCCTTCTCAGAGCCTCCAATGGACAGTAAAACTAATAACAACACCTCCCTACCTTAGAGGTTGTTGTATAATTAAATGAGATAATATACATAAAGTGCATGGTGCAGTATCTGGTACATAGTAAAGATCAATAACCTGATGTTATCATTGTTGTCGTCACTATTATTATTTCAGACCTTGGTTTCTCCCCACTCTTTCATGAAGCCCTTATCTAACCACTCCAGGTCAAAATCATCTCTCTTTTCTTTGAATTAACTTACTTTTCCTATCACTGATTTGATGACTAGGATTTATTGCCTTAAGCTTTACATCATTCCTTTCCGATTTTATTTCCCCATCTCAGGTAAAAACTCCTGGAAGAAAAGATCCTGCAATTTGGCTTTTTGTGAGATGGAAAAGATTACACCTTGCCCTGCAAACTTCCCCCCTTTAAAGGCGAAGGTTTGTTAGGTTAGTTAGCCTGTGAGAAAACTGTGCGTTCTTAGCAATCAAAGGCCAGACATCTGGGGGTACAGGGGGGAGGAAGACTAGGATAAGAGACTCTAGACGGGGACAGAATTAAAAGGAAAAAAAAATTAAATAAGCCTCCGTCTCCTTTTATCTCCTAGCAGTAGGCAGTAATTTAATAAATAAAGGAGCCCCGTTAGCGTTTTCCCTGTCCATTCTTTCCCAGGCACGGTGACCTAGACAGCAGCAAAAAGCGAGTTAATAGGGAGGGGTTATGTAGGAAGCAAAAGTCAAGGAATGTGGCTACAGCTGATTACAGGAACTGAGAAAGTGGACCAAACAATATTGACTCCCAGCACGCCACCGCGATGTCCATCTTGGGGAATCCGTTGCTGGAAGGGACCCATCTCGCCCACCCTTAGGGGTCGAGGTGGGCGAAGGGGGAGGAGAGGGCTGGCGGGGCGGGGCGGGGTTGCTCCGCCCCCGGAGGCTGGGCTGTGACCAGCAGGCGGCTCCACAGAGCAGCGGGCGCGCTCATAAAGGGCACAGCCGAGGGTACGTGGATCGCGGTGCGGAGACTGAGGTTAGAAGGCACAGGTGGCGAGATGAGCCGGGTACCAGCGTTCCTGAGCGCGGCCGAGGTGGAGGAACACCTCCGCAGCTCCAGCCTCCTCATCCCGCCTCTAGAGACGGCCCTGGCCAACTTCTCCAGCGGTCCCGAAGGAGGGGTCATGCAGCCCGTGCGCACCGTGGTGCCGGTGACCAAGCACAGGGGGTGAGTGAGGAGGGTCGGGGTCAGGGGCAGGAGAAACTGGAAAGCGGGGAAAGGAGGAGCAGGAAGAGGAGGGGTGGGAGAAGGGAAGAGACGGCTTGCCTAACCGTTGCTAACAGCTGCCACTTTTAATAGGCGCTACCCGGTGTGCTAAGTGGGCGTTTTACAGGTGTTACCTTGTTTATTTCAGCACACTCTCCACCTAGGGAGGTATTGATACCACCATTTGATTGGTGGAAAACTGAGACTCAGAGAGGTTAAGTGACTTACCTAAGCTTACACAGCTACTAAGTGGCAGAGCTGGAAAGGTTTTCTGATCCAGAGCCAGACTTCTGAACATACTGTGCATAGTGTCTAAGGGAAGGGCAGAGGGATGCGGGGGCTGGAAGAGGGCCAGTGGGGTGGTGAGGAAGGAAAGAAAAAGGAAAGTATATGGATACTTTCTAAGAGACCCCAGCATTGATGGGAAGGGGCTGAAGCTGCTCCCTCTCTCCTTGTAGCTACCTGGGGGTCATGCCCGCCTACAGTGCTGCAGAGGATGCACTGACCACCAAGTTGGTCACCTTCTACGAGGACCGCGGCATCACCTCGGTCGTCCCTTCCCACCAGGCTACTGTGCTACTCTTTGAGCCCAGCAATGGCACCCTGCTGGCGGTGAGCAACTTCCTGTCCCGGGGTGGAATGGGGCCCCTGGGCCCAGATTGAAGCTCAAAAGTAAGTTCTCCGCAGCAGGGGGAGTCTTGATTGTGACTACGCGTGCCCCTCTGCAAGTGACTGGATACCAGCAACAGTGAAGGTTATCTGTGTCCATGTATCTATTTCTAGGACTGCCTGAGGATGCATAACACGGCACCAGCGCCCACTGCTGCCTCAAGCATGTGACAGTGTGGAAATAATAATCTTGTTGTCATTCTTGCATATGTCCTTGTCCTATACTCAGTTGCCCCAAATACGCAGCTTGAATGAACCCATTAGCCAAGGGAAGACTTACTTACTGAATCCTTGTCGACATGGAAAAGAAGGGGTGTTCTATAATCCCTGGGAGTCTTCAGAGGGGTATACGGTGTGACCTGTTTTAATATCTAATCATAGTTTCAAAAGGTAGCAGTAGCTTGTGTTTATGGAGTACTTTTTATAATGCATCAGGCACTTTTCTAAACATTTCACATTTATTAATCCTCTTAATACTTAAAACTATTCTATGATATGGGTAATATGATTACTCCCACTTTATAGATGAGGAAACCGAGTCAGAGCAACTATGTTCAACTTACCGAGGTTTATGTAACCAACAATTAGCATGGTTGGACTTCAGAGCTGCTCAGTCTAAGTCCACGGTCCATAGGTCCAGACTCTTCTAAGACCACCGCCATTTTAACTGCTACATATTGGGCACTTATGTGCCAAGAAGGAGACGCTGATCACATTCAATTCTGCAAAATTCCTCTATGGGTGTTTTTATTAACTCCCCTTCCCCCCAATTTCTGTTGAGGTCCTTGAGGCTCAGGTTAGTAGAGTCACTTTGCTTGAGGTCACACATCTGGTTAGTGAAAGACTCAAGAATCACTCCCAGGTGTGACAGTTAACTCTTAAGGTCTGTGCGCTCCAAGCTGGGTCTTACAATGTCCCTCCTTTTCCCCTGAATTTCTGGATCGCCAAATAATCTGGCCGTTTAACACTCCTTTGAGAATATCTAGCTTTCCCCAACTTACACTCATCCAACCGAGATGGCATTCATACTACCTGCCAACAGCGGTTCCCTAGGGGGGTAGAACCCAAGGCTTTGAAACTAGATGACAGCTGAATCTGCTCAGTGACTTCGTGATTCACTTCCTCATCTGTAAAATGAGGTTGATGATGCCTATTTTTTGATGATCAGCTGAGATGAATAACAGGGAGAGGAGTGCAGAGGATGGTTTTTACTAGCGAGGCATAATTTTCAACCTTCGCTGTGTATCGGAATCACCTGGGCTGTCTGGGTCTCACTCCTGGAAGAGATACAGACTGGGTTAATCTAAGGGTGGTATCTGAGCATCTTCACGAAGCTTTCCACATGTGCAGCAGGAACGGAGAGCCACTAAGAGTTTCATGGCCGTTGTCCAGATGTCAATTGGCAACCTTCTCTCTCTAGTTCCTTCTTAATTTGGTGTTTTGAGAATCCTAGGGCAAGAAAAGAAAATGGGCAGTTCTTGAGGGCTCACCATGTGCTAGATGTTTCCAGATATGCCAGTGCATTTAATCCTCACAATAACCCTCTGAATGGCTGGCATTATCTTTTTTACAGGTGAGGAAACCAGTGCTTAAAGATTAAAGTGTTTGTTCAAAGTTGCATATCTCGTAAGTGGAGGAATCGGATCCAGGTCTGACGCCAAACCCATGCTGTTTGTAGGATGCTATAAAACTTCCTAAGCTAATATTTTAGAACTGTTTCTTCTAATTTATGCAGTGGACAGGGGTTCCCCTTGCTCACTGTCTCTCTTTTCCTCCAAGGTCATGGATGGAAATGTCATAACTGCAAAGAGAACAGCTGCAGTTTCTGCCATTGCCACCAAGGTAAGATGAATGGCTGGCTGTACCATTAAGGTGAGCTGTCAAGTGGGGTCTGGTGTCTCAATCTTGAGAGACTAAAGGAGAAGTGGGGAACTTATTTTGGTTTCCTGTTGGACATAGCTGGAACTCCAGATGTCAGATATATCAGTAATTCACGAAATTATTAGCTACCAATTAGTGTGCATGACCAGATTTCAAGTACCTTATGTGCATAATTCTCAATCTTCCCATCAGTCTTGAAGAATCGAAATGAGAAATTCTCTCCACCTTCCAGGTCAAGGAATATGGCTCAGAGAGCTTCTGTGAATTGCCCAGGATCACACAGCTAATAAGTGCTAGAGTAAGAATTTAATACTTGACCTCTCTGGCTTCCAGGACTGGCTTCTTGTCCCTGTACCACATTGCCCCTGGTAAGACAGTATAATTGTCCCATAGACCAAAGCTAGTACTACACAAGAGGCTGAGTGAACTGAACATATCCAAGCCAGATCCCTGTATTCATTCGACAAGTATTGACTGGGCTTCTATCATGTGTCAGGCACTGTTCTAAATGTTAGGGAAATGGCAGTGAGAAAAACAGAGGGGCACACACAGGGGAGGTAGACAATACCAATAAAAAGGAAAACACAGGCTGGGTACAGTGGCTCACGCCTGTAATCCCAACATTTTGGGAGGCTGAGGCAGGCGTATCACTTGAGCTCAGGAGTTGGAGACCAGCCTGGTCAACATGGTGAAACCTCGTCTCTTGTAAAAACACAAAAATTAGCTGGTCGTGGTGGTGGGCGCCTATAATCTCAGCTACCCGGGAGAGTGAGGCAGGAGAAACGTTTGAACTCAGGAGGCAGAGGTTGCAATGAGCCCAGATCGAGCCACTGCACTCTAGCCTGGGCAAAAGAGTGAGTGTCTTAAAAAACAAAACAAAAAGGAAACAAAACAAAACAAACAAAAACATCTGTTGAGTTTAATAATGTGTTAAATAGTAATAAATAATATGTAATTAAATAATTAGTACATATTAATAAATGATTAATAGCGTGCTTAGAATTTGCTAAAAAATAAAACCAACAATAATCCAAAAAGCCACATAACATGTTAGGTGAAGATAAAGCAGAAGTGAGAGTATTGGAGAAGCTGTCACATTTTACATTATCCAAGAAAGGCCTCCCTGAGAAGGTGACATTTGAGTCAAAGCTGAAAGCAGTGAGTTAGCGAACCATGCAAAAACACGGAGGGGCACTCCAGGCAGAGGGAACAGTAAGCAATGGGGGTGATGATGTTCCCAAGCAATGTCAAGGCATCCTATAAGAAAAACAGCATTTTTAAAAGTTAGAGTTAAGAGGATGAGGCTTAGGAAACAGGGTGTCTGTGGGAACGATTGGAGTCTGGAGTCTTTCACATTAAATGTGGAAGTACAAGGTCTTGGGACACTGGTTTTCCTAAGTTATTATAAAGGAAACGTGGTAACCCAGGGAAAGTTGCAGCAGCAAAGACCAGGTGTTCAGGTTGCATGTCGAGGTTTTCTAGATACCTGCTGGGGAGGGAAGAATGGGAGGATTAATCTGGTAATTGTATGCGAAGGGAGTAGACCAACAGCACCCACCTCAATGAACTGGTTTTTAGTTATATCCAGACCTGACTCAACTGAAGTAATCAAGGACTCCTTGCTATGTTTGCTGGTAATTTGGGAACAGAATGAATCTTGTATTACTGTCATTTGCAAAGAGCTTTAGTCTTTTTCAAACTCATTTCCAGCCCCTTGTCTGGACTACGAGTTTCTGTGAGGAAGGCAGAGAAAGTATTAATGGCCTCATTTTACGCATAAAAGAATAGAAACTTGGGTTTCCTGAAGTCATACAACCAGGTTCCTGCGGGTCCTTTTGAGGCCACATGGTCTTGTCCCAGATAAGAAGTTTCCAACAGAAGCAAGCTATGCAGCAGCATTAGCTAGGGAAGTTTTTAAAAACTCAAATTCCCATGCCTACTGAATCAAAATCACAGAGTGAGGATCAACCAGGTCTGGAAACCACACTTTTGTAGACCCAGCCTGCAATAACACTGCTTTGTTGCATTAATAAAAATCTGTGCTCCCAGAAGAATCAAGAAGCCTTGGGTTGACACTTCAAAGTTTAGACACTTCAAAGTTTAGGCTGAAACTTCACAGCTTTATTTCCAGGGGCTCAGATGAACTGTTTCAATAAGGAACAAAGGGTCTATTTTACTTGTTGCCTTGAGAGTAGAATATTTTCTTGTCCATCATTTCTCTTCTATTTAGGGCTCTTGTTGGGGAGAATAAGTATACGGAGCTCTAGGGTCTGATGAACATAATACATTTTTTGTGCTTGGGTCTCACATAAGCTTCATTGAAGCCTCTGATATGTTTTCTCAAGGTGATAGTATATATTAGGGTTTAGCACTAACATACATTTATTCAACAAATATTTGAGTGTCCACCAAATGCAAGGTTCTGCGCTCAGCATGGGGTAAGCAAAACCAGATACAGTACTTGCCCTCATGTAGTACAGGGTCCAGTGGGGGAGGCAAGATATAGTCCAAAGATCACATCAATAGGCTGGGCGCAGTGGCTCACGCCTGCAATCCCAGCACTTTGGGAGGCTGAGGCAGGCAGATTACCTGAGGTCAGGAGTTCAAGACCAGCCTGACCAACATGGAAAAACCCCATCTGTACTAAAAAAAAAAAAAAAAAAAAAAAAAAAAAAATTAGCTGGGCATGGTGGCAGGTGCCTGTAATCCCAGCTACTTGGGAGGCTGAGGCAAGGGAATTGCTTGAATCCTGGAGGCGGAGGTTACAGTGAGCCAAGATCACACCACTGCACTCCAGCCTGGACAACGAGTGAGACTCAGTCTCCAAAAAAAAAAAAAAAATTCACACCAATAAATATGAAACTACAACGCTGACAAGTGCTGTAAGAGTGTAAAGCAGTATGTCTTGATCTAGCCTGTGGCTGTGTCTCTGTAGGGGATATTTGAGCTGAGATTGAAGGATAATCAGTTACTTGTGAGGGGGAGAGGGGACAAAGCAGCCTAGCATCGTATGGCAAGGAATTAATTCATGCAAAGGCCCTGTGGTTGAAGGAAGTACATGAGCTTGGGAAGCTGCAAGGAAGCCAGTATGGCTGGAAGACAGGAAGTGCAGGGGAACATGGCATGGTGGTATGAGAGACAGCTTTAGAGATAGGAGGGCCAGACCATGCAAGGCCTTGGCAAATGCAAATGAAACAGACTTTCAGACTCTTTAAATGAGAAACCCAGCAGATTCATATACGTGTACTTAATAACCTGCATGCTTAGGAGAAAAGATTGAAGTGCCACTAATGCTGTTTAATAAATCTTATAAACATATGATTAAAAATCGGCTGGGTGCAGTGGCTTACACCTGTAATCCCAGCACTTTTGGAGGCCGAGGCAGGTGGATCACTTGAGGTCAGGAGTTCGAGACCAGCCTGGCCAACATGGCGAAACCCCATCTTTACCAAAAAAAAAAAAAAAAATTAGCCAAGTATGGTGGCACATACCTGTAATCCCAGCTACTCGGGAGGCTGAGGCATGAGAATCGCTTGAACCCAGGAAGCAGAGGTTGCAGTGAGCTGAGATCACACCGCTGCATTCCAGCCTGGGCGACAAAGCGAGACTGTCTCGGAAAAAAAAAAAAATTTTAAAAATATCAATTATCACACTATTACCAGGGCAACAAATTATCAAGTAAGACAACCAATTAGAATTACACATTTAGTTTAGGAAGTTGAAGGTTATTTTTATGGGATACTGTAACAATTTCTGAAGCTCACCTGTACTTTCAAGAATAGATTCATATTAACTGAGAACAGAAGAAAATGGTAACAATTAAGGAAAAAAATCTAATTATCCTTATCAGACAGCAACATAAGATTTCTAGTCTTGTGGATATTATCATTTTGAAACCTTTTCAAATCAGAGACGTTAAACTATATTTTATGGCACAGAATGGTATCTCTCCTTCGGTAGCTGCAGGAGATAAAATTAATTCCTAATATTTCAGAGATGCTGTTTTGCTAGTAATTAGTAGTTAAGAAGACTTTTCACTTTTTAAATATTATACTCCAAAATTCCAGTGAGTAGCATTTTATAAAAGAACAGACCACAGGGAACTCAAAGTTTACTAAATGGAATAGAGAAAAGGCAGAAGAGGGTTTTATTTAATACATATGGTGTCGAGGGCCAAGTGATGTCTTTCCTCTATGCCAGTGGTTCTCCACTGAGCATGAGTTTGCCACCTGCTCCAGAGACATTTAGGAGTGTGCAGACGTTTTTAGTTCCCACAACTTGAAGGGGTGGAAAATGCTACTAACATCTAATGGATAGAAACCAGAGATACTGTTGCACATCCTATAATACACAGGTTGGTGCCCCTCCCCAATAAAGAATTGTCCAGCCCAAATGTTAGTAGTACCGAGGTTGAGAAGCCCAGTGCTACCTCTTGTAGGTCATAGTAGGTATGTACCAGTTCTGTGCAAATAAGACTACCTCTGTCCTCATGGGGCTTAAAGACCTGTAGAAGAAAATCTACAAACAAATAAGTGCTATGGCCTGGTGCATTCTATCAAGGAGGTCAGAAAGGCTTCATTGGAGAGGTGGCACTGGACGTGAGTTGATCACAGAATCCTGCTCTCAAACACAGACACCCTCAGGAGATGCCACAAATGCTAATTCTACATTCGTCTTTAGAGGAAGACAGAGGCAGTGAAAAGATCAACAGAGTTGGCCCAGTGAATATAGCTAGAACCCTGGGAAGGAAGGGCTCACAGAATCCAGGCAGCTCTTAGAAGCAGCTCAGAGCTCTGAGAAGTGGGTATGGCTGAGCATGTACCTGAGATATGAAGAAAGGACATGGGCTTTGGAGTATGGAAGACGTGACTTTAGAGCCACACTGTGCCCTTCAATAGTTGTAAGACCTGGCTAGGTGCGGTGGCTCACGTCTGTAATCCCAGTACTTTGGGAGGCCGAGGTGCACAGATCACCTGAGGTCAGGAGTTTGAGACCAGCCTGGCCAACATGGTGAAACCCCATCTCTATCGAAAATACAAAAATTAGCTGGGTGTTGTGGCGCACACCTATAATCCCAGCTCCACGGGGGGCTGAGGTAGGATAATCACTGGAACCCAGGAGGCAGAGGTTGCAATGAGCCAAGATCGTGCCACTGCACTCCAGCCTAGGCGACAGAGCGAGACTCCATCTCAAAAAAAAAGAAAAGAAAGAAAGAAAGAAAAAGAAATAAATAAATAATTTTAAAAAGTAGTTGTAAGACCCAGAGCAAGTTCACCTTTCTGTTACCAGGGCAACCTCAGTCTCTTCATCTGTAAGAAGAAGATAGTAGGAGTCCCCAACTCGTAGGGTCAATGTCTAGACTAAATGAGATCATGGGGGCAAAGCATTGGCATACATTAGCTGTTCAGTGAAGCCTTCTTCCTTCTTTTCCCACTTGATACGGGGGAAACTAGACACAAAAGGAAATTCTCTTGATTGCCTGCAAGCTCTTGAGGGAGGCAGAAGAGAGGGCAGAAGTCACCTGATACTCAAACCATCTTAGTTTTTTACCCGTCTGCTAGGGTCTCCCTTGACCTTTGCCACTTCATTTCTCTCATATAGTTTCTGAAACCTCCCAGCAGTGAAGTGCTGTGCATCCTTGGGGCTGGGGTCCAGGCCTACAGCCATTATGAGATCTTCACAGAGCAGTTCTCCTTTAAGGAGGTAAGTCCAGGGGTGGGGGTGGGAGAGAAGAGGGAAGGGGGTGGTCCTTGACCTGTCTATACTGCTTCACTGCACCACAGGTTATTCTGAAATAATTAAGTTGTGAGCCCCATCTAGACCATTCTTGTATCTTCATGACTTCCCAGAAGCCCTGATGGAGGGGATGGAGGATAAGAGTCAGGGGAAGATCTGATTACCTGTTTCCAGTCCTCAGTTCAGAGGGCATTTGTCTGAGGATACAGCAAGCTTACTCGGTTAAAAGATTCTATTATATCTCTTGTATACATTCAGTTGTCCTTTTAGCTCCTGTCTATTATGTTTTTCTTAGGAGAATCCAGAGTTTTTAAGTATTCAAGGTTATGGATCAAGAAACTGGGTGGGATGAGACCTGGAGACCAGGAGGCCACAGCCTCTCTCTTTTGCAGTCTCCATACTGGTCCACCTTCCCCCCACTGCGTCTCATGCTTCCCCCTGGGAATTTTTGATGCTATTGTTATTTTATGTGTGTGTATGAAAGGGATGGAGCAGTTTTAAAGTATGATTTAATGATGAAAATAAAACCACTGCCTTGAGAAATATAGACTATTAGGTGAGTGCAAAAGTAATTGCAGTTTTGGCCATGACTTTTTTTTTTTTTTTTTTTTTTGAAATGGAGTCTCGCGCTGTCGCCCAGGCTGGAGTGCAGTGGCATAATCTCGGCTCACTGCAACCTCCATCTCCTGGGTTCAAGTGATTCTTGGGCCTCAGCCTCCCAAGTAGCTTGGATTATAGGCGCCCACTACCACACCTGGCTAATTTTTGTATTTTTAGTAGAGATGGGGTTTCACCATGTTGGCCAGGCTAGTCTGGAACTTCTGACCTCAGGTGATCCACCTGCCTTGTCCTCCCAAAGTTCTGGGATTACAGGCGTGAACCACTGCGCCCAGTTGCCATTACTTTTAATACAAGGAAGAAAACAAAAGAAAAATGCCCTTTCATCTGTTTTCAAAGACAGTTAATGTTTTCTGATCTTCCCTCTTCAGCTTTTTATAACATAGCTTTAGTCACGTTAGATATGCACCATTTTATATCCTCTCTTACTGAATGTTCTAACATCACTTTTCAGGTTATCTAATTTTTGCATAAAATTTGCATAGTCTTCTATCAAGAAGGGTGAAGAGGTTAACCATGCACTTCCGGCCGGGCAAAATGTCCTGTTTTTCACCTTGCTTGGTGAACTTGCTTAGACATAAAGTTTGTTTCCGTATGTATTATATTTCCTTATGAGAAATTCTGTAGGCCTTATTTTCAGTTGACGGGTGACAAGCCCTTGACCCAAACATTGAAACCTGTCAAGCAAGTCGGCAAGTCCCCAGCTCCTGGTGAGGCCGCTGCCCCACCCTCCAACCCCAGCACCTTTCAGGATTCCAGCCGTAGCTACCATTCTTGGCCTTTTCATTGGCTATGCCATTTACCTTCAAACTCGTCTGATCTTGAATTTCCTAAGTATTCTTCACCGATCAAGTTATTCCATGAAAAACATTATCATAAATAATCCTTCATATGAATCTCCCACCCATTACAACTCCTTTACGGGGTCTCAGACATAAAGTGTGAGTTCCACACAGACTTTGCCAGTTATATTTCCATTTTACAGATGTGGAAACTAAGGCTGAATGACATGAAGCAATTTCAGGAAATAGCAGAGTGGAGATTGGTTCCAAGCCTACCTGGCTCCAGAACTTGCTCTGCTAATCATTATGCTATTAATATATAATAGCTATGAAGTTACTGAGGCTGTGCCTCTTGGCCTAGAAGTGAAATACTTCCACTCATTTTAAAAGGGGAAAGTGGTAGAGAACGCTGATTTTCAAATACCTGGCTAGGTGTCTAAGTTAATGCTGTACCCCTGATCAAATGTCCATTCTCCATGGGGAATGATTTAGGAGTGATTTAGATAACCACTGACCCCTATGCCAGAGTAGTTCAACTTTCCCTCCGCATCCCTGGGCTCAGTGTAACATAAGCAGCCAAAAAATGGCGCCAATATCCTTCTTGTTACTCCCAATGAAGGTGAGGATATGGAACCGCACCAAAGAAAATGCAGAGAAGTTTGCAGACACAGTGCAAGGAGAGGTACGGGTCTGTTCTTCGGTCCAGGAGGCTGTGGCAGGTGCAGATGTGATCATCACAGTCACCCTGGCAACAGAGCCCATTTTGTTTGGTGAATGGGTGAAGCCAGGGGCTCACATCAATGGTAAGTAGAGTGGCTCCATAAGGCATGATGGGTGGTGGCCAGGCTCCTCTCTAGACGGGACCAGTCGACTACATTTGCAGAGCCAGTTTATTCATGCAGAATGCCCAAGCTATTTAAGGGCCTTGAAAACATGTGAGATTGAAAAAAACAATATTTGGCTGGGTGCAGTGGCTCATGCCTGTAATCCCAGCACTTTGGGAGACTGAGGCAGGTGGATTGCTTGAGGCCAGGAGTTTAAGACTAACCTGGTCAACATGGCAAAACCCCGTCTCTACTAAAAATACAAAAGTTAGCCAGGCATGGTGGCTTGCACCTGTAGTCCCAGCTACTCATGAGGCTGAGGCATGAGAATGGCTTGAACCCAGGAGGCAGAGGTTGCAGTGAGCCAAGATTGTGCCACTGCACTTTAGCCTGGGCAACAGAGAGAGACTCTGTCTTAAAAAACAAACAAACAATATTTGCTCCAAGAAATGTAAAAGGGAAATTACAAACCTGAAACTAAAGAATATTTAATGTTCTATAAAATGTAAGTTTTTTTTCTTTTTTTGGGACAGGGTCTCACTCTGTCGCTCAGGCTGGAGTGCAGTGGCGAGATCTCAGCTCACTGCAACCTCTGCCTCCTGGGTTCAAGCGATTCTCCCACTTCAGCCTCCCGAGTAGCTGGGACTACAGGCATGTGCCACCATGCCCAGCTAATTTTTTGTAATTTTTGGTAGAGACAAGGTTTCACCATGTTGGCCAGGCTGGTCTCGAACTCCTGGCCTCAAGCACTCTACCCACTTCAGCCTCCCAAAGTGCTGCGACTGATTACAAGTATGAGCCACTACGCCTGACCATAACATGTAAAATTATGGCAAATGGTAATTCACAGCTCAATTCTAAAATGTGATGAAATTTAAATCAGAAAGGCCAAATGAGTCACTTTTTCTTAACACTAAGAATTATAAACCTTTAAATTTCTTTTGTACTGTAATTTTTTATGTGACATGTATATGCTTTTTAATATGTGTGATAGGATGAGGGGCAGGAGAGGGGGCTCTAGACATGAGGGTGCCTGGGGCCTCTGTAGACCTTCAGATGGCCCTGGGTGTTATAGCAAGAGCTGGTCTACATCTAATACTACTGCAGGTGCTGTCATGAATTCTTTGTATAATTCTTTGTATATTAAATGACATTATTCTATGTATAATGTCATTTAATACTTATAACCAACTTATGAGGCAGGAACTATTATCATAAACATTTTATAGGGGGATGAACCAAGGCATGGAGAAATTATATAACTTTTCCAAAGTCACAAGTTTTTGTTTGTTTGTTTGTTTGTTTGTTTGAGATGGAGTCTCACTCTGTCACCCAGGCTGGAGTGCAGTGGCATGATCTCAGCTCACTGCAACCTCCACCTCCCATGTTAAGTGACTCTCCTGCCTCAGCCTGCCGAGTAGCTGAGATTACAGACACACGCCACCATGCCAGCTAATTTTTTTGTATTTTTAGTAGAGATGGGGTTTCACCACATTGTCCAGGCTGGTCTCGAACTCCTGACCTCAAATGATCCACCCGCCTCAGCCTCCCAAAGTGCTGGGATTACAGGCGTGAGCCACTGTGCCAAGCCCAAAATCAGAGGTTCTTGATGGCAGAGCTGGGATTTGAACGGAGGCACTCTATCCTCAGAGTCCAAGCTTTAAATGATACTCATGATTGCCTTCCAACAGGAAGACTGGATTCTGGTGAGCAGAGCAGGCAAATTTTAGAGGATTTAAAGATGGTCTTGGTGCCCTGTGTTTTAGTGACAAGCACATGGTGTGAACTCAGAAGCTAAGAGCTTTGCACACGTGGGCAGATGAGCCGGCGAGAGCCAAGTCAAATGATGACGCATTCAATCATACATGCTGACTGAATCTCTACCGTGTGCCAGGCACTATTCTAGATGCCAGGGATGCCACAATAACCAGGCAGTCAAGGTCACTGGTTTCATGGTGGTTAATTTCAGTGAGGAGAGATAGACAACAAACAAACACATAGAGGAACTAGATCGTTCTGGCTAAAGATGAGACCGGAAAGAACAAGGCCCTGGGTGATAGAGGCTGGTGGTGGAGGTGGAAGGTAGAAGCAGAGAGAGGTGTTTTCAATAGGGTTATCTGAGAAGCTCTCTAAGATGTGTTTTTTGAGCTGTGACCTGAATGAGGAGGAAGAGCAGCCATGCCAAGAGCTGAAGGAAAGGCATTCAGGGTAGAGGGCACAGCAGATGCAAAGGCCTTGAGTGTGGAAGCGAACATGGCGTGTTTGAGGAATGGATCAAAGTAATTTGAAAGTCTCAGGCTGCATGGGACTGGTGGTCAGACTGGGTCCAGGGAATGGGTAAGAGGTAAGTCAGGGCTGAGTTTATGGACAATAAGACCATTTCTGGAAGGACCTGGGAAATCAAAAGGAACCAGTTCATGGTGAAATGGGTTTCCAAGGCTGCATCTTCAGAAAGATGGACTTGATTTTTTTTTCAGCTTAAAACAACACATTATTATCATCTCACAGTTCCCGTGGTTCAGGAGACTGGGTGTGGGTAGCTGGATCCTCTGTGCAAAGTCTCACAAAAAAGAAATTGGGCAACATCCGGGCTGCAATCTCATCTCATGCTCGGGGGTCCTCTTCCAGGCTCCCATGGTGTGGCAGGATTCAGTTCCTTACACTGGAGGATGGGGGGAGCCCCTTTCCTTGGGGCCATTCTCAGCTCCCAGAGATGACCCAAATTTCCCACCATATGGACTCTCCATCCTCACATCCAGCCACAGACAATCTCCCTTATGTTGGATCCCTCTCTCACTTGGAATCATTCTCCAGGAAGGGCTGACTTGATTTTGAGTCAAGGCATCTCTTCTGTTTTCCTGGCCCAGGGACAAAATTGGTTTATGTGTTCACAGAGGCAACACATACATTTAAGAAAAATGTGTCACAAGCGCAGACAACAGGGAAATACCAACAACAGATTTTACTTAGTTTACAGCTCAGCGGAGGGACAGGCCCAGTTCCACCCTGCCCCATGCCTCCCTCCTCCTGCCCCCACACCCTGTCAAGCCTGTCTGCGACCCTCACTCATTTAGCCCCATCACAACCAAGCCAGAGCCTTGTTTGAGTCAGGCTTCTCTCTCTTTACTGCCTGGCCCACCTCCATCCGCCTGAGTGACCTCACACAACCCTTTGAGAACTCGCCCGGCTCATAAGCAGTGGTTGTGCAGGGGAAATAGTCCAGTGAGAAGGAGTGGCCTGAGAAACGGGGGTTTTGTTCCCACCAGCTTATGATTTATTTACAAGCTTCCTTAAGCTAGTGCTTTTGTTCTATAGAACTCTCCGCACAAACAACCTTCAAGATGGACATTTTTACACAACTCTCTTTGGAAATTAGAATGAGGGAGAACAGAACGGGAGGGAACAAAGGGAGAAAACGGGGCGGCAGTGGAAGAAGGCATATAAATGCTGTCTTATATTTGTATAAGGCTTTATAGCAGTTTTCAAAGACTAGCCAGCCAGGGGCTGGATCCAGCCAGCAGATGTGTTTGGTTTGGACCATAGAGTAATCTAAAACTCAAGGAGTGACATATGCAAATAGATTTCCTGTTTCTCTTCTAAGAAAACAACTGGGGCATATCTGGTAACAGTGGATCTACATTCACACGTGGTAATGATTAGCTGGAGCTGAACAATGACTGTCCCCTTCGGAAGGGCCTGCTGGCTTCCCCGCCCCTCAGTCTCCACCACATCTAATCCAGTCCCTCTGACCAGCTTTGTTCATTTTCATTACCTCCCTGGCCTTGCAGGCATTTGGTGGCAGCCTCTGCATTCTCCTGTGTCCTGGTGCCAGGGGGCGTGACACCTTGGATTCATCATTCTGGTCCTGGACTCCATAGAGGATGTGACAGTTCAGGGCCAGGACGGAGCCAGTTTTCTTTCTGACGAGACTTCTCCATGACCCTGACACTGAGTTTTTGTTGTTGTTGTTTTTTTTCTTTTGTCATGAGTTAAGAGAGAACCGGGGGTGAGGAGAGGGAAAGGGGCATAGTGGCAGGCGTCTGTGGTCCCAACAGTTTGGGAGGCTGAGGCGGGAGGATCACTTGAGCTCAGGAGTTTGAGGCTGTGGTGAGTTTTTGTTTGTTTGTTTTTTGAGATGGAGTCTCACTCTGTCGCCTGGTTTGGAGCACAGTGGCGCAGTCTTGGCTCGCTGCAACCTCCAACTCCCAGGTTCAAGAGATTCTCCTGCCTCAGCCTCCCAGGTAGCTGGGATTACAGGCGTGTGCTACCATGCCCAGATAATTTTTGTATTTCAGTAGAGACAGGGTTTCACCATGTTGGCCAGGCTGGTCTTGAACTCCTGACCTCAAGTGAACCACCCACCTCAGCCTTCCAGAGTGTTAGGATTACAGGCATGAGCCACTGCACCCAGCCTGTGGTGAGTTCTGATTGCACCACTACACTCCAGCCTGGGCAACAGAGTGAGACCCTCTCTCCAAAAAGAAAAAAATAGATATTAAAAGAACTGGTTGAGGGTGAGGAATGGGAATGATGGAGATCAAGAGGAGAGTGAGGTGTGAATAAGCACCAAGTGATGTCTCTGTTTCGGGATTTTTGTGAGGAAGGTGTTCCTGTTAAGCAGAAGAGGTGTGAGCGCCTAGGTGCTCTCTCAGACCTGGATTCACCCATCAGATCCTTAACCTTGGCAAACACCTTCACTTCTTTGAGCCTCCATTCGTGCATCTGTTAAGTGAGAACCAGACTTTGAAATGTACTTGCGAGAACCATAAATAGTACGTGCAAAACATCCCACAGAGAGTAGACACCCTGTAAATGAATGCTATGTCGTCTCAAAATCTTTTAGCAATGAGGTGGGATATAGAATAGAAAGGCAAAATGGTAGGTAGTTTTTTTTGTTTGTTTGTTTGTTTTTTTGAGATGGAGCCTCACTCTGTTGCCCAGGCTGGAGTGCAGTGGCATGATCTTGGCTCACTGCAACCTCCGCCTCCCAGGTTTAAGCAATTCTCATGCCTCAGCCTCCAGAGTAGCAAAGACTACAGGTGTGAGCCACCACGCCTGGATAATTTTTTGTATTTTTAGTAGACACAGGGTTTCACCATGTTGGCCAGGCTAGTCTCAAACTCCTGGCTTCAAGTGATCTGCCTGCCTCAGCCTCCCAAAGTGCTGGGATTACAGGTGTGAGCCACCACACCTGGCCTATTTCTTAATAAGTATTTCGTCCTACTGATTGGGAGAGCATGGCCTGGGGAATGAGGGGGTATTTTGAATCTGAGTGTGTTCACGAGTCCTTTGTTCACCTCTCTCCTGTGCTTTGGGCTTCTTAGCAGCCTTTGGCACTAATCCTGGGCTTAAGGTCTGTTTTGCTGTCTCTTAGCTGTTGGAGCCAGCAGACCTGACTGGAGAGAACTGGATGATGAGCTCATGAAAGAAGCTGTGCTGTACGTGGATTCCCAGGAGGCTGCCCTGAAGGAGTCTGGAGATGTCCTGCTGTCAGGGGTGAGGCCCTTCTGACCCCAGTCAGGGCTGCCACCTGGCTGGCCTCACCTGGATCCCAGGGTTTCATTAACTTCCCTTCCAGTTTGGTCTGCTCCAGACCTCAGCCACCCCACCTCCTTGTAGGGGAAGGAGCTCCTAAACATTTTGCAACCCTCTTTAATTCCATTCCAGAAAAATATGGGCATTATGGGTGGTGACATGTGTGTTCCTGGAAGGAGAAGCTCAGTGGATTTTATTTTTTTGCTGGGCTGTCCTCTAAAGAAGTGGGATTGGAAGCTTCTTGCAGCCTGGAAACCTTCCCAATGTGGCCAACATGATAAGACTGTGTTGCCCACCTTCTGGCCTCATTTTACGGTTATAATCAGCATAAAACAAGAAGGGAGCTGCTGGCATGCATGTTCAGATAACAGCATGTCTATTTCCTCACTGACACAATGATCTTGGCAGGACAGCTCCCTGAGCACCAACTCGAATCTCTGTGTTTATGGTATCACAAAAGCAAATGCCACCCCAAAAGGATTTCGGGGCCAGCCTCCTCCCTAATATCATTCAGTGTACAAAGGATCTCTCTCTTTTTTTTTTTTTTTTTAATCAAATTTATCTCTTATCCAATTCAGGAATTCCCTGGGCTGGCTTCAAAAGCCAACCCTGCACAGACTTTAGCTTCATGCCTGGGTCAGCGTATGTTTGTTTCCTAGGCCGAGATCTTTGCTGAGCTGGGAGAAGTGATTAAGGGAGTGAAACCAGCCCACTGTGAGAAGACCACCGTGTTCAAGTCTTTGGGTAAGATCCATTGCTCCCTGGGCACAAATCCAACTAGCGCACAAGGCAGGTTCACCCATTGGTGGAAAGAGCAATGAGTCACCAGACTCTGCAGCTGAATCATTGTGCTCCATCATTCAGGTCAATTATTTACATGGTTTAGCCTAGTGCTAAGCCCATGAACTCTGGAACTGAGCAGTCCTGGGTCAGAGTCCCTTCCCCGCCACTCAAAGGCAGGTGTCCTTAGGCAAGTGATCTGACCTCTGTAGGCCTCAGTTTCCTCACCACCTGTTACCATTGAGGATTAGGTGGGATTTGCATATAAAATGAATCAGTTCGGTGCAGATCTTGATGAAATTCAGAAGGTACCCTTCAGAGGTGGAGGGGGCAGGGGACAAAGATGTTAAAAGACAGGAACCTTAAGGGAAATGGCAGAGACCCAACCTGAAAGAGTCAGATGGAAAGTATAGCCTAAGCCCTGTTCATTCCCTCCTTCCCTACTCTCCCACTTGCTGCTTTGAGGAGGGCTTCCATGGGGAGCCCCCTACCACCTGAGTTGTATGGGGTACCTTATAGAAGCCCAACAAAGGGTGGGCTCCCAGTGGCCAGTCTGTCCCTTGCCCCAGGTCCTCTTCCACCCTATGAGATTGAAGGAAACAGAAGTACATGGGAACAGGCTGAGCTCGGTGGCTCACGCCTGTAATCCCAACACTTTGGGAGGCCAAGGTGGGCAGATCACTTGAGCTAAGGAGTTTGAGACCAGCCTGGCCAACATGGTGAAACTCCATCTCTACTAAAAATACAAAAATTAGCCAGGCGTGGTGGTGCACATCTGCAATCCCAGCTACTTGGGAGGTTGAGGCAGGAGAATCACTTGAACCCGGAAGGTGGAGGTTGTAGTGAGCTGACATCGTGCACTCCAGCCTGGGCAACAGAGCAAGACTCCATCTCAAAAAATAAATAAATAAAGTACATGGGAACAGAGCTGATACACCTAAAACACTGAAATACTCCCAAACTGGTTGGTAAACAGTTGCTATCCTGAGCCCCTCGAGAGTGCCCTCTGTCCCCCTCTCATGACCTTCCATACTTCGTGATCAAGCAGCAAAAGAGTAAATGCCTGGCAGAGCATCAGGAGCGCTCTGGCCACCCAGAGCCCATGCCATTGGTTAAGTATCCATGCCTTGCAGGTTGGTAAATGTCTTTAAAATCTCTCATGCACTGGAAGACAAAGGCAATACAATTTTATCTGGAGCCTGGTTCAAAGACATCACATGGATCCAGTTTTGTCTGAAAACTTCAAAGGTCATGGCAGATCAGAGGTCAGCCAGCCCTTACTTAAGGAGCCAAAATGCTGCAGAAACTTGTTCTGTCCTTTTTGGCAATTTTTGCTTTCTTACTTTTGGGGATCAGTTTATTGGTGCATTGTTTCATCTAACAGATGCGTATCAAGCACCTAATTATCTGTGCTGGGTGCAGAGGTTAAGGTATCTACCAAAATTACAAGACAAAGGGGAGATATCAAAGGATGCAGCATTCAAACTGGACCAAGCGTCAGAAAACTACAGTCCTGGGGCCAGACCTGCTCTGCTGCCTGCTTTTGTGTGGCCTATGAGCTAGAAATGGTTTTTAGATTTTCAAATGAATGGGGGGAGAAAATATTTCATGATGTCTGAAAATGATACAAAATTCAAGCTTCAGTCCCATCAATAATTTCACTGGAACACAGCCCACAGCCAGGCTCTTTTGTTTACCTGTTGGCTGTGTTTTCTACTCTAAAGGCAGAGTTGAATAATTGTAATAGAGACCCTGTGGCCCACAAAGCCTAAAGGATTTACTGTCTGACCCTTTTTGAAAAGTTTGTTCAGGCCAGGCGTGGTGGCTCATGCCTGTAAGCCCAGCACTTTGGGAGGCCGAGGTGGGCGGATCGCCTGAGGTCAGGAGTTTGAAACTAGCCTGGTCAACATGGTGAAACCCTGTCTCTACTAAAAATACAAAAAAAAAAAAAATTAGCCAGGCATGGTGGCATGCACCTGTAATCCCAGCTACTCAGGAGGCTGAGGCAGGAGAATCACTTGATCCTGGGAGGCAGAGTTTGCAGTGAGCCAAAATCGCGCCACTGCACTTCAGCCTGGGCAACAGAGCGAGACTCCATCTCGAAAAAAAAAAAAATTAAAAAAAAAAATTTGCTCAGCCCTGAGCTAGATTTAGAAAGATGCACAATTTGTTGGTGGGTGTTTCTTACTATCATATTCTCTGCCCCTTTGCAGACAATTGAAGCCTGAGCTCATCTCTGGGTATCAGTCCCTGTTATTCCAATAGGCATTGGCAACATGGACATGTATCAGGAAACTTCCAGCCATGGGGCCTGGGTTGTTTCAAGAAAAGTTGTTTTGACCAAAGGCGAACCAAATTTCTGTCTATTCTAGGAATGGCAGTGGAAGACACAGTTGCAGCCAAACTCATCTATGATTCCTGGTCATCTGGTAAATAAAACAAAGGAACTTGATGTTGAGATGGATGCTTGAGGAATATTGCTGCTGGTTCTCATAATTTCTAGAGTAAATGAGGGAGTCCAGTCCCCAGTGAACTCTCCTTTTGTGCTTATCATGTTTTACCTTAAATGCTGAGATCCTCATTTATGTTTGTAGTTGGAAAGCAAAGCTAGGTAGCCATTTCTTCTGTTCTACCAAGTTATAATAGCATTCATTTCCCTTTATATTTCCCTGAAATAAAGCACATTCCAATTGTGCAGTGTTTGCTTCGGTAACTTCTATTACTATCACAAGGAAACTGAGAGGGATCAGATGCTCCCATTTACTCCCTGGGGGAGCTACACTGGCTATAATGAAACTTCTTTTTTATGTATTTATTTAGTAGTTACAACTCACATACTCTAAGATCCACTAGTTTAAACTATACAATTCAGTAGTGTTTTTTTTTTTTTTTTTTTGGATGGAGTTTCACTCTTGTTGCCCAGGCTGGAGTGCGATGGCATGATCTCGGCTCACTGCAACCTCTGCCTCCTGGGTTCAAGTGATTCTCCTGCCTTAGCCTCACGAGTAGCTGAGATTACAGGTGCCACGCCACCACACTCAGCTAATTTTTGTATTTTTAGTAGAGACGGGGTTTCACCATGTTGGCCAGACTGGTCTTGAACTCCTGACCTCAGGTGATCTGCCCGCCTCGGCCTCCCAAAGTGCTGGGATTACAGGCGTGAGCCACGGCTCCCGGCCAAGCCTGGTCATTTCTTACAAGTGAAATTCTACTATATGTAGTCTTTTGTGCCTGACTCCTTAATGCTTAGAGGAAAAATGGAATTTCTGTATAGATCAGGGCTCCTTTGGTCATAAGTGGTAGAGACTACAACTCAAACTACCTTAAGCTGAATGAATGGAGAATGAGATTTATTGGCTCTCGTAATTAGGAACACACAGGTAACTGGTTTCAGCTACAGCTGTATTCAGGGGCTCCAACTGTCACCAGGGCCTGGTCTTCTTCCCCGTTGGCTCCATTATCAAGTTCTCCCTGGTAGTGGCAGGACATTGGTCAGCAGCTCCTGAATTGTATTCTGTCCTCTTTAGCAACTGAGCATAAATATTCTCTTCCTTTACAGTTAGATGTTCCAGAACTGAGAGTTACTGGACCATCTAGGTCACATGTCTATTCCTGAGCCTAACATTGTGGCTGAAAGACATGGAATAGACGGGGTGAGGTGGTTCATGCCTGTAATCCCAGCATTTTGGGAGGCTGAAGCAGGAGGATTGCTTGAGCCCAGGAGTTCGAGACCAGCCTGGGCAACATAGCAAGACCCCATCTTTTAAAGAGATGGAATACCCTGGCCAGGCTCAAGCCTTGTACCTATCCCTGAACCATCACGTTGTCCAGGGGGATCAGATGCTCTGGTTATCCAGGCCTGGATCACATGCCCACCCTTGAAGTCAGAAGTGTCATCTGCGCATCTGCCCACATGAGCTGATGGAGGGAAGGTGTCTCTTAACAAAAAGAGGACTGGGTAGTTGAAAGGCAAAATCTAAAGATGTCCACTACAGTATCCATGTTAAAAGGGCCATTAAGGATCAGCTAGTCGATCTTCAACTTACGGATGGGGAAACTGAGGTGCAGAGATACTTTCTCCAGGCCCCCTGAATCACTAGCAGAACCGTGTTGTCCTTGTCCTGCCAAAGGCCCTGTCCAAATCCCACTCCGACCCTAGCCTCACCCCACCCCTTCGCTTTTTGCTACTCCAAGGCTGGTTTTCAGATAAGTCAGCAGCAAAGCATGGCTCTGTTTTCCTGACCATACTCCTCCTGGGAAGGACTCATGCTCCAGATGGTTTAGCCAAAAGTTTATCATATTTGCCAGACTGTCTGGACAGGGGTCTTTGTGCTGAAACAAAATACCCACATTACCCACATGATCTGATTCTGCATATCTCAAGTGACTATGGAGTCTTTCTGAGGAATCCTGATGGTCACTACCCTAAAGGATATATAGAGAAGAGCATGGAATGATGAGAATATTCATATATCTTTTCTTTCATTCTTTTCGCAAGAGCCCCTATCATAACCCTGTGCTAGCTTACTAAGATACAACAGAAAAGTAGTCCTCAGCCCCAGAGAACACAGCCTCGAAGAGAAGACAGATGTTAAAAAAAAAAAATTACAATAATTTGGTGTTACAGGAACATGGTTCAGGGTCCCTGCAGGAAATGCAGATGTTCCTTGACTTATGATGCAGTCGTGTCCCAATAAATTCATCAAAAGTTGGAAATATGTGGCCGAACATGGTGGGTCATGCCTGTAATCCCAGCACTTTGGGAGGCCAAGGCAGGCGGATCACCTGAGGTCAGGAGTCCGAGACCAGCCTGGGCAATATGGTGAAACCCCGTCTATACTAAAAATACAAAACTTAGCTGGGTGTGGTGGTGCACACCTGTAGTCCCAGCTACTCAGGAGGCTGAGGCAGGAGAATCACTTGAACCCAGGAGGCAGAGGCTGCAGTGAGCCGAGATTGTGCCAGTGCACTCCAGCCTGGTTGACAGAGCAAGACCCTGTCTCAAAAAAAGTTGGAAATGTGTCAAAAATGCATAGAAAACACCTACCAAACATGATAGCTTAGCCTTGCCTACCTTAAATGTGCTCAGAACACTTACATTTGCCTACATTTGGGCAAAATCATCTGGTAACACGGTACACTGTTCACTGTCAATTGATTATCCTGGTGATCACATGGCTGATTGGAAGCTGTGGCTCGCTGCCTCTGCCCAGCATCCTGAGAGAATATCTTACCAGTTTCTACTGAATGCGTATCATTTTCACACCATCGTAAAGTCAAAAAATCTTAAGTTGAACGATTGTAAGTGGGGAACTGTCTGTAGATGCCACACTCAAAAGGTGTGATTGAAGAGAATAAAGAGACTGTTTAGGAAGAAGCACCCCAGGGTTAGCAATAGTAGGAAATCACTACCACTGCTAAGCTTGAAAGAGCAGTTAGTGAAACCCAGAAACAACTAGAGCTATAGCAGAGGGCTGCCAGATGGGAGAGGTGAGCTTAGATGAAGGCAGCTGCTGCCCTGAAAAGAAGAAACAGGTAGAATAAATGCCTCAATCTTTCTTTCTCCCACCTTCTGGTATCTTGTTAGTAACTCCCATTGGCCAGACCCAACCAGGATCCCAAGGGCAAGGGAGCCCTTTGATGCAGTCCAGAGCCCAACCACCTGGGACACAAAGTAGGTTGGAAAATAGTAGAGAGAAGTTCTGGAGAGGCAAACAAAGAGAGCTTGCACAGATAGGAAGCTACTCAACCCAGACTAGGGGCAAAGAGAGAGGGTATGTCTCCCAGTGAGGATGGCTATATGGAGGAAGACTTTTCCAGGCAGAAGGGTGATGGTATGCTAAGGCACAGGCATATGAGAGACATGTATTCAGGAAGCCACAAGAAATCTAGTATAGCTGAAATTAGGGGACAGGGAGAGGAGTGGTCAGAGATGGGACCAGAGGTTTGGAGGAGAGAATAGGGCTCTTTAATCATGCAGGCCTTCTGTGTGGTGGTGAGAGTTTGAAAAGCAATGGTGGCTGAGCCCAGTGGCTCACGCCTGTAATCCCAGCACTTTGGGAGGCTGAGGCAGGTGGATCACCTGAGGTCGGGAGTTCGAGACCAGCCTGACCAACATGGAGAAACCCTGTCTCTACTAAAAATACAACATTAGCCAGGCTTGGTGGCACATGCCTGTAATTCCAGCTACTTGGGAGGCTGAGGCAGGAGAATCACTTGAACCCAGGAGGCTGAGGTTGCGGTGAGCTGAGATCGTGCTATTGCACTCCAGCCTGGGCAACAAGAGCAAAACTGCGTCTTAAAAAAAAAAAAAAAAAAAAAGCAACAGTAAAGTAGAAAGTGACAAGAGACTTACATATTAAAAAGATTACGTGACTCAACCAGCCTTGTGGAGAATGAATTAAAGACAGATAAGGATACTTACAGCAATCCAGTGAGTGATGGTTGGGGGCAGGAACCAATAGGTCATCTTGCAAACATCAAAGAGGATTTAGCTCTGAGACATATTGAAAAGTTGAAAGGGCCTGGTGACCAATTGGGTGATGAAAAGAAGTATTGGGTTAAATTTTCCATTTATGAAAAATGAAGATTTAGAGCTGCATGTTTTAATGCAGCTGAAACTGAGCACGATCACTATTTGGGTCTCGATAATTCATTGTGGTGGTGGGCTGTCCTGTACATTCTAGGATGTTTAGCACCCATTGTTTCTACCCACTGGATGTCAGTTGCACCACTGTTCCCCTATCATGGCAATCAAAAAATGTCTCTAGATATTGCCACATGTCCTCTAGGAGACAGAGGGCAAAATCATCCAAGTTGAGAACTGACAACCTGGAAGAAAATGGGTTCAGTCCTGGACACACTGAGTATGGGGTACTTGTGAGACATGTGAGAGGAGATGTCAGATTAGATTTGGGCTTAAGTATTTGGTGCCCAAAGCAATGGTCTGGGCTGGTAACTTGGACTTAGGAATTCTGAGCATATAACTGACCTGTACTACACAATGGCCTGAAATATAAGCACAATACACATTTACCACACTATAACTTCTCAAACTCTCCTCTTCGGTGAAATGCTCCCAGCTGCTTTTCCCTCTTGTTGACTTTTATGTCAAGCTACATAGAGGGGGAAAAGAGGGGCCAGGAGGTGGTAGGGGTGACCAGATATTGGATTGAGCTACTCTAAGCATCTAGTTTAAGAGATGGAGGTCTGAGATCAGTGAGTACTTGAAGCTCATCCTGGCTCATAATCCTCTTGTCTTTGTCTCTTATCAAGGCCTTTGTATTGCTCTGGCATCTTCTCTTAGCCCCTGTAGTTGGTATTTAGTTCGAAAGATCTGGAATTCTTAGAACATTGATAACATCTTATAACATGGTATAAACCTTTTTTTATTATATAACAATACTCTGTGACGAAGAGACTATATCCTTGATGCTGAGAACTTTGGAGAACGCTCACCTATTAATTCTGTCAATCATAAAAGAAAAGAACCCCTAAGAAGAGCATAGAGGTACCTGATGAGACCCCTAGTGGCAAATATCTCCTAAAAAGGGATGAGAGTCAATGTTCAAGTTCATTTCTACCAACCTGAGTGATGGCTCTCTTGCTATGATGTAGTTACAGCAGGGGGTGGAGCAAATATCTCATTAGGCAGATTCCGGGCAATAGGTGAAGAGGGGATTCTGGCATCTATGATGATGAAATATAATAGTGGCAGGCACAGACTACAAACTTTTTTGAGCACTTTCTATTTGCCAACTGCTTCTGTGCACGTTAATGAAGGAAAGCACAACTTCAGTTTATTCCACAAGATAAGGTATTTGTAAACAATCATCCCCTAATGCAACGTGTTTATTCAATGGCTAACAAGCTTTCTGAATATATTCATTGAGGAAGAATAAGCCAATTGTTCATCAGATTTGAGCATCTGTATCCTCCCTAAACTTGAATCCTCCATGATGCCTCTTGAAGTAACCCAAACAGATGTGCATCAGAAAGCAAGCTGAAGATAAACAGCTGTTTCTGTATTATACCCAGAATCAACAGTAAATTCCACTTGATGTAAGTCAGCCTGTAGAGATCTAATGAAGCTTAGCTCTTCAGTGGGGTTTCAGTTTGAATTTGGGATTGCCATTGAAAAAATGTCAGCAGCAGTGTTGTCAGTTTCTTTTTTCTTTTTTTTTTTTTTTTTTTTTGAGATGGAGTCTCTCTTACCGCCTGGGCTAGAGTGCAGTGGTGCAATCTCAACTCACTGCAACCTCCACCTTTTGGGTTCAAGCAATTCTCTTGCCTCAGCCTCCCAAGTAGCTGGGATTACAGGCACACGCCACCACACCTGGCTAATTTTTGTATTTTTAGTAGAGACGGGTTTCCGCCATGTTGGCCAGGCTGGTCTTGAACTCCTGACCTCAGGTGATCTGCCTGCCTGGGCCTCCCAAAGTGCTGGGATTACAGGCATGAGCCAAGTGTTGTCAGTTTCTATCGTGGAACCTACACATATTCAGATATGCGGCAATGGTGACAGACAACAGTAAATAAACCATGTGTACATAATAAGCATGAAAATGTGAAATTTCCTTTGACAATCAAATCTTCCCTCCAAAGAACTTAGTTTTTTTTCCCCTTAAGTTTCACTAGGTGTTTACCCTTACAAAACTCATCAATTGCAGTTGGACAGACTTTTTTTCTGTATTTTTCTTGGTCTCCTCCCCAACCCTCTTACTTAGGACAGTATTATTCTGCTAGGACTGCCATAACAAAATGCCACAGACTGGATGGCTTCAACAACAGCAGTTTATCAACCGAAGTTTATTTTCTCACACCTTTGGGGGCTGAAAGCCCAAGATCAAGGTGATTGCAGGGTTGGTTTCTCCTGAGGCCCCCTCCTCGGCTTGCAGACGGCCACCTTCTCACTGTGTCCTCACGTGGCCTCTCTGTGTGCCTTCCACCTAAGTGTCTCTTCCTCTTCTTAGGACACCAGTCCTAGGCCAGGTGCAGTGGCTCATGCCTGTAATCCCAGCACTCTGGGAGGCCGAGGCAGGTGGATCACCTGAGGTCAGGAGTTTGAGACCAGCCTGGCCAACATGGTGAAACCCCGCCTCTACTAAAAATACAAAAACTTAGCCAGGCGTTGTGGTGCACGCCTGTAATCCCAGCTACTCAGGAGGCTGAGGCATGAAAAGTGCTCGAACCTGGGAGGCGGGGGTTGCAGTGAGCTGAGATCACGCCACTGCACTCCAGCATGAGTGACAGAGCAAGGCTCCATCTCAAAAAAAAAAAAAAAAAGGGAAAAAAAGGACACCAGTCCTACAGGATTAGGGTTGCATTCTTATGACTTCATTTAACCTTAATCACTTCTTTAAAGGTCTTATTTCCAATTACAGTCACATTAGGGGTTAGAGCTCCAACATATGAATTTGACGCAATTCAGTCCACAACAGGTACCACCTGTATTCTATCTCTTTCTTCACTCTCCCCACCACCACTCTGTCTCTATTCTCAGGCAGGAGTATTATAGACGCATTTCCATTACTTGTAAACATGTACACATTTGTTAAAGGGTTAGATGCATTTAAGTTGGGCATCAAGCCGCAGGCCAGGAAAGAACTCTAGTCTCTACCACTAGGCAAAGTCATAGATCTCAGGAGAGAAAAAGAATTGGAATTCCCAGGTTACACAGATCGGAAAGCAAGCAGCAGGATAATGTGATGAGATTATAATTTTAAATCCAGAGATAGAAAAGTAAAGGAAGTTTCTTTCATTTTCCTGTCATGCATATGACCCTTTCTTTATTCAAAAGTATCAAAAAGATAGGCTGGGTACGGTGGTTCACACCTGTAATCCCAGTGCTTTAGGAGGCTGAGGTGGGAGGATTGCTTGAGGCCAGGAGTTTGAGACCAGCCTGGGCAATGTGGCAAGACCCCACCTCTACTAAAACATACAAAATAAGCCAGGTGTGGGGGGTGTGAACCTGTAGTCTCAGCTACTTGGGAGGCTGAGGTGGGAGGAGATCATTTGAGCCCAGGAGGTTGAGAATACAGTGAACTATGATCATACCACTGCACCCTAGCCTGGGTAAGAGACTGAGACCTTCATCTCCAAAAAACAAAACAAAACAAAACAAAACAACCACAAAAACAATTATATGTACATATAAGATAACTGAAGAGAAATGCCAGATTCTTGTTATGAAGTCTCCTCAAGTTTCTCATGGAGATTTATTTGGATGGGCATAGCCTACCTCCCAGAGTAAAGTTTGGGTCTCTCTCTCAGGTAGGCATTTCCGATGCCCTAGAATCCATTCCCAGTGGTCTGGCATTGGGTAAAGAGGGGGTGCCGCCTGGAGTGCTGCCAGCGGGCCACAGCATCACCCCAATGCTCCAGGCCAAAACTCTCCATCACAGGCTGGTGTCGACCAGCTGCCCAGGCTGTTGAAGCACCTGCTTCCTCCTGTTGATAGCATTCAGAACTTTCTTCCTGGGACCCAGCTGCATTTGTATGCTCTGAAGGTCCTCATCAGAGCAGAGCAGCAGAGCTTCTAGATCAATCTGCTCTCTCTTGAAGATAGGCAGGAATTCTTCCAGGTGCTGAGACAGCAAGAACACTTCCAGGGGCGTGGCATCGACCACATCTTCCTCCCACTCCACTTCATCGTCATCCCACGGCAGATCATCTTTGAGGCCGTTTTCCTCTCCCTCTTCATCAGCTGCACCCTCATCAGCCTCTGATGCTCCTTGTCTTTGAAGCAATTCACTGGGCAGTTTAAAACCAAACTCTCTCTTGCTATCTGAGATGTCTTCAGGACTCGATATCCTGTTCCTTCTAAAAACAATACTTCCTAGACCTGGACGATTGAGAATGGATTCATGGTGCACACTGCCGTCCTCCTCTGCTGACAACTGGAGCTTCTCTTTGAAGTCCCCTGAGAACGAGTCTTCCTCTTCCTCTCTGAACACTTCCATCACGTTCCTCTGCCCACTTCTGCCTTCCTTCCCCACCTGTTCTGCTGTATCTTTGTTCTTCTTGAACTTGATCTTGAAAGTGTCTTTAATGCCCTTAGATAGTGACCCGAATGTGCCAGGAGCAGAAGCATTTGAAGGGGATGATCTGGAGAAGGTACCCTTGGAAGAAGAGAGAGTCCCGGATTCCTCCTTGCTGTAGGTGTGGGCCATCTTATTTTGGTGCTTCTCCTGGAGCCTCTCACACTCTTTGATCTGCCTCCTGGCATTCTTCTGAGCCTGCTCCTTCAGCCTGGTGACCTTCTTGGGGTTCATGATGTTCTGTGCAGTGGCAGCCTTGTCCAGGAGAGCAACACATTCATTCTGCTCCCTGCTGGCAGCAGCATCCAGTGGAGTCTGTAAGTCATTATCCAGGGCAAAGATGTTGGCACCAAAGTTGACCAGGAATGAGACGCAGTGGGCATGGCCATTGGAGGCTGCAAAATGTAGAGGAGTGTTTCCCCAGATGTCACACCTATCAGGGTCCCCTCTAGAAGAGAGAGAGAGAAAAAAAATACATGTTGGACTTTTTTTCTCTGAACGCAGGCCCAAAAAAATCAAAACAAAAATAAAGAACAAAAGGCACGTTAATACAAACATGTTCATCCTGACTTGACATTGTTATAAGATACTGGCTGCAAGTCCAACTGTCTTAGAACCATCCCATCTTAAAACCACATGGCCAGAAACAGAGCCCATCTCTACCGTGTGTCTCCTTTTTGTTTGTTTCCTTTGTTTTGTTTTGAGACAGGTTCTCACTCTATCTCCCAGGCTGGAGTGGAATGGTGTGATCACAGCTCATTGGCAGCCTTGACCTCCCAGGCTCAGGTGATTCTCCCTGCTCAGCCTCCTGAGTAGCTGAGACTACAGGCATGCACCATGACACCTAGCTAATTTTTTGTAGAGACAGGGTTTCACCATGTTGCCCAGGCTGGTCGCAAACTCCTGGCCTCAAGCCATCTGCTTGCCTTGGCGTCCCAAATTGTTGGGATTACAGGTGTAAGCCACCGTGCCTGGCTGTGTCTCCTTTTTAGAAGTGAGAAAAACTTACTAAGAAATTCTCCAGCCAAACAACTTTCTTGTCTCATTGGCCAGCACTAGGTTACACGCCTAAGAGATGGGAAACATACTATTGTGTTTAACTTAGATCAATTAGATTTTGCCCTGAAACTAGGGATAGGATTGTTCAATGGCTTATCAAGAAAATAATAACATCAAAATCCTAATTTGTAGCATGTGCCAATTTCTGTGGTGTAAATACATCCACCATGGCAAATTTCAAGCTACCAATGTAACATCACTGGACAGAGTTTGGAAGAGATACACAGTAGCGTACCATTATCAACTATTTCCCCCATGTAGATATAATGGACATGAATCATCTTAAGAGACAGGTAAGAGTGAAATGTATTAAAATAAGTAGAAAGTGAGACTTTCGTGTTATCTTTTTAATATAATTTGTTAAATTATAAGTTTATATAATTTTTTTTGAGATGAAGTCTTGCTCTGTCGTCCAGGCTGGAGTGCAGTGGTGCAATCTCGGCTTGACTGCAACCTCCACCTCCCAGGTTCAAGCGATTCTCCTGCCTCAGCCTCCCGAGTAGCTGGGACTGCAGGCACCCACCACTGCACCCAGCTAATTTTTGTATTTTTAGTAGAGATGGAGTTTCACCGTGTTGGTCAGGCTGGTCTCAAACTCCTGACCTCAGGTGATCCACCCGCCTCAGCCTCCCAAAGTGCTGGGATTACAGTTGTGAGCCACCACGCCCAGCCTGTAATTTTATTTTTAAGAATGGCTATGTTCTCAGAAGCTCAGGCTTACAGTAACCTATGATTGCACCACTGTCTACAGCCTGGGCAACACAGCAAGACCCTGCCTTAAAAAAAAAAAAAAAAAAGGCTAGGCTCAGTGGCTCGTGCCTGTAATCCCAGCACTGGGAGGCTGAGGTGGGAGATTTGCTTGAGGCCAGGCATTCAAGACCAGCCTGGGAAACATAACAAGACCTGCCTCCATTAAATTTTTTTTTAAAATAAAAATAAAAAGTAAGAAAGAATGGCTATATTTAGCTGTCAAACTTTCTAAAATTTGGAAATAACTCTGACAAGCTGGTTCCAGCATGCTACTGCTACCCTCCCGAATTGAGCCACATGTGGGGAAATAAATAACTGAACCAAACTCAGTCCCCATCAGCAGGAAAGAAGAAAGAAAAGGATGTTGGAGAGGTAGCAAACAGTGTCTGTTACAAACATTATTCATTAAAAGGGCATTACATCTCTATTTATTCCTCAACTTACTTCCATGACTGCAGGTTCATATAAGTGTGTCATTCTACAAGAGTTTAAGGTGGAATTGGGGATACTATTAGATGGTATTAAGGCCATAAACCTAATGCCTGGCACAGAACAGGGACATAGTAGGTGCTCCAGTATTTGTGGAATGAATGAAAACCTACTGGAATCCTGCCCAAGGCAGCAAACCCTCCTCTCCTACAAGGACTTGAGTTACAAACAGGAACAGATAAAAAGTCGAGTAACTATTTTTAATGATGGCCAGAGCCATGCGCCAATGCTGAGAACTCTGATAATACAGATACTAAGGGGTCCTTCCTTTGCCCTAGGCTAGACTCCAAAATCAGGATCTCACTAAACTCTGGCCAGCCTGGCCCCATGGAAAGAGGACAGTGAGTCTGAGAAGTCCTCTTAACATTCCCGAGAAGTAGAGGGCAGACAGAAGCAGAAGAGAAGATCTGCACCCTTGCAAATGACCTGTTAGTGCGCCACGACCATTCTACTAGTTCCTGGCTGCTCAACGTTGGGTCTCCAGACCAGAAGCAGATGCATCACCTGTGAGTTTGTTAGAAGTTCAGAAGACTCTCATGCCTGTAATCCCAGCACTTTGGGAGGTCGAGGTGGGTGGATCACAAGGTCAGGAGTTCAAGATCAGCCTGGTCAACATTGTGAAACCCTGTCTCTACTAAAAATACAAAAATTAGCCGGGCGTGGTGGCACATGTCTGTAATCCCAGTTTCTCAGGAGGCTGAGGCAGAGAATTGCTTAAACCCCGGAGGCGGAGGTTGCAGTGAGCCGAGATCACACCACTGCACTCCAGCCTGGGTGACAGAGTGAGACTCTCTCCAAAAAAAAAAAAAAGCAAACCAAAAAAAGTACAGAAGACTCTCACCCAGACCTATTGAATCAGAATCTACACTTTAGCAAGATCCGCAGGTGATTCGTAGGCTCACTACAGATTGAAAAGAACTTCACTGGTTAGTGTGATCCGACCAGGGTCCTATAATTTGATAAATCAGATTTGCAGTTACTCCACGGGAATCCCTGGCTCTTTGGTGTGTGTTAGTTACAAAGAAGCACTTTCACATTCTTTGCCTTCAACCATCACAATCTCCCTCTTAGAGAAGGCAGGCAAGAATCATTACTGCAGGAATAAAATAAGACTCAGAGAGCTTAATTGATTTGCCCAAGGGTAACAGGCAGCATGATTTGGATCAGGCTGGTCTCCCAGTCAAATCATCTCCAATACAATACATCCTAGATTAACACAACTGGGCTTTTCCATTTTACCAGCTACATGGCCTCAAGTTTAATTTTTCTAGGACTTGGTTTCTTCATGTAAAAAGTAAAATAAAGTTTCCTCTTCAAAAACTTTCCTCCCCATCTAATTAAAAATAAATAATAACTTCTCTTAAAAACAAAATTTATTCAAAAACCTGTACTAACATTCTTAAATATCTACTAGCCATAATAAAAAAATCAATATACTTTATACTCTTAACTCCCACAATTTAGCTTAAATATTTACCCTAACATACTTATAGTAGTCCAAACAAACATTAAGTCATAGCCTGTTCCTCTTCCTTATTTAAAAGTGTTTTTACCTTTCTCAACATTCCACAAATTACTTTCTCCTTCCTTTGTTCTCCTCTGCCTTTGCCTCTTTTAAAAAGTTCTAAGTTACTAACCAATCAAGACAAATACAAAATGTAAAGTCCCATTCCAGCCAATAAAAACCAAACACAACATTAAACACATCAAGTTATAAATAACCCTGTCTCCTTTGTTCAATATACTCTCATAACAAAACTACTAACAAATATACCCTTTCTACGAAAAATAAAAATAGCCTTACTAAAAAAATTAAATTTATGTTCAAATACTATTTCTTTGCAACACCAAAAGACAAACATTTCTAACACTCATCTGTAAATTGAAGATAATACTATTACCTATTCATAGAGTTATGTGAATTAAATAAATTAATCTACATAAAGCATTGGAAAACTGCTTGGCACATAGTAAATATTGAATAAACATTACTTATTATCCTTGCCCTTGCCCCCAAACTCATAATCCTTAATTTCATGTATTTATTTTTCCTTGTATTCAACTAGTAAATTCCTACAGCACAATAATGCTTGTGGGTTTTTAAAAATCACTTATAGGCCAGGTGAGGTGGCTCATGCCTATAATCCCAGCACTTTGGGAGGCCGAGGCTGGTGGATCACTGGAGGCCAGGAGTTTGAGACCAGCCTATTCAACATGGTGAAACCCCATCTCTACTAAAAGTACAAAAATTAGCCAGGCATGGTGGTGCGCGCCTGTAGTCCCAGCTACTCAGGAGACTGAGGCAGGAGAACCTGGGAGGTGGAGATTGCAGTGAGCCGAGATTGCGCCGCCGCACTCCAGCCTGGGTGACAAAGTGAGACTCTGTCTCAAAAAAATAAAAAAAAAATCAATCAATCAATCACTTCCAGTTTTAATCTGACAAATATTTATGCCTTGTCTCCTTAATTGGATAATATGCCCCAGAGGGCAAAGCCTGTGTCTCTTTCTCCTTTGTGTCAGCCACATGTCCCGGCAGAAGTCTCCAACCCAACTCAAAGAAGTCCAGCAAGTCATGTAAGTGACTGAATGGGGCCAAGTTTGCTCTTTCAACAAAGTCACAGTTAAATGCATACTCCACCTAGAAAGGACCACAGCTCAGCTACCTTGAATCAAAGCGGAAACAATATTGCCAGAGCTCCCATTTTTCAAACGAAGCCACAAATCCAGAATTTCAAGCGAAATTCTGTGATTTTTAAGTGTTGGCTCAAATTTAAAAGAAAAATATAGTAAAGTCCAAATAAAACACATTTGTGGACCAGCTCCAGCCCATAAGCTGGCAACTGGTAACCTCCTTCTGAGCAGAGAGAACAGTGTGAGCAGAGGCACAGATGGCTGATATTACAAGGCCTATTTGGGGAACCAGGAGTATAGATCAGCGTGACCAGAGTGTGTGGAGTTGGGGGTAAGGGGAAAGAGTGGAAAAGGAAAGAAAATGAAATCAAATCTAAGGAAAGCAAATATTAAGTAACACAGTTTTGCTGGGAAGCCACTTTCCAGAAGGCTCTGGTCAGTCAGCCTGACTTAATTGTTTGGGATGAAAGGAGACCCTTCAACCTTGGCACAGACCCGCATCTTAAGGGACCGCTGTGTCTCCCCCCTAAACATGTGGTTTCACTTTTTATTTTAAATAAACACTAGATGCAAAAGACTCCTTAAGTATCCTAGACATCAAAGAGGGATTGTAAAACACCCAAGACGTTACTATCAACAGAAAGAGAAACATACTGATTAAATTTGCCTGAAGTTATCCTTGGATTGGATAAGTTGAAAACAAAATTATTGGGAGGAGTGAGCTGCAGGGGGGATGCAGAAGGGCACTAAGGTGTCCGGGTTAAATGTATATGCTTAAGACTATAGACTGGTGGAATTTTCTCATTTCACTGAATTTTTATTTTGCTTTAAGTTCTGGGATACATGTGCAGAACATACAGGTCTGTTACCTAGGTATACATGTGCCATGGTGGTTTGCTGCACCTGTCAACCTGTCATCTAGGTTTTAAGCCCTTCATGCAGTAGGTATTTGTCCTAATGCTCTCCCTCCTCTTGCCCCCGACCCCCCAACAGGCCCCGGTGTGTGATGTTCCCCTCCCTGTGTCCATGTCTTCTCATTGTTCAACTCCCATTTATGAGTGAGAACATGCAGTGTTTGGTTTTCTGTTCCTGTGTTAGTTTGCTGAGAATGATGGCTTCCAGCTTCATCCATGTCCCTGCAAAGGACATGATCTCATTTTTTTTTTTTTTTTTTTTTACAGCTGCACCCATTTCACTGAATCTTAAATGATGCTTTCAAGACAGAAGGAAGAACAGTACACCTGAGATGACCCCAAAGGTGGGCCTTCTTTTGAGAAAATTTCAAATGCAAAATTCCAGATTTACAGATGAAACTGTCAGTAAGACAATTCATGGGTTTTCCTAGTGGCTTTAAGCTATTAAAACTTGCAAAACTTTGGCTGGGCACAGTGGCTTATGTCTGTAATCCCAGCACTTTGGGAGGCCAAGGTGGGTGGATCACGAGGTCAGAAGATCAAGACCATCCTGGCTAACATGGTGAAACCCCGTCTCTACTAAAAATACAAAAAAAATTAGCCAGGCATGGTGGTGTGTACCTGTAGTCCCAGCTACTCGGGAGGCTGAGGCAGGAGAATGGCGTGAACCCAGGAGGCGGAGCTTGCAGTGAGCTGAGATCACACCACTGCACTCCAGCCCAGGCAACAGAGCAAGACTCCGTCTCAAAAACAAAACAAAACAAAACAAAAAACTTGCAAAACTTCTACTTACAGACACATTTCCAAATTGATGTACAATTTAAATGGAAATATTTTCTACAGACAAGTTGCATGGAGTCCTTTTAAATTCCATACTTGTCATTGTTCACATTTCTTGATAGAACCATTGCATACAACTGCCTGGGTGGAAAACTAGTCCTGTCGTTTGATAATCTGAGTTCAACATTGATGCTCTACGGTTTTCGTGGGCTAAGCTCAGTCTAGTGTTGTTTTTTTCTATTTCCCTTTTCCCCAAAAGAGAAACTCACTGAAGAGATTTTAAAATAACCCATTTTTCCCTTGATTTTTGGTAGATCAGTGCATTTGGGCAATAGTTTTTAAAGCTGGCTTAGCACTACTGTCACTAAGTAGGCAATTTGCTTAAATTACCCTGAGCATCTGTTACATTCCAATTTTTCCTCCTGAAGTTGATTTTTTGTGAAGTTCTCAACTATTCTTTCAAAAACGTTTTTCTGCATAAAAAGAAATATTTGGACTCACTAATAGTCAAAGAAATGCAAATTGAAACAATACTCTGCCTTTTGCCAATCAGATAGGCAACGATTAAAAAGAATAGTAATACTTGGTTTTGGCAGGAGTATGGGGAAAGAAATACTGCTGGAAGAAGCAGAAAGTGGTTCAAATTTCCTGGCACAATACACACAAAAAGCCTTTAAAATGAGGCACTCTTTTGAATCTACAATTCTACATTTAGGAATTTGTCCTAAGGAAATATAAGATCTTTGTGCAAAGATGAATGAGCAGGAATGTTCCTCCCAAACTTACTTATAACAGGAAAAAGAGTGGGTTCAAATTAAGCAACATGAATAGTCAACTGATTACATATATTATGGCATTAATCTGTGTCCATCAGTGGAAGAATGGATAAAGAAAACATGGTGGCTCCACACAATGGAATACTATCCAGTCTTAAGAAACAAACGGATCCTGTCATTTTCGACAACATGGATGAGCCTGGAGGACAGTATGTTAAGTGAAATAAGACAGGCACAGAAAGACGAATACCACATGATCTCACTTAAATGTGGAATCTAAAAAAGTCTCCTAGAGGCTGGGCGCAGTGGCTCATGCCTGTAATCCCAGCACTTCGGGAGGCTGAGGTGGGCAGATCACGAGGTCAAGAGATTGAAACCATCCTGGCCACCATGGTGAAACCCCATCTCTACTGAAAATACAAAAATTAGCTGGGTGTGGTGGCACGTGCCTGTAGTCCCAGCTACTTGGGAGGGCTGAGGCAGGAGAATTGCTTGAATCCGGGAGGCGGAGGTTGCAGTGAGCCAAGATCGTGCCACTTCACTCCAGCCTGGTGACAGAGTGAGACTCCGTCTAAAAGAAAAGTCTCCTAGAAGCAGAAAGTAGAATGGTGGTAACTAGGCAGAGGCAGACTGGGGAGTTGGTCAAAGGATACAAAATTTCAGTGAGACAGGAGGAATAAGTACAAGACATCTATTGTAACACATGATGACTATAGTTTTTTTAAAAATTAGTTATTTATTTTTTATAGAGATGGGGTCTTGCTATGTTGCCCAGGCTAGTCTCGAACTCCTGGCCTCAAGCAATCCTCCTGCCTCAACCTCCCAAAGAGCTGGGATTACAGGCATGAGCCATCATGCTCAGCTCAATGGCTATAGTTAATAACAATACACTGTATATTTGAAAATTGCCTACCAAGTAGATTTTAATGTTCTCATCACAAAAAGTATAGAAGATAACACATAGTCAATTAGCTTGACTTAATTCCACAATGTATACATATTTTTAAAAATCACGTTGTACACCATAAATATATATAATTTTTGTTAATTAATAAAAATAATGAAACTGGCCAGGCACAGTAGCTCACGCCTATAATCCTAGCACTTTGGGAGGCCAAGGTGGGTTGATCACTTGAGGCCAGGAGTTTGAGACCAGCCCGGCCAACATGGTGAAACCTCATCTCTACTAAAACTACAAAAATTAAGTGGGGGTGGTAGCATGTGCCTGTAACCCCAGCTACTCTGGAGACAGGCAGGAGAATTGCTTGAACCTGGGAGGCTGAGGGTGCAGTGAACTGAGATCGCACCACTGCACTCCAGCCTGGATGACAGAGCGAGAGTCCATCTCAAAAACAAACAAACAAACACCATAAAACAGAATACCATGAAGTCATTAAAGATAGTGGCATGCATTATCCCATCCCTAGCAAATTAACACAGGAATGGAAAACCCACTACCGCATATTCTTACTTATGAGTGAGAGCTAAACATTGGGTACTCACAGACGTAAAGATAGCAACAACAGACACGGGGGACTATGAGAGGAGGGCAACGGTTGAAAAACTATTTGGTACCATGCTCACTACCTGGGTGATGGGATCAGTCATACCCCAAACACCAGCACCATGCAGTGTACCCATGCAGCAAACCTGCACACGTACCCTCTAAATCTAAAAGTTGAAACTGGCGTGGTGCAGTGACTCACACCTGTAATCCCAACAATTTGGGAGGCCAAGGCAGGTGGATCGCCTGAAGTCAGGAGTTCGAGACCGGCCTGGCCAACATATAGTGAAACCCTGTCTCTACTAAAAAATACCAAAATTAGCTGGGCATGGTGGCGCATACCTGTAGTTCCAGCTGCTTGGGAAGCTGAGGCAGGAGAATCACTCAAACCTGGGAGGTGGAGGATGCAGTGAGCCAAGATTGTGCCACTGCACTCCAGCCTAGGTGACAGAACAAGACTCTGTCTCTCACAAAAAAAAAAAAGTTGAAATTATTAAAAAAAAAATAAAATAGTGGCGTGGATCTCAACTTTTAAGTGCAAATGGTCCATGATATATTGTTAAATAATTAGAAGGTTTCAGTATAGTTTATATGATTGTCTTTTAAAGGGAGAGAATGTACATGTGTTTGCATGTACTCAAAGGAAAAAGTCTGGAAGGATATGTACCCAAATGTTGATAACTGTAGGAATTGGTATAATTTTTACTTTATCAATTCTATTCAATATGATGTGAAATATTACAATAAGTATGTATTTCTTTAAGAATCAGACCAGCCTGGCCAACATGGTGAAACCTTGTCTCTACTAAAAATACAAAAATTAGCGGGGTGTGGTGGCAGGCACCTGTAGTCTCAGCTATTCCAGAGGCTGAGGCAGGAGAATCACTCGAACCTAGGTGGCGGAGGTTGCAGTGAGCCAAGATCCCATCATTGCACTCCAGGATGGGCGACAGAAGCGAGACTCCATCACAAAAAAAAAAGAATCTGGGGGAAAAAGTCTAGTTTCCATTTTAAAAAATAAAACCAAGAAATTTCATACACTTTAAAGGTAAAATGAATTTTTTTTTGTAATTGGGCCATTATGCTTCCTAGTGCAGGAAAATACATGTAATGATTGTTTTCCATCTTCAAATTTTAAAAACAAAGGAAAATAGTTTTCTAACAAAGCCAGAGTTTTAATATAAATGGTTGCTATAGGATTCGTTGTCTATCAGGTAATGACAGATAAACTCTTAAATCATCAGACTGAAATGGACTTCAGTATTTCAATAGTTGATTAGCTTCTAAATTCAATTTTCAATTTTTTTTAATTTTAGGTTCAGGAGTACATGTGCAGGTTTGTTATATAGGTAAACTCATATCACGAGTGTTTGTTGTAGATAATTTTGTCACCCAGGCACTAAGCCAACATGTTCTCATCATTTAGCTCCCACTTATCAGTAAGAATATGTGGTGTTTGGTTTTCTGTTCCTGCGTTAGCTCGCTAAGAATAATGGCCTCCATCTCCACCCATGTTCCCACAAAATATGTGATCTCATTCTTTTTCGACTGCATACTATTCCATGCTGTATATGTACCACATTTCCTTTATCCAATCTGTCATTGATGGACATTTAGGCTGATTCCATGTCTTTGCTATTGTGACAGTGCTGCAATGAACACTCACATGCATGTGTTTGTTTGTTTGTTTGTTTTTTGAGATGGAGTCTTGCTGTTCCCCAGGCTGGAGTGCAGTGGCGTGATCTTGGCTCACTGCAACCTTCTCCTTGCGGGTTCAAGCAATTTTTGTGTCTCAGCCTCCTGAGGAGCTGGAATTACAGGTGTGTGCCACCACGCCCAGTTAATTTTTTGTGTTTTTCTTTTAGTAGAGATGAGGTTTCACCATGTTGATCAGGCTGGTCTTGAACTCCTGACCTCAAATGACCCACCCGCCTCGGCCTCCCAAAGTGCTAGGATTACAGGCATGATCCAGGCATGTATCTTTATTGTGGAAGGATTCATATTCCTTTGGGTATATACCCAGTAATGAGATTGCTGGCTCGAATGGTAGTTCTGCTTTTAGCTCTTGGAGCAATTGTCACACTGCTTTCCACAATGGTTGAACTAATTTACACTCCCACCAACAGTGTATAAGTGTTCGCTTTTCTCCTCAACCTCACCAGCATCTGTTATTTTTTGATGTTATAATAGCCATTCTGACTGATGTGAGATGGTAATTTTCTTCCCTTTTCAGCTTCCTTAAATCTAATTGGAAATTTGACCTCACACTGGTTCCCAGGATTAGCTATGGTCAAAAAGGCACCTCACAAGACTTCTGTTCTTTTTTTTAGCCTACATCAGGCCTGCTCAACACAGCAGATCCCAGATGCTTTTGAGGGCAATGAAACAAATCTGAGATGTACTAGATCCCGTGAGAAGAAAGGAGTTGAGAAGGAAGGACTAGGAAAAACAAGGTTAGAAGAATATTTGCACCCATAGCCAGTGTTTAATAAATATTAATATAAGCAAATTGGGGGGACTGGATATTTATATTACATTGAAAGAAATGATGTTACCATGTCAACTTAGTGGAGAAAGAGATAGACTATAACAACTAATTGTGTTGGAATAAATGAGTAGCCACTTGGAGAATGCAGAGTTAGATCATAATTCAGATCTTAAATTATATAAAGTATTTAAAATAACAAATGAAACTAAAAATAGCACTAAAGGATCAGTCAGTATTGAGGCATGACCTCAAAGTTAGAATCACACAACAAAGATTGATAGACTTATACGTATATATATATATATATTTATGTTTACATTTATATTTAAAAATCTGTTGTCAAAAATATAAATTGTGTATTGTAAAACAGTTGTAACCTATATGACAAAGAGTTGATATTGTTAACTTTCAAAAGTGTTTTTATCAATCAAGGAGAAATGGTTGAAAACCCCAATATAAATGGGGAATAAAGTTATAAATACACAGTTCACAAAAGTGGCAATCCAATGGCCAATTCTTTTTAAGCATAAAAAGAATTTTCAACCTCATCGGCAACCAAAGAAAAGAACATTAAAGCCACACTGGTGTATCATTTTGTTTTGTTTTGTTTTGTTTTTTGAGACAGAGTCTCACTCTGTTGCCCAGGCTGGAGTGCAGTTGCCTGATCTCGGCTCACTGCAACCTCCACCACCCGGATTCAAGGGATTCAGGAGCAATTTGTGCCTCAGCCTCCTGAGTAGCTGGGATTATAGGCGTGCACCACCACACCATGCTAATTTTGTATTTTTAGTAGAGATGGGGTTTCACCATGTTGGCCAGGCTGGCCTCGAACTCCTGGCCTCAAGTGATCTGCCCGCCTTGGCTTCCCAAAGTGCTGGGATTACAGGAGTGAGCCACCACGCCCAGCCTAATATATCATTTTGGACCTATCATGTTGGCCAAAATGGGTACTCACTTTCTGAAGGACAGCATGTCCATTTACACACACACAAAACTATTTAAATTGCACATATGCTGCTATGGTTTGAATGTGTCTCCTCCAGAATTCATGTTGAAACTTAATCGTCAATGTAACAGCGTTAAGCAGTGTGGCCTTTAGGAGACGATTGAGTCATGAAGACTCTACCCTCATGAATGGGGTTAGCACCCTTATAAAAGGACTTGACACAGGGAATTTGCCTTTTTTTTTTTTTTGCCCCTTCCTTCCCTTCCTCCATGTGAGGACACAGCCATAGGATGCAACAACAAGGCACCATCTTGGAAGCGGAGACAGGGCTGTCATCAGACACCAGTCCTGCTGGTGCCTTGATCTTGGATGTCTCTGCTGCCAGAGCTGTAAGAAATAAATTTCTGGTTTTTATAAATTACCTAATCTAAGGTATTTTGTTATAGCAGTACAAATGGACTAACACAAATGCAAATTGATCCAGAAATTTCACTTTGGAGAATTTATTCTCAAGAAAATGTGGCCAGGCCCGGTGGCTCACACCTGTAATCCCAACACTTTGGGAGGCCGAGGTGGGCAAATCACCTGAGGTCAGGAGTTCGAGACCAGCCTGGCCAACATGGTGAAACCCTGTCCCTACTAAAAATACAAAAATTAGCCCGGCGTGGTAGTGCACGCCTGTAGACCCAGCTACTTAGGAGGCTGAGGCAGGAAAATTGCTCAAACCCGAGAGGTGGAGGTTGCAGTGAGCCAAGATCACGCTACTGCACTCCAGCCTGAGTGACAGAGAGACTCCATCTCAAAAAAACACAAAAGACAATGTCAGCAAAGATTTATGTACAAGGATAGTCATCATAGCCCTATTCAAACTAGGGAAAACAAACTATGTGTCCAAAAGAGGGGTTGGCTAAGAAATGTATTTGTTGACTAGAGTCCTACAAAGTCCCTGAAATTTATAGAAGAATATTAAAATGTATTTGTATGCACTATAGTATATATAGAGAGAACTATATACATCTTAGTAGCATGGCATTATAGGACATTTTTTCTTCATGTTTTGTGTGCGTCTGTATGGTTTAATTTTCTGGGTTCAGCTCATGTTACTTTTGTAATTAAAGACTAGCAGAACCAGGCTGAGTGCTGTGGCTCACACCTGTAATCTCAACACTTTGGGAGGCTGAGGCAGGAGGATTATTTGAGCTCAGGAGTTCGAGACCAGCCTGGGCAACAAAGCGAGGCCCTGTCTCTAGTAAAAATAAAAAATAAATAAAGACCAGCAGAAGAGTTATTGTAAGAGAATATTTCAGGCTTTCAAAGGAGAGAAAGAGAGAGAACACCTAAGCATTACTATTCAAAATGTCCTCAAATGGAACAAGAGCTCTCTGCTGAGAAGAACCCCAGAACCCCCAAACCCTCTTCTAGGAGGACAAACTCACTGGTTGATACAGTTTGGATCTGTGAGATTTGGTGGGGAACAAACCTCAAATCAAATTGTAATCCGCAATGTTGGAGGTAGGGACTGGTGGGAGGTGACTGGATCGTGGGGGCGAATTTCTCATGAATGGTTTAGCACCATTCCCCTTGGTACTGTCCTCATGATAGTGAGCTCTCATTAGATCTGGTTTCTAGCACCTCCCCCCTTGCTCTCTTGCTCTTGCTTCTGCCATGTGAGATGCCTTTTCCTTCTGCCATGATTGGAAGCTTCCTGAAGGCTCCCCAAAAGCAGAAGCTACTATACTTCCTGTACAGCCCGTAGAACTATGAGCCAGTGAAACCTCTTTTCTTTATAAATTACCTAGGCCCAGGCATTTCCTTATAGCAATGCAAGAATAGGCTAATACTTTGATTTTAAAGTAACTGACATCTTGCAGTTTGTGGAATGAGGTAGACTTTCAGTAGATGGAGAAAGCTGGGGAACCCTAGGCTGAGTAGGAGAAGAGATGAGATGACTGGAGAAGGCTGGCTGATGGGGATCGATGTGTCTGAGAAAAGAAAGTCTTATTCAGACAAGAGAGATGGGGAAGATCTGCTTCACTCACTTTCTCATTCAATCTTCAACTCAGGAACTCTCCCAATCCTGGGTTCTTCTGACACTTCCTAAATGTCCCCTATTTTAATAAAGGGTGTCAACATCCAAAACCTGGGACCTTAACCCTCCTTTTCCTTTATCTGCCCACATCCAGTCAATCATTATTGATTCTACATCCAAACTGCCACTCAAATCCAACCATATCTTCCCATTCCCAATGTCACTACCCTAGTCCAACTCATCTCGACCACTAAAACAGTCCCCAAACATTCTCTCCGACTGTTATCCATCTACCTGAGTGAGTTTTGTAAACATAAATCTACTCTGGCAGCTTCCCTACCCAAGACATGGCTTCCTGGGCCCTTAGGATAAAGTCCTTACCAGAGTTGACAAGGCTCTTTGTGATCTGGTCTTATCTCTTATACTTGTCCTGACCCCACTCCTACTTGAACCACATCCAGCCATACTCAGCTTCTCTAGTTCTCAGAACTAGAGCAGTTTTCCATCTTAGGGAAAACACTCTTTCGTCTAGCCAACTTGTTCTCATTTTCCTAATCCCAGCTTAAATGCTTTCCCCTTAGGGAAGCCTTCCCTCACCCCTGAGATTGAGGTAGATGCCTATTTAGTGCCCTCTATTTCCCTTTTTGTAACAAATATCATAGATGAGCCAGGCACAGTGGCTCACAGCTGTAATCCCAGCACTTTGGGAGACCGAGGCTGTCAGATCGCTTGAGCTCATAAGTTGAAGACCATCCTGGGCAACATGGCAAAACCCCATCACTACAAAAAGTACAAAAATTGCTGGGCATGGTGGTGCACACCTCTTGTCCCAGCTACTCGGGAGGCTCAGATGGGAGGACCACTTGAGCCTGGGGCTCAAGGCTGCAGTCAGCTATGATCTTGACACTGCACTCCAGCCTGAGTGACAGAGTGAGACCCTGTCTCAGAGCAAACATGCACACACACACACACACAAATATCATAGATGTCTTGTCTTCCCCTCTCAAATCTGCTCACTATGACAGGGACTGTGGCTGTCTTGTTGATCACAGTGTGCCCAGTGGCTAGCAAAATATCTCTTATCTTAAGAGATAAGTGGCTGGCACATAACAAATACTGAATAAATGGGTATTCAATTGGATTCACTTGGCTCCTTTATTTACCTTGTCCTTTTCTCTTTCTTTACCCCTCTTGGGTTACGGTTGCCAACACAACCTAGCCCTCTGATAACAGGCAGAACAAGCAGAGGAACTAGCTTACTCCTCCATTAAAATCTGGGCAAAGAGATGGGGTGTGTGTGTGTGTGTGTGTGTGTGTGTGTGTGTGTGTATCTATCCACTAGCCAAAGAAGTGATAGAGTTAAGATAGGCTAAAGAGTCCTTGTAGAGCCAGCAACTCCATTCAAAAGAGCAAGACCCTGTGTCAAAAATAAAAAATAAAAAAATCATGAGCTTGCACTGGGATTGAAAGTTAATAAAAGACTGTGAGATTTTGATGGCATAGATAAAAAAAAAACTAAAACCATGTCATTTGTTCCAACCAAGGTTGGCAACTTAAAACCAAGTAAAACAATGGCCTCTTTGAAAAGAGAAAACTATTTAAATTTCATGAAAAGCATTTTTAAAGGCATAGAATTAAAATATCTTCCCTCTTCCCCATGCAGATAATGCCGTAGTTCAGGGTCTCTCCTCTGATTGTGGCTAAGGGATGAGCCACTCCTATAGTGCCAGTCCTCAGTGAGAAAAGAGAGCATCTCTAGGCATAGTTTTCTCTCTTTCTCTAAAAATCCAATCATTTAGACAATCTAGAAAGAGGATAAAGTATTTGTATTGACGTCCCTGCCTCTTGCTGCTGTCTGCAAAAACCTACCATGAACACTGTTTCCAACAGAAACCATCGGGTTGAACTTACCCTCTACTGCAGATTATCTCTAGGGCTTCCAAGTTCCCATGGTAGGCTGCCAAGAGAGTAGGAGTCATGCCGTCTTCATCCGAAAGATTTAGATCTCGCTTGGTAGCCTCTTTTAGAAGTTCCAGGTAACTATCACTAGCAGCTTGGTGGTAACGAGTAGACATTTTTCCTGCTCACCAGAACTTGGCCAGATGTCTCTCCAGGCAGAGCAAGGTGTTGGCGGAGCAACCTTCCTATAGAGCTGGTTAATTAGTGACAAGGAAGAGTGTCACCAGGGGCAAAGCTCATTTCAACTGCTTCCTTTCACGGAAGGCAACAAGGTTCGAGGCACTGAACTTGGACCTTTTCTCTCTGGAATGGCCATGACGTTGACTATTGAAGACTGCTGTATTCATCTTGAGTGTTTGGAGGTACATTCAATTTTTCTATGTCCATTAGTTTCTTGAGTGTAATATTGGCCATCTAGGCACAGGATGTAAGAAATAATTTCTTAATAAAATGCAGAGCTACTCTAGTTCACTAGCTGTTTTTTCCAAAAAGAACAGCTTTATTGAGGTATAACATCATTAAATTTACCCATTTCATGCATACAATTCAATGATTTTTAGGACATTTATAGAGTTGCATGCCCATTATCATAATCCAGTTTCCATCAGCCCTTAAAGATCCCTCATGCCATTTGCTGTCAATCCCATTTCCACTCCCAACCTCAGGAAACCACAGTCTGCTTTCTGTCTCTATAGATTTGTTTTTTACGGGCATTTCAGACAAATGGAATCCTACAATATATAGTCTTTAGTGTATAGCTTGTTTCAATTCACATACTTTTTTGAGGTTTGTCATGTGTAGCATGTAATGGTTTCTTTCTTTTCACTGCTGAATAATATTCCACTGTGCTAACATACCACATGTTCTTCATCCATTCAATGTTTCATGAATATGATGAATATTTGGGTTGTTTCCATTTTTCAGTAATGATGAATAATGCTGCTATGAGCACTGATGTACAAGTCTCTGTGTGGACACATATTTTCATGTGTCTTGCGTATATATCAAGGAGTGAAACTGCTGGGTTGCATGGCAATTTACATTTAAATTTCAGAAGTTGCCAGACTGTTTTCCAAAGTGGCTGTACTACTTCACATTTCCACCAATAACGTATGAGGGTTTCAATTTCTCCACAACCTTGCCAGCCTTATTATTGCCTATCTTTTTGTTTATGGTCATCCTAGTGGATATGAAGTGGTCTTATTATGGCTTTAATTTTCAATTTCCTAATGACTAAGATATTGAGCATCTTTTCATGTGCCCATTAGCCATTCTTACATCTTCTATTCAAATCTTTTTGCCCAATTTTTAAGTGGTTGTCTTATTAATAAATTATAAGAATTATTTATATACTCTGGATACAAGTCCTATATCAGACATATTTGGAACAGAATGAAAATGAAAATACCACATATCAAGATTTATAGGATGCAGTTAAAGAAAAGCTTAGGGCAAAATTTGTAGTTTTTTATGCATATATGAGAAAGAAAAAAGATCTCAAATCAATAACTTAAACATATTATCAATAACTCAAGGGAAGGAGAAAAAGTATAGAAAAATGACTATAAGGAGTACAATATAAGACCAAAAAATTTCCAGATCTGTAATAAAAACAAAAGAAAATGGACTAAATTTATGATGTGGAAGACTCAGCCATGTCTTGTTTATAATAGACATATCTAAAATATAAAATTGCAGAAAGATTGAAAGCAAAAAATGGAAAAGTTATAGCAAGCAAATACTAACAAAACATTGGTGTACCCACATAGATGGTCTGCAACTTATGAGAGTTTGACCTAATTTTTCAACTTTATGATGGCACAAAAATGACAGGTATTTAGTATGCTTCTCAGCTCACAACTGAGTTATTATATCAACTTATGGTGGTTTTGCATTGTAAGTTGAAGAGCACCCGTATTGGTAGCAAGGAAAAATATAGCTTAAGCCAAAAAAATTTACTAGGCATAAAGAGAGATAATACATGATAATGAAAGGAACAATTAATCAAGAAACTATGATCGTTTTAAACTTGTATAAATTAAATAACACAGCTGCAAAAAAGGGAAAGCAAAAATTAAACAGAAAAAAAAAAACAAAACCACAATCATAAGGGAAGATTTCAGACATCATCATAATGTTCTATATCAGACTAAAGATTGGTATAGCTATAAAATATTTGGGCCGGGCACAGTGGCTCACACCTGTAATCCTAGCACTTTGAGAGGCTGAGGGGGTGCAGATCACGAGGTCAAGAGATTGAGACCATCCTGGCCAATATGGTGAAACCACGTCTCTACTAAAAATACAAAAATTAGCTGGGCATGGTGGCATGTGCCTGTAGTCCCAGCTACTCGGGAGGCTGAGGCAGGAGAGTCGCCTAAACCCGGGAGGCGGAGGTTGCAGTGAGCTGAGATCGCACCATTGCACTCCAGCCTGGTGACAGAGTGAGACTCCATCTCAAAAAAAAAAAAAAAGAAGAAAAACAGATTTGAACACAATTAACAAGCTTGATCTAACAGTCACATGGAGAAAGGACCCTGTGCCCAATAGTAAATGCATGTTTTTTCTAAGCACACAGAATATTTATAAAACCTGACCACTGAATAGAAGCAGTGCAGTTCTCGACAAATAACAAATAACAGGGTTCATGCAAACCGTGTTCTCTGAAGACACTGCAACTAAATTAGAAACCGCCATCCTTACATAACTCATCAACTATGCATATGTTCTCCTGTGGTGTATTTTTTACATTGTTTTCATCAAATACATATAATTTTACATTACATCTTTTCCACTCCTTAATCCATCATAAATATATCCCCATATTGTTACACAATCTTTAATATATTTAGATAATTGTCCACTAAACTGATGTGAGAAATATCTATTTTTGAAGCCTGTAACTGTATATTCCTCTTATCTCTTTTTGTCTAAGTTTTTATTCCAAGATAAATTATTTACCCACTCAGAAAAAGTACAAAGCTTTCATCTACAGTTTCTTCACAATAATAATGAGCTCCAAAGGTCACTGTTTGTTCCTTTTTCTGGCTTCTAGGTGAAGAGCAGTAGAAGCAGCCTGGAGGGCAGCATTATTTAGCTTTTTTTAAACATTGTTTTTAGCCCAGAGAGAGTGACATATCCAAACATGATTATGAATACTGTGAGAAAATGGTAAGGTTCTTCATCAAGTTTTGCATGAGCCACTTTAATTTAGATACAACTGCATTCATTAATGCACTTTGAAATTTAAAAACAGGTCAGGCGAGGTGGCTCACGCCTATAATCCTAGCACTTTGGGAGGCAAAGGTGGGTGAATCACTTGAGGTCGGGAGTTGAAGACCCACTTGGCCAACATGGCAAAACCCCATCTCTACTAAAATACAAAAATTATCTGGGCATGGTGGTGCACACCTGTAAGCCCAGCTACTCATGAGGCTGAGGCAGGAGAATTGATTGAGCCTGGGAGGCTGAGGTTGCAGTGAGCCAAGATCACACCACTGCACTCCAGCCTGGGTGACAGAGTGCAAAAAAAATAAAAAATAAAAATACATATAACCGATAGAGAACTTCTCAAAGATGTATTATTTGTAGTAGAATCCTAAGACTCCAGCCAAAGGGTCTGCTTTCAGAAGATAAGGATGAGGAAGAGGAAGAGAAAGAGAAGAATAGTGGCCACTAGGATGGTCATAAGCCAAATTAGGATGAGGATTGTCAAAGTCAAAATAAAAATTTAGAGCTGAATCTCTAAATTTAATGTTTTATTTGGAAAAAGACTTGCAATTTGGGATACACACATAGACCAGGTGGTCTTCAGTATGTCTGAAGAAGAAAAGAGAAGTTTAGAGGTTTTATTAACAAGAGAAATGTTACATATTGCTCTTCAAGAAAGTTCATTGGCACTAGTAAGGGTTTGGGGAGCTGGCAAGCTCTGATTAGTGGGCAAAATTTGTCCTAGAGTTGCAGCAAGTTATCTCAGCAGCTGTAAATAAAACTGCTCCCGGGTTACAGCAGGCAGTTCCAGCAGTCAGTCTTGCTGAGAATTACGTTCTTGGAGCAATTTTTATTTATTTATTTATTTTTTGTACTCGGAGTGCTTTCTCCCCCAACTCCACCACCCAGCCTCTCAACCCTGATTTAGTTGGGTATAACAAGAATGATGCAATTTGCGTGATTAAGTTTCACAGGATGGAGGCAAAGGGTAAAGAGGACAGAATAATTATAGAGATGGGGAAGAAGGATTGGAGATAGAAGACAAGAAAGAGAAAGAATTTCTCAGTTCCAGCAGTCCTTAGGACTAGAACTTAAAGTCTCCTGTGAAATGGCGAAATAACCAAACTTTCTTAAATGGTAAATATCCTGGCATCCTCTGGCACGCCCTTGGGAAAATTTCCTCCTTGGGAGAAGAATGGGGTGGCAGGGGCAGCGGGGGGTGGGGAAGTGGGGGCAGAGATAAGGATTTAAAACATTTTTCTGAACTTGAAGATCCTCCTTATCCTATCCCTTCAAGGTGAGGTTGGGAAGGAGGGTTGAAGACCTAGCGTTCATATAATCCAGGAAAAGTTACTCCATCTATTTGAGTCTCCATATCCTTGTGGATAAAACTGGGGGATGTTGCTAGTGATCATATCATCATTATCATCAGCATCAACTAACTTTAGTAAAGATGAAGAAATAAAATTTCTTGCAACCCATAAAGCATGTTTTTACAAACTAGAAGTAGTGTGATTGTGGCTTAGGGAACAGACAGAGGAAGTTTTAGCCCAGTAATCATTTTTGAATTCCTCAAAGCCCAAAGGAAACAAAATTGGTGGGAGATGGTAAGGGCAGAAATTAATAAAAAGAGCTAACACGAATTTGCATATAATGTAGACATTAATTCCTTGTGAGGAGTCATGGTAATTGTGGGGGCAGTTGTGGATTTTCTTGACTGTACTGATCTTGTGGAAATTAGTATTTGAGCGTGTTCCATCAGCATACAGCTGGACTCTTGGAAGGCCAGAGAAGAATATTTGCCAGACACACACTGGAGAGACTTTGAGGCTCGGACCTGAGTGGCAGTGACCCCAAGTCAAAGCTCTCATCAACCTTCCTGTTGGAGCCTCGCCATGCTCCTCATATCTCCCCATACTCCTGCACTACTAGTATGTCTCAACTTAGAGAAACATCCTGTCCATGACCTCTGTGTTCCCTTGACTCTGACTGACACTTAGGTTTAGACAGGCAGGTCTTATTTCCTCCTGCACTGTCCTAAAACTCTAGAACCTCAACCTATTATCTGGAACCCCAAGCAGTTGGTTATTTAATGATAAGAAGCCCTTCTCCACAGACACCACTTCTTTTTTGCCAAAGACCCAGAGAAAACATGGTTAATCTGCTTCTAGGGGCAGCACTTGGAGAGATTCTCTCATGAATGGTTCCCCTCCTCCCCCCAGAGCAAGGACATTGTCAGCTTCTCATTGCTGTGTTTATGATTTTGCAGTCTCCCCTAACATCATAACAGCTGACAGTAGCTGACAACTAGGTAGTCTTAAATAGGTGTTCCTTCTACCATGGAGTCCAATCCTGGCCCAGAGGAAGTAGCATTTGGATGAAGAATTTACCTGGAACTCTGACTATCTATAAAACAGAGTCATGTGTGTTCCTTTGCTCAGGGAGAGGAAAAGAAGGGACAGAGATGATGGTAGTTGATACTTCCAGTCTAACTCCAAGAAAAAAACAACACTTGCAAAGTACAAACCAAACTTCTTCCTCATTGTTCTGAAAAACCATTTGCTGCTAATTGGGAAAGAAATTCAATGGCTTGTGCAACCCAGAAACACATATTTTCAGTAATGAGATTGCCCCTGTGTCCTAAGAGATCTGGTTTTCAAAAGCAGCCTGTGTTTGATCTCTAAAGCTATTCATGTCTAATTAGAGAAGAAATTCACTTGTATGGTAGGGAAGCACATTTTTTTTTTTTACATAAGAAGGAAAAAGATCAGAGTAGAACACTGCTTTTAACAAGATTACTTCATCTAATGAGGATCTTATTATGAATTTTAATGAAAATAAAAACAGTAACAAAGTAAGGGAAATTAGAGAGTAATACAAAAGTCCTGTTGTTCCATAGAAAACTTGCAGGAACCAGGCAAGGACAAAAGAAGCCATCAGTAACACACTGCTGTATGCACTGCCCTTGGGTTTATGAGAGACTATCTGTTAAGGTAAAGATGTGCTCAAATATATTATCCAGAAAATGTCACTTACATGTGTATTCTTTTCTCTTTAGCACAATGATACAACTGTTCAACCTATTTGATATGGATTTCTCCTATTCGGAAGAAATTTCAACAACTTCACTTCTAACTTAAACACATTCATCGACTAGCCTGGCCAACATGGTGAAACCCCGTGTCTACTAAAAATACAAAAATTAGCTGGGCGTGGTGGCATATGCCTGTAGTCCCAGCTACTTGGGAGGCTGAGGCAGAAGAATCACTTGAACCTGGGAGGCAGAGGTTGCAGCAAGCCGAGATTGTGCCATTGCACTCCAGCCTGGGCGACAAGAGCAAAACTCCGTCTCAAAAAATAAATAAACAAACACATATAACACTGTCAAAATAAGGAGAAACTTTCTTTCCCACATTGAAAGTCATTGATGTTTTCCTTAAAAGCATTGTATCATGTTTGTATTCTTTAACAATCAAAAAGAATCATTGTCTGCCTTTTTGTTTCTTCTTTTCTAAATGAAAACATTTATAAAAATATTTAAGTGGATAAGTTGCCTATTGAAATTGTAATGTCCCTGAAGTATTGGTTGAGCTTAATTTATTCATATAAGTTTCAAGCCATTCAAAGGCCTATTTTTCTGGCAGAAAACTAAAGACAGAGCTGTTATTGTACCATCTGGTTTGCATGAGGAATCTCTTGGCATCTCTTAACTGCACATTTTATAAATGCTAAATCCCAGATGGCATACATTGTAACAGTGAAGAGTTTTATAAAGGCTTCCAAAAACAAATTCTTTCAAATTTGAATACTGGATAGTCTAAGCAGGGGCTAGGAATTTAAATTCTACACTTGATTAAACTGGCTTTGTTAGCTGAACAAATTTCCCTTTTTTCTTATGTCTTTCCTTCTTCCTAATTATTGGTTCTGTGACTTGAAAATTTCAATCCATGTAATTCTTCTACCAACAGGTCCCCTCTATAACTCAAGTTCTAGAAAAACTGCAGGAACGACAATCATTGGAAAAACCTATGTTAGGTGCCATTTTGTTTCAAAGATGGTAGAATTTACCACAAGGGAGGTGTGTTATAGCATCCATTAGCAGATCATCAAATACCATCAAAACCGTTCAACTCTTACAAAGCTGATGGTTGGATTGGAAAGACAAGCAAATGTAAACTCCAAGCATTGTGTTGAAATAAAGCCAGAGTAGAATAATGATTGAGAACATGGGGTCTGAAGTCAGAGACTGACAGATATTAAGCCCCAGATTGGATCTTCCCATTAAGTTGGGCAAATTACTTCTCCCTAAGCTTTAGTTTCTTCATCAGTAAAATAAAGACAGTACTTTTCTCTTTAAAAGAGAATCATTCACAGGGTTGTTGCAAGTAATTACTGAATATTTGTAAAATACTAAGTACAGTTTATGGTGTGTAGTCAGCACTTAATTAAAGTAAATTAATAGTAGTACTAGCACTAGGAGAAAGAAAGTTTCTCCTTTCTTTAAGTCAATCTATATAAATGCAGCATTTTCTTAAAACTTCTCTTTTCTCTGCATTTTCCTTCTCAATAACAACAGCCGAGACCTAGTTTTGTTTTTTTTTTTTTGTCCTACCCCTTATCATGGTATAATAAAAATAATATATATTTTACAGTCACACAGAATTGAATTTCAATCTGGGGTTTTGTAATAGTTTACTAGGACTTCCATAACAAAGTACCACAGACTGAGTGGCTTAAACAAATTTATTTTCTTACAGTTCTGAAAGCCAGAAATCTGAAATCAAGGTGTGAGCGTGGTTGGTTCCTTTTGAGGGCTGTGAGGAAAGGACCTGTTCCAGGCCTCTCTCCTGGAAAAAGACTTGCAAATGGCCATTTTCTCCTTGTGTCTTCATGTCATCTTCCTCTTCACATGTCTGTGTCCAAATTTTCTCTTCTTATAAGGACACTTGGTCCTTATAAGATGGTCATATTGATTAGAGCACACCCTAATAACTTCATTTAACATCATCACCTCTGTAAAAGCTGTATTAGTCTGTTTTCACACGGCTATAATGAAATACCCGAGACTGGGTAATTTATCAAGGAAAGAGGTTTAATTGACTCACAGTTCCAACATGGCTGGGGAGGCTTCAGGAAACCCAATCCTGGCAAAGGCAAAGGGGAAGCAAGCATCTTCCACACACAGTGGTAGGAGAGAGAATGAAGGAGGAACTTCCAAACACTTATAAAACCATCAAATCTCATAGGAACAAACTCACTATCACTAGAACAGCATGGGGGAAATCACCTCCATGATTCAATCACCTCCCTCCCTCAGCACGTGAGAATTACAATTTGAGATGAGATTTGGATGGGGACACAGAGCCAAACCGTATCAAAGGCTATCTCCAAATACAGTAACATTCTGAGGTGCTGGGAATTAGGACCTCAACATGAATGGTGGGGGAGATATATTTTCAGCCCATAATAGCTTTCTACTACTATCAACTGGAGGAAAATTCACCTCAAGGAGACTTCATTTCATTTTCTTACTCCTATCTGGATTATTTATAAATCAGTGCTTAGCACAAGGTCTATACATTGTGGCCTTGACAAAAACTTTCTTCCCTTCTTCTTAGAAAGACTCATGAACTCACATTGTTTCTGGGAACCACCTACTCTTTCCCAGAACTCTGGATGAAACGTGAACGATGTACATGTGGCTTACAAAACCTGCAGAGGACCAAATGAGGAAGGAGTGGCTTACAGAGCTATGATCAAAGGAGACTTAGCAGGACTCAGCTGTTATTTGAATGGTGGGGGACATTTTATGGAAAAGATGCTTTAAAGATTATACAAAGGTGGCCAGGCATGGTGGCTCACACCTGTAATCCCAGCTCTTTGAGAGGCCGAGGTGGATGTATCACCTGAGGTCAGGGGGTCAAGACCAGCCTGGCCAACATGGTGAAACCCCATCTCTACTAAACATACAAAAATTAGCTGGGTGTGGTGGCACGCACCTGCAGTCCTAGCTACTTGGAGGCTGAGGCAGGAGAATCACTTGAACCCAGGAGACAGAGGTTGCAGTGAGCCAAGGTTGTGCCACTGTACTCCAGCCTGGGCAACAAGAGTGAAACTCTGTCGCAAAAAAATAAAAAAAGATTATACAAAGGTGAGAATCAACTTCTTTAAACACAGGGGAAAAAGTAAAAAGCAGAGATGAGGGGAACCCTGGATTCAATTCCCAGGACTGTCACTAAGTAACTGTAGGACCTAGAGTTATTGTCCCTATCTGCAATCCAGGTTCCTTGCCTCTCATATAAGGAGGTAGCAACCAAATTCTGTATCAGTCAGGTTTCATCAGAGAAGCAGAACCATTCTGAGTGATATAGAATAAAGGGTTTATTGCAGAGATTAAGCTTATACCTGGAAGCCAGGTAAGCTGTCTAGTAAGGCTATTTCTTCTGCACCAGATGTTAGACCCAAAGTCCGTAGGGCCAGCAATTGGGAAGTAAAGATGGAGAGGAAGTAAAGAAAAAGAACAAATTAGAATCTGCAGAGACAAATTGGAACCCCAGAGAATAAAACGAAACCCACGCCTGTCTCTCACCACCCCCAACCTCGACGACACAGGTGTCTACAGGATAAGCTGCCACCTTTCACCATAGACAAAGCTGCAAACGCACCTGGCCTAGGATTCAGAGAAGCTGAAGGGGGAGATCTGGACGGAGTGGGAGGAGCTGCAGGTTCGCCTCCTGCCCCACGCCCACAGGGTGAGCAGCAGCTCAGCCACTATATGCATGGTCTCTCCATGGTTTTGGAAGTTACAGGCTGCTGGTGGATGGGAATAAATATGGCCAGAGATATGTCTTGTTTGGCAGGCACAGGATTTTGAAAATATCTTTAACATTAAATATCAACATTAAAATTGAGGAAATTGAATGGAATCTGGATTTTCAGCTTCCAGATGAGAAACTGAAGATCATGACAATTACCTCTGCCTGAGCTGGGAAGCAGTTCTTTTTTTTCTTTTTTCTTTTTTTTTAAGATGCAGTTTTGCTCTTGTTGCCCAGGCTGGAGTGCAATGGCGCGATCTCAGCTCACTGCAACCTCCGCCTCCTGGGTTCAAGTGATTCTCCTGCCTCAGCCTCCAGAGTACCTGGGATTACAGGCATGCGCCACCATGCCCGGCTAATTTTTTTGTATTTTTAGTAGACAGGAGGTTTCTCCGGGTTGGTCAGGTTAGTCTCGAACTCCCAACCTCAGGGGATCCACCCACCTTGGCCTCCCAAAGTGCTGGGATTACAGGTGTGAGCCGCTGTGCCCAGCCAAAGCAGTTATTTCTTTAGATGCAGCCTGGACTCAACAGTCCACATCACCCCCAGCTGCCCAGAGCTGTAATCCTGACCCTGAGGGCAATAGTTAGTCACTTGCCATTCTCATCACACTAAAGCCATTTCCTTGCACCCAACCGACTTCACTCATGTACAGTATTTGCCTTGCTCCAGTAACCATGTCGAATGGCCTTTTGAGTGTGACAATGTCCTATCATTTCCTCTCACATCAGTTACATCCTAACCCTCCCTCATTTCCTTCTGTGCCAATCAGTCACCAAATACATATTATGCGCCTGTGTGAAAGCTCTTCTAGTCCCCATTTCCAGCATGTCTGGCCAATTCTCAAGCATTAAAAAGGCTGTTCTCTTGGGGATATGGGGATATTTACACCTGCACTCACAGGGTTATAAGACTTAAGCAAACTTGCATATTGCCCAATTGCAGTTGAATTACTGATCAGTAGAAAGAACACACACACACTTGCAGGATAATTTCCCAGGTTAGCCAAGGATACAGAAGTGGCCACGCAGAGCAAAATTAGCTGCTATGTGTTTTAGTAACACTTTATCCTGGTCCCATTGTGGAGAAAAGAGAGATCAGACTGTTACTGTGTCTATGTAGAAAGAAGTAGACATAAGAGACTCCATTTTGTTCTGTACTAAGAAAAATTCTTCTGCCTTGAGATGCTGTTAATCTGTAACCCTACCCCCAACCCTGTGCTCCCAGAAACATGCTGTGTTGACTCAAGGTTTAATGGATTTAGGGCTATGCAGGATGTGCTTTGTTAAACAAATGCTTGAAGGCAGTATGCTTGTTAAAAGTCATCACCACTCCCTAATCTCAAGTACCCAGGGACACAAAACACTGCGGAAGGCCGCAGGGACCTCTGCCTAGGAAAGCCAGGTATTGTCCAAGTTTTCTCCCCATGTGATAGTCTGAAATATGGCCTCGCGGGAAGGGAAAGACCTGACTGTCCCCCAGCCCAACACCCGTAAAGGGTCTGTGCTGAGAAGGATTAGTAAAAGAGGAAGGCCTCTTTGCAGTTGAGATAAGAGAAAGGCACCTGTCTCCTGCTCGTCCCTGGGCAATAGAATGTCTCAGTGTAAAACCGGATTGTATGTTCCATCTACTGAGATAGGAGAAAACTGCCTTAAGGCTGGAGGTGAGACATGCTGGCGGTAATACTGCTCTTTAATGCACCAGATATGTTTCTGTATGTGCACATCAAGGCACAGCACCTTTTCTAACTTTGTTTATGACACAGAGACATTTGTTCACATGTTTTCCTGCTGAACCTCTCCCCACTATTACCCTATTGTCCTGCCACATCCCCCTTTCCGAGATGGTAGAGATAATGATCAATAAATACTAAGGGAACTCAGAGACTGGTGCCGGCATGGTCCTCCGTATGCTGAGCGACGATCCCCTGGGCCCACTTTTCTTTCTCTATACTTTGTCTCTGTGTCTCTTTCTTTTCTTAGTCTCTCATCCCACCCGACAAGAAAACACCCACAGGTTTGGAGGGGCAGGGCACCCCTTCATCCCATAGTGTCATTGCTGTGTGGGCATCTTACACACTCTCTGAACAAGCAGAGTCCTGCCATAGTTAAAAACAGCAGCTTATTTCTTGCTATATCACTGCCCCTTTATATGCAAGCTACTCTAGAAAAACATATATATGTATCTATATGCATGCATAAACATACACATACACATACCACTAATCTCTTACAATATTGACTTCTCTTGGTTCTTGAAACAACCTCAGCATAGGCAAACCCACATACCCATCTAGGATAAAGACAACCAAATGAGTATCCAGGTATTCTCCAACAAGAATCAAACAAGTAGAAGAAAACTGCAGAGCTCGAAGACAAGGCTTTTGAGTTAACCCAATCCAACAAAGACAAAGAAAAACGGATTTTAAAAATGAACAAAGTCTCCAAGAAGTTTGGGAGTATGTTAAATGACCAAACCTAAGAATAATTGGCATTCCTGAGGAAGAAGAGAAATCTAAAAGTTTGAAAAAGATATTTGAGGGAATAATTGAGGAAAACTTCCTTGGCCTTGTTAAAGATCTAGACATCCAAATACAAGAAGCTCAAAGAACACCCAGGAAATTCACCGTAAAAAGATTATCATGTAGGCACATAATGATCAAATTCAAGATGAAGGAAAGAATCTTAAGAGCTGTGAGGCAAAAGCATCAGGTAACCTATAAAGGAAAAACTATCAGATTAACAGCAGATTTCTCAGCAGAAACCCTACAGGCTAGAAGGGATTGGGGTCCTGTCTTTAGCCTTCTTAAACAAAATAATTATCAGCCAAGAATTTGGTATCCAGTGAAACTATGCTTCATAAATGAAGGAAAAACACAGTTTTTTTTCAAACAAATGCTGAGAGAATTTGCCACTACCAAGCCAGCACTACAAGAACTGCTAAAAGTAGCTCAAAATCTTGAAACAAATCTTCAAAATATACCAAAATAGAACCTCCTTAAGGCATTGTCTCACAGGACTTATAAAACAAAAACACAATGAAAAAAAAAACACAAGGTATTCAGGCAAAAACTAACACAACGAATAGAATAGTACTTCACTTCTCAATACTAACACTGAATGTAAATGGACTAAATGCTCTACTTAAAAGATATAGAATGGCAGAATGAATAAGAATTCAGCAACCAAGTATCTGCTGTCTTCAAGAGACTCATCTAACATGTAAGGACTCACATAAACTTAAAGTAAAGGGGTGAAAAAGGACATTCCATGCAAACGGACATCAAAAGTGAGCAGGAATAGCTATTCTTGTATCAGTCAAAACAGACGTTAAAGCAACAACAGTTAAAAAAGACAAAAAGGCAAGGTGTGGTGGCTCATGCCTATAATCCCAGCACTTTGGGAGGCTGGAGGGGGCAGATCACTTGAGGTCAGGAGTTCGAGACCAGCCTGGCCAACATGGTGAAACCCCATCTCTACTAAAAGTACAAAAATTAGCTGGGCGTGGTGGCACATGCCTATAATCCCAGATACTCAGGAGGCTGAGACCGGAGAATCTCTTGAACCTGGAAGACGGAGGTTGCCATGAGCCGAGATCACGCCATTGCACTCCAGCCTGGGCGACAGAGCAAGACTCCATCTCAAAAAAAAAAAAGACTTCTGGGCCTTCTGTCTTCCATATATTGATGCCGCCCTACCTTTATATTTATAGATCGATAAAGCTTTCATCCTAGTTCTTTCTGAATTTATTACTGTCAGAAGGCTCATTCAACTTGGATCTGTCTAAAGGACCCAAGGGGAAAACAACATTAACATTGTATATTAGATTGGTAAAGGAACTACCATATGATGTTCGAGAACATTCTCATTGACATAGTCTATCTTATTTTTCCAAGTTAAATTCATATTTGATATTTGAAAGCTATTTTGAGCTGCATTAGCATAACTGGGAGAAGTTTTTATATTATTTATCTTATACTGCTAAAATTCTAATTAATGTCATCTTGTACTTTTAAAAGACAAGTGAACTGCAAGAGAAGCACAGAGTTTTAAAACACCCCCGCATGCACAGACACACACACACAGCGAGAGAGAGAAAATTGAAATGAATTAGAAAGGGCAGGGAGAGGCATCAGGAGACCTGGTTTCTCACTGGAGCTCTATCTGCTACTAACTTGGTAAATGACCTGGAGCAAGTCACTAAACCTCTTTAGATATTAAACCTCTTAATATCTTCATTTTACCATAGGGAGTTGGACTTTGTTTCAAAGCCTCAAGTTCCGGATCCATTCATTTCGCCTTTTTACCTTTATACTACTGAGTTTTCATCCTTGAGCCTTAGACTCTGTAACTTAGGTAGCTCACTCAGAAATCAGTCAAAATTATTATTAAAAAAAATTTTTTTTTGTCCAGGCACGGTGGCTCACACTTGTAATCCCAGCACTTTGGGAGGCCAAGGCGGATGGATCACCTGAGGTCAAGAGTTCAGGACCAGCCTGGCCAACATGATGAAACCCCATCTCTACTAAAAATACAAAAAGTAGCCAGGTGTGGTGGCACACGCCTGTAGTCCCAGCTGCTGGGGAGGCTGAGTCATAAGAATAGCTTGAACCTGGGAGGCAGAGGTTGCAGGGAGCACAGATGGTACCACTGGACTCCAGCATGGGTGACAGAGTGAGACTCTGTCTCAAAAAACTAAAACTAACTAACTAAATAAATTTTTAAGAGACAGGGTCCTGCCATGCTGTCGAAGGTGGTTTTGAATTCCTGGCCTCAAGTTATCTTCTAGCCTCAGCCTCCCAAAGTGCTGGGATTATAGGCGTGAGCCACCATGCCCAGTCTATAATTATTTAATTGGTTATTTTATCACTAAAACAATTCAACCAAAACAGAGGGAATAAAGTTGTTGGAACCTCACCAATGCACCTTAATGTAGACTTTCTCATTGTCTGAACTAGTACCCTGGGTTCTTTGTCCTACCTCCTAGAAAATTAAGGAACATGGACACAAAGGTGGGTTGGAGTGAAAGTTTAATGAGGGAAAGAGGCCAGGTGTGGTGGCTCACACCTCTAATCCCACCAGTTTGAGAGGCCGAGGTGGGTGGATCACCTGAGGTCAGGAATTTGAGACCAGTCTGGCCAATATGATGAAACCCCATCTCTACTAAAAATACAAAATTAGCCGAGTGTGGTGGGGCATGCCTGTAATCCCAGTTACTTGGGAGGCTGAGGCAGGAGAATCTCTTGAATCCAGGAGGCAGAGTTTGCAGTGACCCGAGATCACACCATTGCACTCCAGCCTGGGCAACAAGAGCGAAACTCCGTCTCAAAAAAGAATAGTAATAAGTGAAAGAAAAAAATTCTCTGCAGCAGAGAGGGGAGTCCAAGTGGATTGCCAGGTTACAGCTGAATTCAAAAGCTTTTTTAAGAAACTCCTCTCTCATCTCTAGCAGTTTGAGTAACTTCTCATCAGTAAAGCTGTCTGTGCAACTCCCGGTATCTTACGCAACTGTGGGCATGTATCTAGGCAAGCACAAAGCCTGCGTCTCTTGTTTTGATAACTGCGGGTTTGTTTTAGGTAAGCCCCCCTCCTCCCTGTGTAAGTTCCCACCATGGATATGTCTGAAAAGGGGAGGAAACTTTTTCCTAGGAGCTCGCTAATTAGACAAAGTTGCTTATCTGTGTGCAGGTGCAGCCTGTTTATCCCAAATGATTTTTCCTTTTCTTCTCCCTCAAAGTCAGAAAGGCAGGAGTTACTTATTCTTTAAGGGCTGAAGGAAGAAAACTCCCACCTTTGCACTCTGAAAGTTCACTGAAAATAAACTGACCAAAGGCAGATGAATAAGAGAAAAATTCATACAAAATTATTAATGTGCAGGGGAAGGTGGGAATCACAGAGTAATTGCCCCTAAACCCTCAGTGGGGCACAGATGCATATATACGGTGGGTTTTCTTTTTTTTTTTTTTTTGAGATGGAGTCTTGCTCTGTTGCCCAGGCTGGAGTGTAGTGGTGCAATCTCGGCTCACTACAGCCTCTGCCCGCCGGGTTCAAGCGATTCTCCTGCCTCAGACTCCTGCGTAGCTGGGATTACAGGCACACACCACCATGCCTGGCTAATTTTTTATATTTTTAGTAGAGACAGGGTTTCGCCATGTTGGCCAGGCTGGTCTCAAACTCCTGACCTCAGGTGATCCACCTGCCTCGGCTTCCCAAAGTGCTGGGATTACAGGTGTGAGCCACCGTGCCTGGCTGTATATACAGTTTTTCATAGGGGAGGGAGGAGATGGGGACTGTAGACAATTCTCTTGAGGGGCAATAATGATTATCAGGGAGAATGAACAGACCAGGGAGAGAGAAATTAACTTGTACATAATTATCTTTGGAATTTGACTGAGCTTCAGAGGCTGACATTATCTTGTGGAAAAGTCTGTCCATGTGTGGTTACATTCCTTAGTCTCCTTTCCTGCTATAGATAATGAGATTTCAGGGAGGGGATAGAAGGCAATAGTGTTTCTTCTGTTAAGAAGCTGCCTTGGCTGGGCCCAGTGGCTCATGCCTGTAATCTCAGCACTTTGGGAGGCCAAGGCAGGTGGATCATTTGAGGTCAGGAGTTTGAGACCAGCCTGACCGTCATGGTGAAACCCTGTCTCTACTAAAAATACAAGAAAAAAAAAATAATTAGCCATGGTTGCTGGCGTGCACCTGTAATCCCAGCTACTTGAGAGGCTGAGGCAGGAGAATCACTTGAACCTGGGAGGTGGAGGTTGCAGTGAGCCCAGATCATGCCATTGCACTCCAGCCTGCGCAACAAGACCAAAGCCCTGCCAAAAAAAAAAAAAAAAAAAAGAAGGAGCTTTCTTTTTTTTTTCCCCAGAGAGAGTTCCTTCCTGTACTTTGGGGGTGGAAAGGGAACAAGGCAAGGATAGAGAGACCTTGATTCTGAGGCTTATTTCTGAAGCCTTTTAATTTTCCAAAGCACTTGGCATGCCCAGGCACATTTGGGGAATTGTTTTCTGTGCTCCAACCCTCCCATCTCCTTAATCCTATTCCCGGTGATGATATTCAATGTATTTAAAACCCATACAGCAAAAGCACGAACAAGTCAGAATAGACAATGGTCGCAAATGCCCAGCACAGCCACGTGGACTCCCCGGACCCTGGCAACCCTCTCCTTTCCTGGATGATGCTGTCGATTCTCTGGGACAACTTTCTTGACTTGTAATCCAAATACATATGTATAGACCCACATGCAGACACATAAAGTATAAATATACACATAAGTTTGAGAAAGAAAAGAAACTTTTTATCTGAAGAATGCAAGTCCCTTTAAATTATCAGGCCCAGAGAGGCATTGAAACGTGACAGCAGTCACACCTCACTCCCTCGGGCTCAGTAATTATCTCTTGGAGCTACTTGATATGTGGGCTCTAGACTGACACCAAGTAGCCATAAAATTAACCTAACTATGCCATACACTGGACATCATAACTCATACCATATGCTGGACGCCATTAATCATACCCTATAGTTCAACAATGTATAGCCAATCACTAATCAGTGTTTTTTTTTTTTTTTTGAGATGGGATCTTGCTATGCTGCCCAGACTGCCTTAAAAGTCCTGGGCTCAAGCTATCCTCCCACCTCAGCCTCCTGAGTCACTGTGACTACAGGTGTGAGCCACTGTACCCAGCTAATCAGTGTTATTTCTGTAAATCAATGAGTCAAGAAACACTGTATCAGCCACTAATCCCAGCACTTTGGGAGGCCAAGGTGGGCGGATCACGAGGTTAGGAGACCATTCTGGCTAACATGGTGAAACCCCGTCTCTACTAAAAATACAAAAAATTAGCCAGGAATGGTGGTGGGCGCCTGTAATCCCAGCACTTTGGGAGGCTGAGGCAGGTGGATCATGAGTTCAGGAGATCAAGACCATCCTGGCTAACACGGTGAAACCCCATCTCTACTAAAAATACAAAAAATTAGCTGGGCGTGGTGGTGGGCGCCTGTAGTCCCAGCTACTCGGGAGGCTGAGGCAGGAGAATAGCGTGAACCTGGGAGGCGGAGCTTGCAGTGAGCTGAGATCGTGCGACTGCACTCCAGTCTGGGCGACAGAGCAAGACTCTGTCTAAAAAAAACAAAAAACAAAACAAAAAAAACACCCACTTGTGACAAAAGTGGAGAACTCACCAAGGCAACTTGGAAGTGTTTCCTGGGCAGCTGTCCACACTTTGCCTCAAGTAAACTCTTTAAAACTATATTCTCTTCTCCTTCCTTTAGGTCGACAGGTTTTTCATTTTCCTATTAAAGCAAAACATGAAAGCATAGTAGATATATAGCCCTGAAATTCCAGTTTTATTGCAGACATCTTTCATGTCAGTACTCACAGATCTGAACGAACTCATAGAATCATTTGCAGTAGCTGAAGAGTATTCCATAGTTTATCCAACCATCTCTAGATGGTGATATTTAGGTTGTCTTTTATAAATACTTTTATAATTGTTGTGGAAAACAAGGGCAGCAGATTCAGAATTTAAGAATTATAAACTGTCATTTATAAGAACCACACTTCAGAAAGGAAGACATCTGCCCAAATGAGGCAACAACAAAACTATAGTCTTTCTTTTATGTATGAGAACCCCGTCAAGAAATGCCTTGTGATTAGCAAGAGAGAAATGGTTTCATGATACATAGAACCCAGGGCAGAGAAGAGGAGAAGGAACACCTTGTAATAATAAATCAGCAAACTTTAAGAGGTTCATTGAAAAGAGTGTGGAACACATATATTTGAACGAGGTCTGCTGTTTGTTTACTGCCTTTTTTTTTTTTTTTTTTTTGAGACAGAGTTTCACTCTTGTTGCCCAGGCTGGAGTGCAGTGGCACAATCTTGGCTCACTGCAACCTCTGCCTCCTGGGTTCAAGCGATTCTCCTGCCTCAGCCTCCCGAGTAGCAGGATTTACAGGTGTGTGCCGCCATGCCCAGCTAATATTTTTGGTAGAGACAGGGTTTCACCATGTTGGCTAGGCTGGTCTCAAACTCCTGACCTCTGGTGATCCACCCGCCTCAGCCTCCCAAAGTGCTGGGATTACAGGCGTGAGCCACTGCACCGGGCCTATTTAGCGCAATATTTTTTTAAATTTAATTTTAATTTCCAGGATACATGTACAGGACATGCAGCTTTGTTACATAGGTAAACGTGTGCCATGGTGGTTTGCTGCACCTATCAACCCATCACCTAGGTATTGAGCCCCGCATGCATTAGCTATTTATCTTGATGCTCTCCCTGCCCCCACCCCCCAACCCCTGTCACCAGGACCCAGTGTGTGATGTTCCCCTCCCTGTGTCCATGTGTTCTCATTGTTCAGCTCCCACTTATAAGTGAGAACAGAATGTTAAGAATCATTTTTGTAATAACTTTAGTTTTTCCTACCTCCTGATAGGAGACACTGTTTTACGGAGCAGCTATTTCTTCCTGTGTTCAAAGTCAGTTGCTGAACAGATGGTAGCTTCCTGCTTTTCCGGAGCAGAATCCTAGACATGGATGCTCCTGGGCCCAGAGCCATTTGTTCGGTGGCTGTCCCCAGCACACCACAGGTCTGGGTTAGGTGAGACAAACAAAATTAATCTCTGGTGCACATACCAGCTTCACCAGCCCACAGCGGGCTTTCTCACCACATCTCCTGCTTGGGGTCTCTGTGCTGCCCCTTAACCTTTTAGAAACCCCAAATTTGGGGGCTCTGACCAAAGCTGCCCTTTCCAAGGCAAAAACTTCCCGCTCTGGAGAAAGACACCATCTCGAGGGGAGTGAGTAGCGCGGTGGGAAGGGAGGTGGGGTCTGAGGGAGGCTGAATAAGCACATTAACCCATCACTTCTCTGACCACCTTCTCAATAGGGCTCTGAGTCTCACGTCTATGCTCCTTTTTCCTCTAATGTCTTATCATAGTCTTAACCATTGTGGCAATAAATTATATTTGTAGAAAAGGTGCCACTTTTCAGAAAAATATGCATAGAAGGAGAAACTATTGCTATCATGCTTTGGCTATAAAATGAAATCCTTTTACCATCTCTATCC